>NC_000004.12:8490980-8797477 GCF_000001405.40 Homo sapiens | reverse complement strand
CTGGCACTTTCAATATATTTTCCTGGACATCTTAGCTAGATCAGGGGTGAGCAATCCAGCCTACTGCCTGTTTTTGTAAACAGGGTTATTGGAGTGCAGCCATGCCCATTTATTGGTGTATTGTTGATGGCTGCTTTTGAGCTACAACTATAGACTTGAGGAGTTTCAGCAGAGACCATCTTCTCCACAATATCTAAAATATTTACCATTTGGCCCTTTACAGAAGAAGCTTGCTACATCACTGGGTTAATTAGGTACCCTTTTCCTGCTTTCCACGTTGTAGCTTATGGCAGTATTGGCCTCCTTTGGGTTACTGACCTCCCTTTTTCTCTGGTTTCCAATGACGTTCTTCTTGGTCTTCCTCAAGCCCTCACTGGCAGTCTTCTCAAGGCCCCTTTAGCTTCTATCCACTGCCCAGGACCAGAGTTAATGCTTGGGATTTGCCCAGACACCAAATCTCTGTCCTGTCAATGTAAAGCCACCTCAAACTTAGAAATAAAGCCACAACCTCTTTGTGGAAGGAGCCAGTGGGGATGACTTGTCTGCTCCACACAGTCTGGGGGACCCCTGCTTGGAAGACTGGGGGCTCTGGGGGACTTAATGCCTGGGGGCTGGGATTATCTCATTGCTCACATGGTTGGTGCCTGGGCTACAAAAACCGGAACTGTTGGCACCACCACATTTTCTCAACTAACCTCACTGCCATGATATTGGCTACAAAAGAGTCACAATCGCAGCCAGCCAGCTTCAACGTATGCATACGTGTGCGTGTGTGTGTGTGTGTGTGTGTGTGTGTGTGTGTGGTCTGTGACCTGCCTCTCGATGCCAGAAGGTCCAAGAATTTGTAGACAGGTTTTAAAGTTGCCACACCTCCATTTTGTCATCTGTAAAATGACAATGAGAATTCCTACCTTGTGAGGGTGTGGGCATCACAGGGGTTAGTCCACACGGGTTGCATAGGACAGCGCTTGGGGTTCAGCAAATGCTCTGGAGCTGCTGTTATCATCCTTTGTAACATTCCAGCTTCTAATTGCAGCATGCACACTTTCTTGGCATCTGTCACCTGACTTAAGCTGGTCAAACATGACCTCACCCTGAAAGGAGGAGAAGGTGGAGGAGCTCTCATAGGCTGCGCCATGCACCGGGCACACGCCAGGTCGCCGCTGTGGTTTCATCTCCCCATCTCACTGTGAGAGAGGTGGTGACTGGCCTCACAAGTCAGGAGAGGACCCCCAAGCAGCAGAGGCCGAGCACGGTGCCTGCGTCCAGGGTCTGCTGGCCACTTGCTTAGTGCTCAGTTATCCATTCAACATTCATGCATTCACGTGGTATTTCCTGAGCTTCTGGGCAGAACCAGGTGCCCCTCTCATGCTGGGCAAGTGGATCATCCCAAGCTGCCTTTGCATGGGTCTTCCCACCTGGTGTCCCTTGGCGAATCCTGTTATTGCCTCTGGCTGTCCACTCTGCCTGCCTGGAAGCCCGCCATCATTTACCCACAGCCCTCCCTCTTTCAACAAAGGATATGAAGCTGTTTACACGATGAAGCACTTAAACAAACATCATTAAACCTAAATAGAATCCACAACAGGAAAGTAAAGGATAATGCACATGTTATAATATAAAGGACCAGCCTTGCTGACGGACTTAAGCTTTTCTTGGCTTTTGAGCTTCCTGGTAGCCAAGGAGAAAATACATCATGATTAAGCTTACAGTCTTCAGTAGGGGATTGGAGGAAGCACATCCTCCAGCATGTTCCTTTAGCGAGAGTTCTACCAAGCACTCAATTTAAAAATAGAATTCTCCTGGGGGGTGCTTCCAAGGGAGTGTAGTAAAATGAAGTAAAGAACCGCTTTCCCCAGCAGTGTGGTTGATGACTTGTTTTCCACCCAAGGCCAATGTGAGGTTCTGCTTCAGAGCCAGCTGTTTACAATATCTCCAAGCTCAAGTGGAAACAAGCCCCGGGATTATCTCTTCATTTGGGGTCAAAAGGCATGAATTTCAGCGGCGAAATGGTCCACGCTGCAATCTTTGTTTTCTGCATGAGCTGATAAACTGTGAGGCCAGGCCCACGGGGCCTCCCCGCCACATTGCCCCTGAGCTTCGGTAAATCTTTTGACAGGAGTCATTGTCTGGGGCAGCGCCCTAAACGACTTCTCTAAACGGAGTTATTCATTTGGTCATAATGGGAGGCCAGGCCGCCTGGCCCTGCTGATGGTGATAATTTCACATTGATGACCTGTCTTGTCAGGGTATTTGCAGACTAAATGCCTGGCCAGCAGCGTCTCCAGCAGGGGAGGGGGGATCCCCCTAGGTCTGGGGTCTGGACTGTGAGTTTGGGATTTCTGGTCAGGAAGGCAGGTATGGGAACTCCTTTTCCTGCAAGACAGGAAAGGATGTTACAGAGAGGGAAGACAGAGTGCTTGGAGCTCTGGCAGATGGGGGTTGCATCTTGGCACGCAGGGTGACTTTGGGCCACTGACCACCTCTTTGGCCTTAGTTTTCTCATCTGTAAAATGAGGAGTAAGAATGCCTTGCCCCTGGGGGACTCTGAACACAAGTGGGGAGCTTCCCCTCCCAGGGCGCAGCACTTGGCCAGACTGGTGGAGATACTTGGCCCAGGTTGGTCAAGAGGCTAGCTAGCAGGTCACACAGAGCCAAGCAGGAGATGCTTCGTAAGGAGGCACCTTCTCCCTCTGTAAGCACTTGCTTCGGTGCACACAGGAACTCGCGGCGAGGTGCATGGACCCTTAGTGCGCAGCGGGTGACCTCTCTGGCCAAGCACCGCTGGGGGACCAGCACCGGGCCAGGACCACGGCTCGACCATTCGAAGCACCCCTCAGCGACTCCCCGAAGGTAACACTGGGGGCTGGCTTTGCCTGTTTCTTTCGTACTTTGGGAAAACAGAATCACCCAGGCTGGGCTCTTTTGCTGGCGTCTGTCAGGGAGATTCTTCCTGTGCCGCCTGCAGCGTGGGTTGCCCTGTTGTCTGCTGTTGGGTGCATAGACCACACATTATAAAAGGGAATCTGAATGAGAAGAGTCATCTGGTCCCCTCCCCTGTTCCTTCTAGTTCTTGAGCTGCTAAGTGTGCCCGGCACAATGCCGGCTGCAGGGGCACTGGGTGATGGCATCCTCTGTCCCTCCATTCCCACCCCTCCCTCTGCTGATTGGACCAGTCAGGGGCCTTGGGACCATATGGGTGGCATGGAGGGTGACCAGATGCACCACTGAAAGTCATGGACCCTGAGACAGTCCTCAGTCCCAGGCAACCCCAACGGTCCCTCGTGGTCTGTTGCCCACAGGCTTTTCTGGAGCAGCCGGCCTGGGAGGGGTGGGCCTCTAGCAGGGTGTCTCCCTGGATGTGGGAGCAGGCAAGGATCCAGCAGGAGCTGGAACTGCCAGGGCTTAGGTGGGGCTGCTGGGGTGGCAGAGCGGACCTGGGGGTGTAGGTTGAGAGGGTGGATGCCCTGCTGCCCCAGGGTGGCTGGGGTGCCCCTGCTTGGAGCAGCCTGGCGGTTGGCATTTCTGGGTCTCCTGGGTGCCTGCCTCCCCTATTTGTCCTCTGCCAATCCCCACCCAGCCCTGGGAAGCCTGCGCTCTGCTCCTAAGCAGCACACGCAGTGAGACTGGACTCCAGATGCCCGGATGCCCCGGCCTGGCTGAGCCCTTGGGGCTGCGTTTGCTTGTGGTTGGCACCCACCTTGGTGTTCTTGGCCCCAGATGCTCTTTGTCTAGATCGGGGGTTGGGAAACAACAGCCCCCGGGCTGAATCTGGTCTGCTTTTGTATAACAGGTGATCTAAAAAAGGCTTTTATGTTTTTAAAGGCTGAAAAGAATCAGAGGAAGACAAATATTTTGTGACACATGAAAACGATAAGAAATTCAAATTTTCATGTTCATAAATGACGTTTTCCTGTACTTGTTACCTTCGGCTGCTTTCCTGACACCTGGACAGAGGTGAGCAGGTGCAGCAGAGAGTGCAAACACAGATTCTCCTAGGCCTTTACAAAGTTTGTCGACCCTGGTTCTGAACCTCACAGAAAGGGTTTGCTAATCATAGCCGTTAAAAGAAAATCTGGTAAGATGTGGTATCTCTAAATATCTACCTTGTGATTTTCTCAATTGTGGTAATATATACCTAACATAATATTTATCATTTAATCACTGTAATTCACAAGCAATAGCATTAAAGACATTCACCATGCCATGTACTCGTCACCACTGTCTCTCCCCAAGCCCTTTCCATTATCCCTGTGTTGGTCCATTTTATGTGTCAACTTGACCGGGCCATGGGATGTCCAAATGTTTTGTTCAAACATTATTCTGGCTGTTTCTGGGAGGGTGTTTTCAGATGAGGGTCACATTTGAACCTGCAGACTGAGTAAAGGAGGTCGCCCTCCCCTAGTGCGTGGGCCGCGTCTGACCCATCGAAGGCCTGCACGGAACAGAGGGCCACCTCTCCCTGGGCAAAGGGCACTCTCCTGCCTGGCTGTGTGAGTGGGGCCGGCGCACCATGGCTCTCCAGCAGCGCCTGGCCCCAGACTCCAGCAGGAACATTGACTCTACTGACTGTGGGTTGGCCAGCCTCCAGAAAGCCAACTCCTTACAATAATGTCATCTCTGTGTGTGTGCGCACACGTGTGTGTGTGCACGTGTGTGTATGTGCACGTCTTCCTCTGTGTGTGTGCACATGTGTGTGCCTCTCCCTCTGTGTGTGTGCATGTGTGTGTGTGCCTCCCTCTGTGTGTGTGTGTGTGCATCTCCCTCTGTGTGTGTGTGCACGTGTGTGCGTCTCTGTGTGTGTGTGCATGTGTGTGTGGGTTTCCATGTGTGTGCGCGCCTCCCTCTGTGTGTGTGAACGTGTGTGTGCGTCTCCCTGTGTGTGTGTCCATCTCCCTCTGTGTGTGAGTGTGCATCTCCCTGTGTGTGCATCTCCCTCTGTGTGTGTGCATGCATCTCCCTCTGTGTGTATGTGTGTGTGTCTCCCTCTGTGTGTGTGCACGTGTGTATGCCTTCCTCTGTGTGTGTGTCCATCTCCCTGTGTGTGTGTGTCTCCCTCTGTGTGTGTGTGTACGCGTGTGTCTGCCTCCCTCTGTGTGTGTGTGAGCATGTGTGTGCCTCTCCCTCTGTGTGTGTCCATCTCCCTCTGTGTGTGTGTGTGTGTGCATCTCCCTGTGTGTGTGTCCATCTCCCTCTGTGCGTGTGTGCGTATGTGTGCGTCTCCCTCTGCGTGTGTGAGCATGTGTGTGCATCTCCCCCTGTGTGTGTGCGTCTCCCTCTGTGTGTGCGTGCACGCGTATGTGTGTACATCTCCCTCTGTGTGTGTGCACGCGTGTGTTTATCTCCCTCTGTGTGTGTGCATGCGTGTGTTTATCTCCCTCTGTGTGTGTGTGTGTGCGTCTCCCTCTGTGTGTGCGTGTGCACGTCTGTCTCCCATCGGTTCCATTTCCCTGAAGAACCCCGGACTGACACGATCCTCAACAGAGCTCTGCACCCACTAAACAATAACACCTCCTTCCTCCCCAACCCCTGGGAACTTTGAGAAACCGGACCCAAGCCGGAACACCAAGCGGGCCCAGGTGGGAGTTCTGAGGTCCCTCTAAGTCCGCCTTGCAACAACTTGTCCCCCAAATAGGTCTCTCCTGGCTGCCCCCCGCCCCCTGGCCCTTCCCTGGCTGTGAGAAGAGAAGGGACCACACACCTTTCTCGTGGGATTTTCCTGAAGCACTCAGAGACTTCAAGTTTGCAGCCCACCCAGGTGCACCTGAGACACTGGATTTGGGGCCAGCCTCACAGGTCAGCGAAAGTACATGATTCCGTTGAAACCTGTGGAAGAGGCAATGATCAGCATGTCTGGGTTAGAGAGCACTGTTTGATTGACGGGAGATGGAGGATTTTTTTTTATTTAGAAAATGGAGGAATTATTATTTTTTTCTTTCGTTCTTTTTCTTCTTTTCTTTTTTTTTTTTTGGAAGTGGAGGAATTTTGTGTCCACTTAGTATTCACTGAGCAGCTACTCTGGTGTGCTGGGCTGGGGACCACAGAGCTTCGGCCAAGCCCCAGAGGCAGTCACAGTTCTGCTGGGTAGCCAGAGGGGCTGACCACATGGGTCAATGTGCCGGGACGGAGGGAAGCATGGATGCTGTGGAATCCCAGAGGAGGCCCCCACCCAGCCGAGGTTGGGGGATGAGGAAATCGTTTTTAGAGAAGGTGATGCCCAAGCTGGGCTTTGTGAAAGGGCAGGGATTGGCTGAACAAATGAAGTGGAGAGGGTACTCAAGGCACAGGGAATGGCCAGGGCAGAGGCCCTTGGAGAACTGAAGTGAGGGATCCAATCGTGAGAATGAAGAAGGCATGTGTATGTGTGCACCTGTGTGCTATGTGCATGTGCACCTGTGTGCTGTGTGTGCATGTGCACCTCTGTGTGTGTATGTGTGTGCACCTGTGTGCTGTGTGTGCATGTGTACCTGTGTGTGTATGTGTGTGTGCACCTGTGTGCTGCGTGTGCATGTGTACCTATGTGTGTGCACCTGTGTGCTGTGTGCACGTGTGCCTGCGTGTGTGTGTGCACCTTTGTGCTGTGTGCACGTGTGCCTGCGTATGTGTGTGCACCTGTGTGCTGTGCATGTGCACCTGTGTGTGTATGTGTGTGCACCTGTGTGCTGTGTGTGCATGTGCACCTGTGTGCTGTGTGTGTGTGTAGTTAGTGATTCCCAATGGCTTGGAAAGCAACAGTTCCTACATAAAGGACTTTATGTGCTAAGCTTAGGAATTTTAAGAATTTTGAAAAAAGTTAATAAAATTACAACTACTCAGTTACCTGCTATGGGCTCAGGGCAAACCTTTCATCCTCACCTGGGCCTTGGTTTCCCATCTGTACGTGGAGCCCAGGGGTGAGGGAGCTCTTGTAGCTCAGATGCTCTGGGTGTCTAGACCCTGGTCCCCAGCAGAAGGAAGGGGACCCGTGGCAGCTGCTACCACATCCTGAGACCCACCCATCTCAGGAAGGAGCAAGAGGCCTCTGACCCCAGCCTAAGGAGGAACGGGCTCTCAGCTCCTTGTAACAGGAGCCCCGGGCACATAGCTCATTACAACGCCAACAACAAGCTTGCCTTTTAATTCTGCAACTGGAGAGGGGCAGCAGGGATGTGGGGGCCTCCCCGGGGGCCTCGGGAGACTTATTGATCCATCGGTTACAAGCGTCGGCGATCCCGGGTGAGGGGGCTTCAGCTGCCAGGCAGTCTGTCAGAGGAAGACCCTGAGGCTGTGCCACAAAGCAAGGAGGGGCAATGGCATGCTGGTGTTCAGAAGCGAGAAGTGGGGGGTGTCTTTACATTCTCGTTAGAGAAAGGGGGTGTTGACTGACAATCTGTTCTGTATTTGCCAAATAAGTTTGACATGGAGCCATTTAGGTGCACACAACAGTGACTGCCAAGCCCAGAGGTCCATGCTCTGTGGCTCTAGGAGGGTTATTAGATAATTTGTGCTCTGAAGTAAGGAAGACATGGGCTCCAGCTGGAGTGGCCTCCGCCTCTCTCTCCTCCCGGCCTGTGGGCCTCTGTCTCTACCTCTGCCTGCTTGGCCAGCAAGCGTCCTCCTTGTGACAGGACCAGGGCAGGTGAGATCTGGAGAGGCCGGGCTCCTCTGGCCCCGTGCCTTCCTTTGGAGACAGGAGACAGGGGACTGAGTTCCGTTTTGGGAGGATGCTGTCCAGCCTCATGGGATTACTGGGCTGAGGACCCAGGTGAAGCACGCAGGCAGCCGCCACTGTAGCCCTAGGTGAGCACCGTGGATGCTGCAATCTGCACCTGGCCTGGCAGCCCCTCCATGCTGCCCAGTCTCCCTTCCTTCCTCACGATCCCATTCTCGGTCCTTAGGAAGGCCAGATGGGAACATGGGAATTCTGCAGCAAACAGCCACGATCATCACCATTATCTGGAGATGCCGAGGTGGGGAGAAAAGCCTCCCCGCCTGCAGGCCTCCGCCTCTCCCTCCTCCCGGCCTGTAGGCCTCCATCTCTCCCTCCTCCCAGCCTGCGGGCCTCTGCCTCTCCCTCCTCCCAGCCTTCAGGCCTCCATCTCTCCCTCCTCCCAGCCTGCAGGCCTCCATCTCTCCCTCCTCCCAGCCTGCAGGCCTCTGCCTCTCCCTTCTCCTGGTCTGTGGGCCTCCATCTCTCCCTCCTCCTGGTTTGTGGGCTTCCTCCTCTCCCTCCTCCTGGCCTGTGGGCCTCTGTCTCTCCCTCCTCCCGGCCTGTGGGCTTCCGGCTCTCCCTCCTCCTGGCCTGTGGGCCTCCACCTCTCCCTCCCCCCAGCCTGCGGGTCTCTGCCTCTCCCTCCTCCCGGCATGTGGACCTCCGCCTCTCCCTTCTCCCCGTTTGTGGGCCTCCATGTCTCCCTCCTCCCGGTCTGTGGGCCTCTGTTTCTCCCTCCTCCCAGTTTATGGGCCTCCATCTCTCCCTCCTCCCGGTCTGTGGGCTTCCACCTGTCCCTCCTCCTGGCCTATGGTCCTCTGTCTCTCCCTCCTTCTGGCATGTGGGCCTCCATCTCTCCCTCCTCCCGGCCTGTGGGCCTCCGCCTCTCCCTCCCCCGCTCTGTGGGCTCCGCCTCTCCCTCCTCCCAGCCTGTGGTCCTCTGTCTCTCCCTCCTCCTGGCCTGTGGGCCTCCATCTCTCCCTCCTCCTGGTCTGTGGGCCTCTACCTCTCCCTCCTCCCGGCCTGCGGGCCTCTGTCTCTACCTCTGCCTGCTTGGCCAGCAAGCATCCTCCTTGTGACAGGACCACGGCAGGCGAGATCTGGAAAGGCCGGACTCCTCTGGCCCCGTGGCTTCCTTTGGTTACAGGAGACAGGGGACTGAGTTCCGTTTTGGGAGGATGCTGTCCGGCCTCATGGGATTCCTGGGCTGAGGACCCAGATACTCTGTGAGAAGGAGAAGGAAGAGCCCCACGAGGGGCCAGGAAATAAATGAGTCCTGCTGCCGGCATGGCTTTGCCGAAGTCACTCTGCCTCTCTGAGCCTCAGTTTCCTCATCTGTGGGATGGGAGTGCCAGTGCCAGCTCCAGAGGGAGGCATGAGGCAAGGCCTGGAGATATCCCCACGGGCCTGGCGCTGGCACGGTTGCACTCGGAGCCCTGGCCCCTCCCTGCTCTCATCTCCTGCCTCCTGCCCGGTGCTGGAGCCACTTCCCCAGGCCTCCTTCCACTAACTGCTGCCGGTCTCCTGATGACTCCAGCTCTGCCCTAGGGACAGAGACCCCCACCCACAAATGCCCACCACACCATTTCCCAGCAGCCCTCTCCTGGGGAGGTGGGTGCCCTCCACCAGACAACCATACTGGTGTTTTCCACTTGTGTGTGTGTGATTACATCTATATAGTTTGCAGTTTTAACCTTTTTTGTTTTTTTTTTTTTTGAGACGGGGTCTCACTCTGTCACCCAGGCTGGAGTTCAGTGGTGTGATCTCAGCTCACTGCAGCTTCCACCTCCTGGGTTCAAGCAATTCTCCTGCCTCAGCCTCCCAAGTGGCTGGGATTACAGGCACCCACCACCATATCTAGCTAAGTTTTGTGTTTTTAGTAGAGATGGGGTTTTGCCATGATGACCAAGCTGGTCTCAAACTCCTGACCTCAGGTGATCCACCCACCTCAGCCTCCCAAAATGCTGGGGTTACAGGTGTGAGCCACCTCGCCTGGCGACCGTTTTTAAGTGTATGTTTCAGTGGCATTGATTACATCCCCGTGTTGTGCAGCCATCATGGCCCAAACCCTTTCATGATGGAGTTGGTCAATCGCCGTCCCATTGCAGTCTCTGGGCCCCAGCTGTACCCACACCACCTCATCCAAGCCAGCCTCTTTACTGCTGGTCCCTGGGCTGGGGCAGGTAGAGCAGGTGTGCACAGATCTTGATGCCACCAACTACACGCCTCGAGCCCGCAGTTCCCTGAGCACCGGGCAGTGGGGCAGCTCTTGGGGGCAGGAACCTGGAGGAGAGGCATGCATTCAGGCCAGTCTGTCCCTCTAGAGAGATCTGTCCCTTGTTGGCATCGTGTAGGCCTGCAGTGGCAGCGACTCCGATCCAACCCCGGTATTTGTTCTCTTGTTCTTTAACAGCGATAGAACTTCTGATTTGTATCTCTCAGGCACCCGAAAAAAGCTTGCATTTCCCAGCCTCCGTTACAGCCAAGTGTGGCCAGGATACCACGTGCCAGGGTGTGGGATGCGAGTGCTGGGGGCAGCACTTTGGGGCTGGGCCTGCAGGGGGAAGGTCAGCCTCTCTCCTTCCCTTAACTCCCTCGAGTGCAGAGTGGATGAGGGCTGTCCCCAGAAACCTCGCAGAGTGGCAATGCATTTGACCACGTCGGGGAGGGGCTGCCTGTCGAGCTCTGATCTCCTGGCCCTACGGTGTTTAAGCCTCTGAAACAGCAGCCAATTTGTACCTCAGTCATTACACCATCATCAAATGTTTTATTACATAAGCAGAGAACCCCTTGAGGGCAGGAGAGTTTCCAGAATCATCTCCATTTCTGCAGCCTCCAGCCTAGGACTGTAGATAAATCCTTCCCAGGTGACAAAGGCCCTGGAGGATGGCGCCCGGGCTGCTGATGTATGTGGAAGGCTGGTTCCTGCACCAGAGGGCCAGGCGGACGCCAGGGTTCCTGCACCTCCGTCTGCATTTTCTTTGCTGGCAGGCGGTGGCTACTCTTTCACCTGTATCTTGAGCAAGATCCTCTTCCTTTTCACATTTAGCGGTTTCACCTGCTCTGTGCTCTGAAACAGGTCACTATATCCTGGGGTAACAAGTGGCAGGATCTGCATGAGCACTTTGAGTAGCTGTTAGTACAGGAGCTTCGGACGTGTAGGCTGGCAACCCAGAAAACCTTTCTGACCCCTTCTGAGTTTAAAATAGAGCCCTGGATAAGCGAGACTGCTGAAGAGCCGAGTTCTGCATGGTCGGGTTTCCCCGCCTTGGCTGCATCAGCCTTGGCCCGGTCCCGCCTGAGGGGCTGCAGACAGTGGGCGCTGCGGCAGTGGGCATGCTGTGGCTGGCACCCATCTCTCGAGTGTTTGTCTGCCTTGGCCTCAGGGTGGGCTGGGGCTGGTGTTGCTGGGATTCACTTTCGAGGCCCAGGTGGCCTTGTGTGGTGGGGACCTGGCTGCTGTCTTCCTGGGCTGATCAGAGCAGGGGCACGGCCCTCCAAGCTGCCTGTGTTCCATCAGCCCCAGGGATGTGAGGGAGGACATGGCCAACCCACACCCCAAGGCGACCGGCAGTGGCGTCTGCTGGGCCTCCCGTGCGGGATTCATAGGGGATGCCTGGGCTCCCAGGGCTCTGCTGGTTTCAGGAACAGCTAAACACAGATTCTTCACCTCGGGGCCCTGGATGTGTCCCCTCTCCACTGCACGTGGTTTTCTCCTGGAACTTGGCACAGCTCCAAGCATAAGCAGTAGGGTTAGCCCCTCCTAGGCTTCTTGGAGTGGATCACTCAAGACGGCTGGCCGGGAGGGCAGGCCCCAAGCTCTGGGGTTAGGACCAGTGTCCTGGGGCTGCCAAAGCAAAGGACCACCAACTGGGGCCTTCAAACCGCAGCACATTACTGCTTCACAGCCCCGGAGGCCAGAAGCCTGAGATCCAGGTGTGGGCAGGGCAGGCTCCTCCCGTGGCTGGGAGGGAGCATCGTTCCGGCCTCTCTCCGGCTCCTGCTGGCTTCGGCGGTCCTCCGTCATCCTTGGCTTGTGGCTGTGTCCCTGTGGTCTCTGCCTCCATGCTTGCAGCTCCTTCAGCCCTCTGTGTCCCCGTGTGCTTGTGTCCCGTCCTCTTCTCATGAAGACACCAGGCATCGGATTTAGGCCCACCCTGATCCAGAGTGAACTAATCTCAACCTAACTAACTACATTGGCAAAGACCTTGTGCTCAAATGAGGGCACACTCTGAGGCTGTGGGTGGACATGGGTTTGGGGGACACTATACACCCACAGGGACGTCCTCCCCACAGGTGACAGCAGTGTTCTTGGAAGCCAAGCTGTCTACGTGCTGGCTCATGGTGGCTTCCTCTTCCCCAAGGCAGAGCCGGCGGGCAGCGTCCACCCTCCAGGTGGACGCCCCCTACCCAGCTCTCCTCCCCAGCTCCTGCCGCTCCTTTTCAGGGTTCAGTTCACTTCTCAATAAGCCTTTACCCGGTGGGGGCCAGGGGCTGGGCCCTGGCAGGGTGCTGGACAGGGAGTGGTTTCAGCTGGAGATGCCGGCCCCCTTCGCTCACAGTCAACCCAATTGCTTCCTCCAACCTACACCACAGCGCTGAGATCATTTTCAGATGAGAAAATGTGATAAAATTCGAGACGATTGCACAGTGACACAGGGATTAGAACTCACTTCAATGCGGGAGAAAAATGCAAAGTGTCCGTGCCGTCAAGGAATTTCCACCACAGCATTTGTGGGAAGGGTGGGTGGAGGGTCTGGGGGAGCAGCTCTGGTGGGGTCCCTGCTGTCTGTCTGCCTCTTTGTAGCCCTCCCTGCCTGGGAGGGGTCAGCGTGTTTATCCCCATTTTACAGATGAGGAAATTGAGGCTCAGAGAGCTCTGTGCATGTGCCCAAGGCTTCTCCCACAGTGACAGGAGGCAGAGCCTGGGTCCCACCTGGGCCGTGGGCTCCCACACTGCCTCCTCCCAACTCCCTTGCTGCCCCCAGAGGAACCCCCACGCGTGCACCTGAGGAGTTCTCATGACCTCTGACATTGCCCTGCTGGCTGGGGGTTTGTAACATCAGGGACAAAGTGCAGAACAGGGAGGGGGTGGGCGTGGGGATGGCGCCTGCCACCCTTGTGGGTCACCGGCAGGTCTGCTGCTCTGTGGTTGTTGAGGACCATTTTGCTCCATCCTCACCGGCCCCAGGCTCTGGTCTGGGCTCTGCCATGTCCCCCCTGGATAGCCCTGGTCTGGGCTCTGCCATATCTCCCCTGGATGGCCCTGGCTGGTCCTGAGGACTCCTTCCTCCCATCCAGGCTGTCCTCTGCCTCACACGCAGACTAGAAGCCCCTGGGAGGCACCATCATGCCCCTACTCCCTCCAAGAGGGGGCCCGGGCTCCTCTGTGTGCAGCCTCGTCACCCTCCCCACGCAGCAGCCGCGTGGCTCCCTTGGCCCCACCTCTCCACCGAGCCCTGCTGGGCGGCACCTGGTGCTTCCTTCATCCAGGGGCAGTGTGGGTGCCCATCTCTGGTGGCCTCGCCCCTGGTGCCCGCCTGTCTCTGGTGGCCTCGCTCTGTCTTTTGCACCTCCCTTGTTTTGTTCATCATGAGGTGGAAAGCGTATGGGCTGGCGGGGGCAGTGAAATCCACCTCACTCACTCACCTGCTGGGTGACCTTCATGGGGACTCAAATGCTCGGAAACTTCAGCCTCTCAACTGGAAAAGGGGGCAGGGATCAGGGGCCTCTCTGGTGCCTGGCATGAGAAGATGCTCAACATGTTGAGCCCCCGGCCCCTCCTGGGCCCCCATGTCCTGAGGTGGGACCCAGGCCCTGGATGGTGCAGCCCAGGGTCCGCGGGTGTCTCTGAGCTATGGTGAGTAACAGGGGCCTGGAGGACCTCGGTCTGGCTCACGTGCGAGGCCCCTTGGCCTTCCTGCGGCCAGCTCTGGAGGCACCAGATTCTGTGCACAGAAGGACGGACTCCAGGAAACTTGGTAGCTTCTGCCCTCGGGCCGGCAAAAGTTGTCACGGTGTCCCCCACTGACCTCGCAGGGCCCGGACCCTCTGAGCGGGCTTTCCTCAAGATCAATAGCCAAGCCGGTCAGCTGGCAATGTGACACTAATGGACAGAGAATTAAAGAGCTGGGGTGCATATTAATCTGGACAGCCACAGGGTTGGACAGGGCCTGGGTGGGGACGAGGCGAGCGGCCCCTAATGGAGCTGTATTGACCAGGCCAGGGAGACCGCAGCCGGGGTTGGATGTCACTCTGCAGCCCGGGAACTGGGGGTTGATGGATTTCAGTGTTTTATAGGTTTGGGTTTAAAAAGAAGTGACCTCTTTTTTCCCCGGATCAATATACTCTTTTTAGCCGAGCATGATCGCCAATAGTCCATCAGTGCAGTCTCTGGAGAGGTTTGTAAATATCTGTGTTGGAAATATTAATACCTGATTGCAACTAGGGCCTCTGCGACACGGTGAGGGGCCCGTCTCAGCACCCCCGTGACTGTCCGTGCGGCAGGGAGCCCTGGGCCCTGCCTGGGCCTCCAGACATCAGAGCGCCAGGCAAACGCAGGTGTTTTCTCCTCCCTTCAAGGAAGCTTGAAGTCACTCGAAAAGGCCAGCTGGCATCCATCACCATGGACACCAGGTGGGTGGCATCGACTGCCTGGGTGCAGGACACTCTACAGTTTGTACCCTCCAATCGCACCTCCCATCCCCGGGAGGGAGGGAGGGAGGTGAGGATGTGACCTCATTTTAAAGATGAAGAAACCGACTCGGGGGCTTCCAGCCACAGGGCAAGGCCATGCCGTGTGCAGATTCTGCCCGGATGCTCCCATGCTGGCTTCCAGAAGCCCCACTTTGGGGAGGCAGAGATGGGCTGAGCCTCAGTTTTCTCATCTCTGGACAGGGGCCCCGCTTGCCCCTCTCACCAGGGGCTGGGAGCTTCAAAGCTGTGCAGTTCCGGGGCTGTGCTCTGCTCTGTAGTGCCCTGGTGGGTGGCAGGCCCCATCTCTTCTGCCCACCTCCATGCCCAACATGGCCCCCACCCTTGGCACAGCAATGAACAAGGCAAGGACTCCCACAAGTTGAGGGTGGAAATGGCACTTCTTCCATGCAGCCCTCCAGGTTGCACCCTTATAGCTGCTTTGGCTCTCCCCTCCTGACCACTGGCCTCTGCCCACCCCAGTCCTCCCTTCCACTCCCTCCTCCCTACTCCAGTTCCCCCTCTCTGATCTGTCCCCGCCCTTGGCCAAGTGGCCTTTCTGAAGATCAGACCTGATTGCATCCCACCCCTGACTTCCAGATAAAGTCCACTCTGCTGGGCACTCAGGCCCTGCTGACCCAGTCACTCTACCTTACCACCCTCTGGTGCCTGCCCGTCTGTCAGCTGCGGCCATGCTGCAGCACCATGACCCCAGGCCTGTGCTCCTGCTGCCGCACGCCCCCCCTACCCTCACCACGGGAGGCGAGGATGCCGCCCACGAGGATCAAGAGCCCTGCCTGTGGCCCTGTTTCCTTGCTGCTCTGTCCCGGGGCTGGGGGTGCCAGGGGCACGGTTGCTGGCCTCAATCAGCATCTGTGGACCTCACCCTGTACCGGGTGCTGTGCTAGGTTGTCCCCATCTTCTTCTGTACTGGGTGCTGCGCTAGGTTGTCCCCATCCTCTTCTGTACCGGGTGCTGTGCTGGGTTGTCCCTGTCCTCTTCTGACTCTCAGGTTGCAGAGCACTGTGATAACCTGCATTTATGGAGGAAGCAACCCAGTCCCAGAGAGGTCAGTGACCTGCCTGGGCCCACCCAGCACAGTGACCTCCTTGGATCCCTTCACAGCAGTGGAGGCACTGGCATCTGAACCTTCCCACCTCTCTGTGAAGCCTGAGCTCCCACCTCTGCCCCGCAGCGCCCAGCAAGCCCGAGGAGCAGGATTGTGCCCTCGCACCTGGCTGTCCCGCTGCAGGGTGCTGCCCTTCCTGCATGCATGGAGCCCTGGGCCTTCCCTCCTGTGTGCTCTGTGTGAGTGCCGGGCTCACGGGAGCCTGCAGCTGTCCTTTCGTGGAGCTGCCCATGGGGCTTCATTTCTGGTTCCTGGAGGTGGAGAGGCTCCCTGAGGGGCCCTGACAGCCCCTCTCCTGGGGTTCAGTTGGGGGGGAGGGTGCTGAGGGGTAGCCCCAGCTTCCTTGTCCCGAGCGAGGCCTGAGTGTGGGGTGAAGGGTAGAGAGTCTGGGGGTTGTGGATGGGGCTGGCGGAAGGGGGCAGAGCTCACGATCAGGCCTAAGAGGCTGCCCACAGGGCCCACTTACAGGCAAGAGCAGCTGTGGGGAGGATGCCATCCTCTACGAACCCCTAGGCCAGCTGCCTCCCGGAGCCCTGGGCCAACCTGGAGCTCAGTGCGGACGAAGAGGCCTCCGAAAGCTCTGCTCCCTCCTCCTGGCATGCCGGGAATGGGAAGCTAGTCAGCCAGCGTCTCCCAAGGCCTGGTTCAGGGCTCCCACCCACGGGAGCTGTCCAGTGGCCATCGTATGGGCCACACCCACAATGTGTCCATGATAGAGGGGTGACCCCATTTAACAGATGAGGACACAAGGTCCCAGGAGGAAGATGGGCTGGGGCCCAGCTCAGGATGCTGGTCTCCCCACCTTCACCCAGACCGGGGGTCCCGCAGCTCAGGCCCAGTGGCAAGTGAGTGCCTGTCACTCTTTCTGCCCAAAGACCAGCCCTCCCCACCATCTCCCCGCTTGGTGGCCCTAGCCTGGTCACCCTGCCACACCTTTGCTGGCCCCAAACCCAGCCCAGCAGCCCCTCAGGGGGAACTTCCGCCTGGTTCCCACTGTACTCTGTGGCCCCATGGCTGGCCACACACAGGCTCAGAGCCCAGGGTCAGGCTGGTAATGGATGGGCACAGGGAGAGGAAAGGGCAAGAGAGAAAGAGATGGACCACTGGGGAGACAGAGGAGCCATTCAGGGGGCAACAGTGTCCCCATCTAGAGCGTCTGCTCAGGCGCCCGCTCCGCTGGCAGTGAGACCCTCGTCTGCTCTGTTGCCCGGTGGCTCTGAGAACTCTGACGGCACATATCAGTGAATGACTCAGCGAGCAGCAGGTGCTGGGACCCCTCCCATCTTGCTGGGACAACCCCGTTTCAGAGGGTCCTGGGGTCCCTCCGGCCACAGGATGATGATCGGGTGGGCTCCCTCTGCAGTCAGCCACCAGGGGCCTGCAGGAATTCATCTCCACGCTCCAAGTGTTTCTGCACCCAGGGCAGGGGTGGCTGGGAGAAGGAGGCCACAGTTCCTGGAGGAAGGAGGGCTGGAAGCTCGTGGGATGGGGACCCACGTTCCTCCAGGAGATGCTGACTACCCCACGCCCCCAGGCCCACACCCCCAAGGGCCACCTCCCATTCCTGGGAAATGCCAGACCTGAGCTAGCCGGAGGGAGCCGTGGCCGCCCCTTCCTGATGGGCCCCGCAGCAGGACCCAGCTGGCTGGGCTTTCTGAAGGGCCATGGGGACGAAGGAGAGAAAGGGATGGGCACATTGTGGCTGGCACAGGCGCAGGTGTGGAGCACAGGGCTGGGGCCTCCCCCGAACCAAGCCTCGACCCCACCACCATCCACCCACTGGCTTTGCTGCCTGCACAATGCGGGCGCCCTTCATGGATGGGGTTGGGTGGACCTGGCTTCCAGCATAGTCGGCAGAGAGCTCCAGGGCCAGAAGAGTTGCTATGAATGGCAGTGAGACCCTAGACAGGCCCCTTCCCCTCTCTGGGCCTCAGTTTCCCCCTTGCATCAAGAGCCCTGAGAGGGCCGTTCCTGCAGCCATTCCTGCAGCGCTGGAACCGTCTGGCCACCCCGAGTCAAGCCACCCTGCTGGCAGTTAAGAGAGCACAAACATGTCCCATGTTAAATAATTAATTTTTGCTCTGTGATAAAAATGTCATCTTGATTTATAACCCCTCCCAGCAATACAGCCTTTTGAGGGAAACCTGATTCTTAATTATTGTCCCCGGGCCGGCCAGGAGGCGTGTCCAGCTGCCAGAGGAGCGGCCCCAAATGCTCCCAGGCTTCTCTGAACCTCGGCACCAGATGCTGCCCCTGCCACTGGCTCTGCACTCCACGTGGGACTGTGCTGGCCACGACCCATGCCACACACGTGGCCAGCATCCCCAAAGGCCTGGGTGGGAAGCAGACCAGCGAGGGCAGTGGCCACACAGTGAGATTTCAGCAGCTGTGGTCACTGTAGGGTGGACAAGGAAGGCAGGGCTGGGGCTGACTCCCAGGGCTGCGCCTGCAGAGGTGGGGCTGGACGTCAGCTGGGGTCAGCCTAGCTCCAGAGTCCACCCTGGCTCCTGGCCCGAGGTGCAGGAGAAGCCGGCTGTGGCCCTCGCCTCTGCAGCACCTGCTCAGGGTGCCCTGTCCATTCTGCCCCGGGAACTTGGTGGTGGGCTCCTTCCCTCAAACCCAGCATGGGTGGAGGGTGACTCTCCCATCCTTGAGGGCCTGGGACATGGACCGGGGTTGTTGTCCTATAAATGTTTACGGAACATAACGAATGAACAGCACTGAGAAAAGTCAGCAGAGACAGGAGACCTGCCTAGGCAGCGTGCAGGTGGTCAAGGCACTGGGGGTGGATCCTGGCCCCACCTCCTCCACTCCGCCCAGCGAGGAAGGTCCCAAGAGTGAGGTTCAGTAGCTGGATGGGAGCCTGCCTCCTCATCGCTCAGAGGCCAGGGCTGAACACAGGGGGCAGGGGGCAGGGTCAGAGGTCAGGGAGGGCACGGGGAGGGGTACTCCTGGGTTGGGTGAGTGCCTCATTCTTCACCTGGGCAGTGCGTGTACAGGTGCTCACTGTACAATGCAAGGGAGGGGCTAGAGATGCACAGTGGGACACAGGGTTCTTTTGGGCCAAACCCTCCCTTCCAGTCTGCTCCTCACTGCGCTTGCTGATGTCATCGAGGGATTCCTCCCGCCCTGCTGGTCTCTGAGCTGACAGTCCTAGAAGCTCACAGCCGGGCAGTCCCAGCTCTACCCCCAAAACTGATGACATCCTGCCCCTCACACGATTCGGGGAGCAGACAGGATGCGCCCCATTTTTCAGATGAGAATCAGAGGAGTGAAGGTTCTGAGCTGTGGCTCCCACTGAGGGTACAGACCGGTTTCTGCCCACCCGGCCTGCCTCTCGCCCCTGCCCCATCCTCTCTTGTCCCTGTGGCCCCTGGTCAGAGAGGCATCAGCAGAGCCCAGGACAACTGACAGCTGGTTCAGGGCACAGACCAACCCGATGTTAATTCAAGGTGGCTCACATCCGCATCCGGGCAAAGCTGTGATGGCAGCTGCTCCAGTCTGTGCTGAAGAGCAGGGTGGTTAGCAGCAGGCGGTCAGGGCTGAGCTGTGGCTGAGCCGGCAGCTGAGTGCCTGCTGGTGAGGCCGTGGGCATTCTGTGAGCTCAGGTACCTCATCTAACCATTCCGTCATCACATCTAGAAAAGGCAAACTTTTTAAAAAAAATTATGAAAGGCCTGCTCTGTGCAGTGTGTTCCAATGGGTGGGATGCAGTGGCGTAGCTGGTACTGCACTTCCCGCCGCTCAGCCTCAGGACCCTCATACCAACTGCACCAGCCCCCTCCTTTGCTGGCACACAATAGGGATGCAATTGCAGCCCCCATCACAGCTGCTGGGGGGTTCTTGTTTCACCAGAGTCCTCTGAAATGAGGCTGGGGCAACCTGACCCATTCACTTTCCAATCACACTGACAAAGGACTCGTGTGATCTCCACCAGTGCTGGAGCTGGGGAGGGGCTTGATGGTGACTGTGCAAGGATTTCCACGTCCTCAAGGGGGCCTTGATGGGGGCCTTCATGGGGGCTGCCAGGCCTAAGTGTGTCCCCGAGTCCCCACCAGGTGTTGGGGCTGTGGGCTGTGGACATGACGATGGAGGTCGGGCTGCCTCCTTGGCCCTCAGGACACAGGGAGATGGTCAGTGGTCAGCTTGGGCCCAGGGAGGGTCTCTGGTAGGACCTGGGACTGGCAGCAGGGGCATCAGTGGAAGATTCTGGATGAGCTGCCATTTTTCCAGCCGCCAGTCCCTCCTCTGCTGCTGTGCATGCTCAGCTCCCACCTCCTGCTCTGGCCTCCTTTGAGGCCATACGTGTTCTCAGACCCCTCTGAAAATGGACTTGCCCCTGTCCTGGGAATCCTCCCTGATCTCACTCTCCAGGCAGAGTGACTCACTCCACCTTCCTGAAGCTCCATGCTTGGAACAGCCAGACGGCACGGCCAGATTTGTTCAGTCAGATGCCACCCACGGAGGCTGAGTGCCCTGAGGACAGGGCCACATCCTCTGCATTGTGGGGGCTGGTTCTCAGCGCACAGCAGGTGCCTGGTGAATGCTCAGTACTCAGGGGATACCCAGTGAGTGCTCAGTACTCAGGGGGTACCTGGTGATCGCTCAGTACTCAGGGGGTACCTGGTGAGTGTTCAGTTTCCAGGGGGTACCCAGTGATCACTCAGTACTCAGGGGGTACCCAGTGATCACCCAGTACTCAGTGGGTAACCAGTGATCGCTCAGTGCTCAGGGGGTACCCGGTGAGTGCTCAGTACTCAGGGGGTACCCAGTGATCACTCAGTACTCAGGGGGTACCCAGTGATCGCTCAGTACTCAGGGGGTAACCAGTGATCGCTCAGTACTCAGGGGGTACCCGGTGAGTGCTCAGTACTCAGGGGATGCTCAGTACTCAGGGGATACCCAGTGGGTGCTCAGTACTCAGGGCATACCCAGTGATTGCTCAGTATTCAGGGGGTACCTGGTGATTGTTCAGTACTCAGGGGGTACCCGGTGAGCACTCAGTACTCAGGGGGTACCCGGTGAGCGCTCAGTACTCAGGGGGTACCCAGAGAGCGCTCGGTACTCAGAAGGTACCTGGTGAGTGCTCAGTACTCAGGGGGTACCCGGTGATCGCTCAGTACTCAGGGGGTACCCGGTGAGCGCTCAGTACTCAGGGGGCACCCAGTGAGCACTCGGTACTCAGGAGGTCCTTAGTGAGTGTTTGTTGCATGAGTGAATGCAAGATGAACGAACGAGCACCACTCTCATCCCCTGGTGCCTATATGTAAGTCACCTCCCCTGGCCCTGTCTTCCTCCAGCCCCCAGCCCCTTGTCTCCACACCTGCCCTGATCCAGGCCTCGCATCCCCCACAACCTCTCAGAGCCTCGGTTTCCTCATCTGCACTGGGTCATTGCAAAGCCCACATGGGATGGGTGTAGCCTGCAGCAGCCCCTGGCACAGTCAGTGCCCAAAGGCTGGCAGCCCCAGCATGATGCATGGCATTAGAGAAAACCAGCAGAGCACTGCATTCCAGGAAACCAGATTTTAGTACCAAAAAAGGCGAGAATTTCTAGAACTAGAATCGTCATTTCCTAAGATTAGTAATTTGAAGAGGGAGCAGGTCTGGGGAGACCAGGCGTCCTGCACAAAGCTAGCCGGACCCCCACCTGGAGGCGCAGGGTCTGTGCATGGGTGATGATGGCAGCTGCCCACCCAGAGCCTGGCAGAGCCTCAGGACGGGCCCCTTCCCTGCTCCCCAGGAGCATCCCTGGCAGCAAATCCCCCTCCCCTGCTGTCCTCCCCACGTACTTGGCCCGAGGAACATCCGAGTGAGCCGTCGGCCCCTGAGCTTCCGTTCCTCATCTGACACGTGTGTAGGACAAAGGGAACCTCAGAGAACTGAGACACGGGAGAGGAACGGCCATGCGTAGGTGCCCTGGCTGCCATGGCTGCCTCTCCTACCACTCATCCTCATGGCCCTTGCACCAAATGCACCAGCCTCCACCTTGGCCGGCACACGGTAAGGACGTGATTGCAGCCCCCCATCACAGCTGTCGGAGCTTTTGGGAGGACCTGAGTCAAGCAGGCCCCTCCACTCCCCTGGCCTCAGGGAAGGCCTGTTGGTGCTGTGCAGGTGGGCTTCGGGCACAGAGCTGGCAGGGAGGAGAGGGGCCCACAGAGCCATAGCACGTGCCACTCCCGGGGATCTTGACAAAATGAGATGATCTACTTGTTAACTGAAAAAAAAAAAAAAAAACCGGCGGGTGCGGTAGCTCACGCCTGTAATCCCAACGCTTTGGGAGGCCGAGGCAGGCAGATCACTTGAGGTCAGGAGTTCAAGACCAGCTTGGCCAACATGGTGAAACTCTTCTCTACTAAAAATACAAAAATTAGCTGGGCATGGTGGCACATGCCTGTAATCCCAGCTACTCGGGAGGCTGAGAAAGGAGAATCGGTTGAACCTGGAGGCAGAGATTGTAGTGAGCTGAGATGGTGCCACTGCACTCCAGCCTGGGCAACAGAGACCTTGTCTCAAAAAAAAAAAAAAAAAAAAGAGACCTATGATATCTATGAATTTGGAAAGGAGAGGGAGACTTTCTTCTGACGAGTCACAGCCTGAGAGGTGGCCATCCAGGAAGCATGAGAAACAGGTGCTTCGAGGGAGGAGGGGCGGGAGCAGGAGCTTTCTGCTGACCAGGCTGGCTACACAGGTTATAACATGGAACAGGTTATAGGAGGAGGTATGGATATTGCCAAACGTGGTCCTATTGCATGCATGTTGAAGAAACATGCACGTAACGTATGACCCGTGTTCACATTGAGGTGGAGATCTAACATTTAAATGTATTACAACTCCTGCAGGAGCTGATTTTATAAAAAAGTGAAATAAATAAGTGTATTACAGTCAGGCCCTATACATCGAAAGGTCTTTTCAGGCGCAAGTGCACAGTCTCTGGAAACCGGCCAGAGGCAGCCCGTGGTTGCTGGTCTCTCATCAGGAGAAAGTTCCTGAAATGGTCTCTCGCTCAGTGAAAGCTGGTGTTAGGCTGCTGGAGAAGGGGGTCAGCTAGCTGGTGTCTGGAGCTGGATGAGCTGTGATTGTTTTTACGTTTCTTATCTCCAGGCCAGGGCTTGCTTAGCGGCTGGAGAAAAAGAAAACCCTTGTGGCCAGAGCATTTTTATTCTTTAAGTGCAAGCGTGTATGGCTTAACCCGTGCCCCGCAGGGCCTCAGGTCCTGTTTATAATTTGGCATCTTATTGCCACCAAGAGTCTGTTCTGCTGGTCTCATGGCCTCTATTTTAACATTAATGCTGGGCAGTTGTGTCTACACCGCAGAAGGGAGGGGAGTAGAATGAGGCGAGGCTGGCCACCCATCCCATCACGGCCGAGAACTCAGTTTTCAGGGGTTTCTGGGGTCCCCTTGGTTACCAGGAGGTCCGTTCAGTAGGTGGGGGGCCAAGGATTTTATGTTTAGTGTATATAGTAGAAGTGCTGGACGAGGCCAGGGTGTGTCACATTGCCAGGGACAGTTTTACCTTCCTCCGCCCCTCCCCTCTGTAGGACTCACCCAGCATCTCCAGGTACCTGGAATGGAATAGACTCTGGGAGAGCGCAGTGGGAGAAAGAATGCCTGCCCCCCACACCCCCCAGCAAAGGGCACCGAGCTCGAAGGAACCCCGTGTTCAGATTCCCACCTCCAGGGGTCCCAGGCCATCGCCCCTGGTCTGGGGGAGACCTGGTGTATCGTGGAGTGCTGGAGGGCTTTTGAAGCCCCCTTCAGGCGTGTAATAGAAGGAGAAGGAGTGGGGGGCTCCACGCTGGGGCTGCAAAGGACCAGAGGAAGGGAGGAGCCTCTGGAGACTGGCAGGAAAAATGATTCTAAAGTGCTTTGCTTCCCTGGAGGCCGAAGGGAGGGGGCAGGGCAGTGGGGAAGGAGGCTCTGCGGTGGGGGCTGCAGTACCGCCCCCCGCCCACTGCAGACCTGTTCCCAGGCTTGGGGGTCTGCTTTGCTTTGTGGCCTCACTGGGGAAGTGAGAAACAGCTAGGGTGGGACTCAGTTCTTTAGTTTTGAGGGAGAGTGAGGCTGAGCGCAGGACGCTGGGAGGGTGGTGTGGGCAGGAGACACCTTTTCCAAGGAGCTCCGCACACGTTACCCAGAGGCACGGGGGCCGGGCGGGATGCCACCGCAGCCACGTGTCCCTGGGCTCCGGCCTTGCACATGCTGTCCTCCCGTGTCCCCCTCTGCTGGCTGCGCCCCTTCATCTGCAGGGCTCGGCACACGCCCTCTTCCCTGGGAGCCACCTCTGGCCTCCACCAGGCGGGCTGGGCACCTCCCCTTCACCCCACCCTAGCACTCGTTCCAAAGACCACAGTCATGGTCATGGGCTTAACTCCCCAGAGAGACGCTGGTCCCAGGGGCCAGGGCTCTCACTCATTCACCTGCCCCACTGTCACCGAGGCCTGGCTCAAGGCTGGCCCATAGCATCTACTGAGTGAATGAACGAAGGCAGGGAGGAATGAACGGAGCTGACCCACGCTTGTCTAGCCAGGTGCCGGGTGGGTGCCGCGGCTTTGAACACAGTTTTAGATGCAGTCATGGGTGAGATTAACAAAAGCCCACTGCGGGTCTGCAAAGCCCTTCAGCGTCCTACGTGGACAGAGGCCACCTGTGCTGGAAGACGCTCCAGGGAGTCTGGCGCACTCGGGAACAGCTTGCCCCCTGCAGTCCCCCGACGCCCTGTGCGGGGTGGCCCGATGGCCTCCGGCTGCTCCAGGATGGGCCCTGGGCCCAGGGACACCCCGCCTCTCTCTGCTCTCAGGAACATCTAAGCCTGTGAGTCCAAGATTCTATAATGTGAGTATCCTATTACCATTATGGTTCATAACAGTGGTTACTCCTTATTGAGCACTTACCGTATGCTATGGTGTGTGGCCTGTTCTGGGGGCGGCCTGTAAATTATCTACTCAACCCTCCCAGAGTGAGAGGGGTGCTTGTATTTCCCCATGTAGAGATGGGGAAACTGAGGCTCAGGAGGAGCGGGCCCAGGGGAACTAGAATAAGGAAGGCGGAGCTGGCTAGAAGCCCGAGCTGCAACCAGCTGGGAGTTTTAAAAGGAGTTAAATGACTTGCCCACAGCCCTAGAGGGCTGCTCCTAGGTGGATGAGGCCCAGGCTGCTGGCCCTGAGTCCTGTTTTCAGACCTTCACTGATGGCTCTGTCTCTAAGGAATGGTAATGAAATAATGTCGGTGTGACATGGCTCTTGACGCCTGCGAGTGTCTAAGTGCTTTATAACAATTAACCGGGTCTGGCCAGCTCCCACAGCCAAGCGTGATAGCCCGGGGGACCTGTGATGGCCCGAGGAGGGAAGTGGCAGGGGAGACAGACTGAGGCCCTGAGCGCCTGGGAGCTGGCACTTTTAAAGCACAGGAGCCTGGGCTCGCATACCAAATAAGCTTAAAGCCATGGAAATTTAAAGTAATAGTCAGAAGCTGAGTATCACGGACTAATAGAGTTTTGTACCTAAGGGGTCTTAATGTCTTATATTTAAAAACTAGGAACTTGGTTGCAGCCTGGGCTACTAACCAGTTCTGCCTTCCTCTATTCTAGCTCCCCTGGGCCCTCCCCTCCTGAGCTTGAGTTTCCCCATCTCTACATGGGGAAATGTAAGCACCCCTCTCACTCTGAAAGGGTTGAGTAAATAATTTAAAGGCCGCCCCCAGAACAGGCCACACACCATAGCATACAGTAGGTGCTCAATAAGGAGTAACCACTGTTATGAGCCATAATGGTAATAGGATATTCATATTATAGAATCTTAAACTCACAGACTCAGAATCTTAGACATGTCAGTGGTCTCCTCCCGACAGGTCTGCCACTCTTCTGGGTGTCCCTGCACCTGTGCAGGAAGGATATCTGCTTTCCCCCACCAGGGTGCACACAGGAAGTGTTTAATCCATGTTGGGGAATCAGCAGTCTTGTACCTGAGAATTCCCAAATCTTAGACTTGTGGACTCACAGGCTGTGGAGGGAGGGGGCCCTTGGAGACCATCTGGTTTGTGCTCCAGCCAGGCGGGGCTGGAGATTACTCACATTCCCATTGAATGCCTCCCCTGACCAGGAGCTCACTACCTCTCAGCGCTGTTACTGCAGTCACACCGCCCAACTCCCCGCGCCCTCACAGGCACGGACCAAACACAGTTACAGACACTCACAGACATTTATTCAGGGCCTGCACGGTGCCAGCATAAGAGGGAGGAGCCTTTCTGGAAGGTCTCTACGTCTTGAGACTCCCGACAAACTTCGGTCCCTCTCCCCTGCCTAGAATCACCCCTGTGATTTCAGGGAGACCTTTCAACCATGCCATGGAGCGGATGTCCTCTTACCCCGTTGCTTTACAGCTGAGGCAGCTGCGGAATGCAGGAGGCAGGGAAGTGCTCCCAGCCGGGAAGGTGTAGAGAAGCCGGAGCTCTGACCAGGAGCAGCTCCCTGCAGATTTCACCCCAGCACACACAAGGCAGGGCGTTCTGGGCTGAGCAGCAGGAAGGAGCTTTCTTCTCCCCAGTGGTGGTGGTCGCTCACATGGCCCTGCCTCCCGGCCTGGGTCCTGGCATCCTCGTGGGGGAGGTCACAGTCCTCCCTGTGGCCCCTGCCCTCTGCTTCCTGGTGCCAATTGCCTGGGGCCACTGTTGCTGGCTTCCTGCCCGTCTGTACTGCAGGACCCTGGGCTCCCCCAGGCCGCAGACTCTTCCCTGCTTGTTGCCAGGGCTCAACAGAGGCTTAGACCCAACTAGGTGTTCAGCAAATTTGTGCTGAAAGGAGGAGCCTGCGTTTCTCAGAAGCCACTTCCTGACTATTATTACTATAGTATCATCCCCCTTTACAGGGCAGCTGACAGCCCAGGGAGCTGAGTGAGGAGCCCAGGCAGGCAGTCTTCCCGTTTGCTCTGTCCCTCCATATCACACCCTTCAGTTGTTGCATAGAAGGGCCCACTTCTGCCTCAGTTTCCTCATCTGAGCACGGAGGGGAGCCTTGCGCTCCACCAACTTGCTGCCCCCCACCCCCCCCTCCACCCCGCCCCGCTCTACTGGCGTTTATTTCAGCCTTACACTTGTGCCCCTGAGAGCAAGCTGACTCAGGGAGCTTTGCGCAGGGGAGGAAACAGCCCAAAGTGTTGCGGCTTTCTGGACACCCGCTGTGAGCCACCTGACCCGAGCACCGCATGCAGCAAACTGAGGAGATCTCACAGCAAGCTGGCACACAATGTCCCTGCTTTGCAAGTGAGGAAACTGAGGCACAGCAAGGTTAAGTAACAGGCCCGGAGTCACGCGTCCCTGGAGGCCGATCTGGGCTTTCCCCACAGCCCTCTGGCCACAAAGCCCCTGCTCTCAACCCCTGCGCAGTCCACTCCCAGTCCCCCTTCTGCTTGGAGGACCCCGAGAGGCCTGAAGGCTCGCCCCAGTTTATGAACATGGCCCTTCTTTCAAAGGCGAAATTGTCTGGCAGGATCCTAAGGAGGAGAGTGAGGAAAAAAATGACAAAATGGAATAGAGAAATGGAAAACGTTGTGCTCGTAGTGATGGGACTGCCATCCTGGCGGCGGGACTGCCCTCCTGGCGGCGGGACTGCCCTCCTGGCGGCGGGAATGCCATCCTGGTGGTGGGAAGGCCATCCTGGCAGTCTCCCTGACAACCTCCCAGAAAGTCTCAGAAAAAAGGAGTGGAGATGCACCTTCCGGCACTGTCCACCCCGCTCTCTGCAGCCACATCTGCCCTAAGTGGCCTCTGCCATCTCTGGGCCTGGGCCCACTCTCAGCACCCCTGCCTCAGGGAGTGACCTGGGCCAGCGGGGGCCCCCACATGTCTGACTGTGACATGTGCCTCACACACAGCTGGCCTCCAGAGAGACTGAAGGATGGACAGGCTTTACAACCATTAATGCTGCAGCACAGATCCAGAGCACACAGAGGACAGTGGCTATGTCTGCAGGAGACAGCCACACCCAAAGACATCTGCGTCCTCACCCCGGGAGCACCCACATCCTCATGCAAAGAGCATCTGGGTCCTCGCCTCCTCACTCAAGGAGCACCTACCTCCTCATGAAAGGAACACCCAGGTCCTCATTCAAGGAGCACCTGATCCCAACTCAAGGAGCACCCACCTCCTCACCCAAGGAGCACCTACTTCTTTACCCAGGGAGCACCAACCTCCTCATGCAGTGAGCAGCCAGGTCCTCACTCAAGGAGCACCCACCTCCTCACCCGAGGAGCACCCAGGTCCTCACTCAAGGAGCACCCACCTCCTCACCCGAGGAGCACCCAGGTCCTCACTCAAGGAGCACCTACCTCTTCATGCAAGGAGCACCTACCTCTTCATGCAAGGAGCACCCAGGTCCTCACTCAAGGAGCACCCACCTCCTCACCCGAGGAGCACCCAGGTCCTCACTCAAGGAGCACCTACCTCTTCATGCAAGGAGCACCCAGGTCCTCACTCAAGGAGCACCTACCTCTTCATGCAAGGAGCACCCAGGTCCTCACTCAAGGAGCACCTACCTCTTCATGCAAGGAGCACCCAGGTCCTCACCCGAGGAGCACCCAGGTCCTCACCCAGGGAGCACCTGCCTCCTCATGCAAGGAGCACCCAGGTCCTCACCCAAGGAACACCCCCCTCCTCACCCGAGGAGCACTCAGGTCCTCACTCAAGGAGCACCTACCTCTTCATGCAAGGAGCACCCAGGTCCTCACTCAAGGAGCACCCACCTCCTCACCCGTGGAGCACCCACCACCTCTCTTCGCCCCCATCCAGCTCTGTCCCTGACTTTGTAAGGTGTGTGAATGTCAACACTGTGGCTTCCTCGTTCCAGGGCCTGAGAGGCAGTCAGTTCCCCAGGCTGCTCTATTATTCATAGTAATTGAAATAGCAGTCCTTAATATGCTGTCACACACTGCACTGGATAGAGAGTGTCATACAATAGATGACACATTCCTAAGGAGTGCTGTGATGGCCACACTGGGTCCAAATGGCCAGGCGCTAAGGGCACCCTTCTCCTGTGGTGCTGGTGGCCTGCAGGCTCCTTGACCTCCATGCGTCCCCACCAGGAGCCCAGCTGTTGTCCCCTTTCCCAGAGAGGGGGCTCTGTTTACCCAAACGTGAGGGTGGGATGGGAGTCAGATGTCTCCAGCAACCCAGGGGCAGAGACAGACATGGCCCGGGGGCAGCTGTGGGAGTGTGAATGCGCTGGGTGGATGGAGCAGGAGGGTAACGGGGGGTCAGCAGTACCCTTTGGCAACCTCGGCCTTGTGGCCAGGACAAGAATACCCAGGAAAGGAGTGTGAATCCTATTGGCCATCCAAGGGCCTGAACCAGGAATGGAGTTGGGGTGGCTGCGAGGGTGGCCAGGGCTCAGCAGTTGGTGACCTGGGACAGACGTCACGAAGCACACGGCCATGGCTCTACGGCTCTCCGACCACCTGGACTTCGGTGCAGCAACCCTGGCTGGCCTGAAATGATGGCCATGTCCCCACCCTCCCCGTTCGGTGGTGATGTTTTAATCTTGGGACAGAAAGAAACAGGAAGGAACGTTGAAGTGGAACAGTACCCGGAGCAGCACGGCCCTCTCGCAAGGGATCATCTTTGTGAGGGCGATTGATCTGGTTGGTTGATTGATTGACAGACTGATTCATTCATTCATTCATCCAGTCAACACTTGCTGATGCCTCCTCTGTTCCAGACTCTTTCCAGGGTAGCCTGGGACAGAGGTGTGAGCAGCAGAAGGTGCTGCCCTCCAGGAGCTGACCTCCAGGGAGAGGCTGACAGCAAACCCACAGCAGACCCATGGGTGGGGCCCGGTGGTGGTAAATGCCACGTGGGAAAGTAAAGCCAAGGACGGTGGCTGGGCTCAATTCAGGGCAGGGCCCTGATAGCCTCCCGGGCCATCCAGACGAAGCCTGAATGCCATGAGGTTGAGCAGACATAGGAGGAAGAGCATTCCAGGCAGAGGGAACAGCCGCTGCAAAGGCACAGAGGCAGGAGATGCCCAGAAGGTTTTGTGGCAAGCATGGAGGGAGCGGGGTGAGCATCCTTGGCCCTCCTACAGCCTGGGGGATAGTTTTGAGCCAGGGGCCAGGGGGTGGAGTTAGGTTGGAAGGCAGCCGGAGGAGGCTATGAGCTCGGCACAAAAACCCACATCCAGCCAGGCACGGTGGCTCATGCCTGTAATCCTAGCACTTTCGTAGGCTGAGGCGGGTGGATCAGTGGAGGTCAGGAGTTCGAGACCAGCCTGACCAACATGGTGAAACCCCGTCTCTACTTAAAATACAAAAATTAGCCAGGTGTGGTGACAGGCACCTGTAATCCCAGCTACTCAGGGGGCTGAGGCAGGAGAATTGCTTGAACCCAGGAGGTGGAGGCTGCAGTGAGCCGAGATCATGCCACTGCATTCCAGCCTGGGCGACAGAGTGAGATTCCGTCTCAAAAACGAAACAAAATAAAAACCCACATCCACTCTAGACAATGCCGAGAGTGTAGTGGTTCTAAATAGAATGAAGGAGAGGGTTGGAATGAACTTACTGACAGCATAGCAATGGATACAGTTTATTTTATTTCCAGGGGCTATTAAAGTGCTTCGGAAGGTTTTTATGTTAGGTCTATAAGAATACCCTGACAGGCCTTTGAAGTTCTTAGGGAAAAAATAAAACCTCTAAAAATATTAATTTTATGAATGCAATCTAAAAGGTGTAATTAATTAGATGTGTGGAGTAGGCAAATAAAGCACAGGGGGCTAAGGTCTTTAATTTCAGTGCCTCGGATGCTACTTAAAGAACACGTAAAAGATACTTTTCTTATTCAACAATGACTAGCTTTATAAACAGTACAATGAGATTTGTAAGTCGAGCTTTACGGCTCAAGGGAAATTGGCTTTTTGAATATGAAACGTCAATGTTAACTTTAATAAGTTGTGTATTAAGTTAAAACCCGATTAAATAGTAAATAACCCTTCTTGCCCATAAAGTCTTCCACAGGCATTACTGGACCCCACAGACACTGGGTGCGAAGCAGGGGCAAGTCCCCAGTGAGAGTCAGCGGAGACGCCGCAGTGGAAAGACCCTGCGTGGCCAGAACAGGACGGAGGGGAAGGTGAGGGTGGGCAGGTCGGGGGAGCAGGGAGGGGATGTGGGCGGACAGGGGCTCTGTCCTGGGTGCCAAGGGCCTTCCCTGGGAGGCCATGAGGGGCTCACACAGGCATGGTCCGATCACCCGGCTTTTGATCCATTTTGTGCGGGATCATGCCTGCAGAGTGCAGGGTATTTAGTAAAATGCTCAGCAAGGCTGCCCTTCCTGTTTGTGAGAGGGGTCAGTGATGTTCCCTCCTCCTTCCAAATCACTCACCCAGCCGGGTTCCTGTCTGTCTCCTGGGAGGGTGGCAGCAAGACCCACAAACTTCAGAGCCCTGTCTGTGAGCAGGGGGCACCTCAGAACACTGCCTGTGGGTGGGGGGCACCTCAGAACCCCACCTGTGAGCGGGCACCACCCCAGAAACCTGCCTGTGAGTAGGGAGCACCTCAGAACCCCACCTGTAAGCTGGGAAGCACCTTGGAGCCCCCACCTGTGGGCAGGGAGCACCTCGGAGCCCCGCCTGTGAGCAGGGAACACCTCAGAGCCCTGCATGTGTACTGGGAGCACTTCGGCAGGTGGAATCCAGCAGTGACATGCTTCCTCAACACACCCACGGAAGGAAACCCTGGGCCAGGTTGGTGGCCTTGGGGACTGGCATGGGAGGACAGCAGGAGGAATGTTTGCTCAGTGCCCACTGTCTCCTGGGAGGTTCAAGGCACATCCTGTTCTATAGGAAGGACCCTGAGAGCCTGGGGGTGGGGGTCACTGCCGGGGGTGCCAGGGCTGATGAGGGTGAGGAGGCAATGCTGCCACCAAAGGCCTGGCCATGTGTCCTGGCCCTCACCAACGTCACCTCTTTCTGTAGATGTGGAGGGAGACAGAGGTGTGGACTGCGCAGGCCCTGACCCAAGGGGCTGGAGCAAATCCCACCCTGACCCTCCTCTGCTACATTCACAGCAAGTCCTCTGGGCTCTGGGGCCGGGCTCCTCCCAACGCTGTCTGGCTCCTTCATTTCTGCTGCCTCTGGACAGGGAGCCCCGTGGGCAGCACGCTTTTGTCACACACGGCTGCACCCACCCCCAGGTCCCGGCTCGCAGGTGCTCACTCTGCAAATGAAAGAATGAGTGAGTGCGTGAATGAGTCAGTGAGTGAATAACATGAGGAGAGTAGGGCCTGTGTGCGGCTGGCAAGGGCCCGTTCCTGTGTGCGTGGCTGGCAAGGGCCAGCTGACACATGGATGGTACATGGGGCACTCTCTCTCTCTCTCTCTGTTGCTCTCATCAAATGACCCTCCTGTGATGTGCCTGCCCCAGCCCAGGACAGGCCAGTCCCCCCAGTATCTCCTGAAGCCCTTCCCTACTCTTGTCCCCCAACCTGGCTGTGGCCTGTGCCTGTCTCCTGCTGGGTTGTCGCAGGGCATGTAGGTACAACTCTTGTCATACCGGCCGTCCTCTGCCTAACGACCACTTTGGCAAACAGCTGGGGATGATGTTGTTTGGGGGCCATTGCTTATGGCTGACCTGCCCTTGCAGCCAAGGGCCTCTCTGTGTGGCCACAGCATCATGGGGCAGCCTCTCATCCTCTCAGCAGAGCAAAGCACGGGCTGTCTTCGAGGGCTGCTCCATCCAGCAGCACGAGGCCAAATCCATGGGTCACATCCGATCAGAACCCGGCTGTGGGGAGACAGGTTAGCCCGACTCCAGCCTGGCTACACCACCCAGGGGGAGCCGCTTTCTCTCCCTTGTCAACAAGATGGAGATGACACCCTGGAAGTGACCAGGTGGCTGTAGATTGGGGGCAAGACCCCAGGAGTAACCCTGTGATCTGGCGTTGGGCACACAGACAGTTGCTGGCAAATGGTTTGTCTTGTGTTTCCCGTGGCGCAAATGAGCTCCATCTGTTCCTTCTTGGGGCAGGTGGCAAAGGCATTTTCCTGTTTAGCAGAACGTGAGCGTCCCATCTAAGGCAGGCCCACCTCACTGGGTGCCATCGAGGCCGTCTGGGAGCTCACCCAAGGCAGAGCTGGGGGCATGGGAGGTGGCAAAGTGAGTTCCCAGACAGGTGGGGTGGGCCAAGAGAGTGGATCCTGGGGCGCTGGTGGGGACGACGGGGCAGGGGAGGGGGTGGAGAAGCCCCGCGTACGCCCGAGAAGGGAGGCCTTGGCCTGGCACCTGCAACTTCAGCACTGCCTTCCTTGGGGTCTGCGTGGCTTCACCGAAAGCCTGACCGCCGGCAGCCCGCAGCCCCGAGCCATTTGACCTTGGACTCCTTTCAGGCACCCAGAGAGGGCCCATCGATCTCCTTCCTGAGAGCACATTATCCTCGTGCGTCCTTGTGTTAATGTGCTGTGCTAATTTCCCCGTCCCAGCTGCGCACCCCAGGTGCCCAGAGCCTTCCTCACTAGCCCCCCGGGAAGGGGCTCATCTTGGGGAAGGGGCATGTCTCTGAAGTGGGGGGGGTCACCTATGCAAAGTGCTCAGAAGTGTTCAATGCCTCCCTAAGGGCTCTGGCTTCCCTGCTAAGTGTCGCGCAGCCAGCGTGCAGGGCCCTGGGGCCGCCAGCAACAAGTTTGCCAACCTGCCCTCAGCGGAACGTGGAGCTATGAGCCCCCATCACACACAGGCCACATCTCAGCGTACAGAGACTGAGGGGTCAACAGGTTTGGCCTCCCACCCATGGGGCTTTGCATCTCACAAACCGTGGCCCCCTATGAAATCCCCCACCTACTCACCCATCCTAGGGTCAGACGCAGCCACTCAGCCTGGCCTCCAAGGGGCGGCCGGGGACCCTCTTGCCTCAGCTTCCACCTCCACCTCCTTGGCCACTGTACCGGCCCCACGGCCTCCTTGCTGCTCTGACCACGCCCCCTGCACCCCATTTTTCCCCCAGGCCTCCTTGCAGCCTGTGCGGGGCTCCCTCGGGCTGCCCACGCTTTTCCTCAGCACACCATGCAAAGAAATGGTGTCATTCGTATGACACTCTGAGTAAAGTGGAGTTGGCCTGGGGACTCGGAGGAAAGAAATGCGCTATGTTTTCTTTGTATTTTATAATTAGGACAATTTTTCATGTTGAATTTGTATAAAACTTCCAAGTAACTTTTCCTGAATTTTAGTGAGAAACCGGAGTTTGCAGCACTTCATGAGAAACGCGGGCATTTTTCTATAGTGCTTCACACGTAAGACGGCCCAAGTAATTCTCGAGTAATTCTCCATTGGGGCTTTAAATGATTCTATTTTCAAATTCTTGCAGGTCACCGCGGACGAGAAACAGCCCATCCTGATGGGGGTAAATATTTTCAACAAGGGTTGCAGCCGTCAGAAGCCGGCAGCGGCGGGCGCTGTGTTTAGGGATGCCAGCAGCTGGCTCCGTGATTTTTATTTCATTGAAAAATGTAACCTTGCAATGTCCTGTGATCGCAGAGAACCTGGAGGCGACTGGCTGCTCTCACTTCACAAACTTCAAAGCCAATGGCAAAGCCCCCACGTGCAAATTACCCAGCCTGAGTGGCCCAGCTGGCCTCGGCGGCTGAGGGGCTGCTGATGCCCACTGCCTGCAGCTGTGCCTCAAGAGCCCCTAGGGGCCACTCACTCTGCTGCCCCACCCTGACCCTGGGGCACCAGGCATGGGCCTCACCCGAAGCAAGTAGAGGCTTGGGCTGCTGAAGTTGGCAACAGGAGGCAGAGCCTCTGAAGGGCTCCTGTGTCCCTGAGCACAAGTGCTGATGTGGCTGCCGTGGTCATCATCTGCGGGGACCACAGGGCTTGTCCTCTGACCCTGCCACTTAGGCACCTTCTGAGGAGCCCCTGCCAAGGCCGCTGTGGGCAGGAGGCTACTAGCCTAGGGCTTCACCTCCTCCAGGACCCAGAGCCTCTGCTGTGGGTGGGGAAGACCAATATCTCACCACCCCCCTTCACAAATGACCCTCCTTTATAGGTGGTTCATCTCCACAGAATACCTACCCTCCTTCACAGGCGACCCACCTGCACGCGACCCACCTGCACAGGTGACCCTCCTTCACAGGTGACGTTTATTCCCAGATGAACCATCTGCATAGGTGACCCATTTGTACAGGTGACCCATTTGCACAGGTGACAGCCTGATGTGCCCAGTGCACAACTTGGGAAGCTGCACTCTAGCCACCATGGGTTACTGTCCTCACACCCTTCCTATTTTCCCATTTGTTCTCTGCATCTCCCTCCAGAATGTTCCATGAGGGTGTGGTCATCTGTCTGTGGCTCAATGCCCAGAGCAGAACTGTCATCCCTAAGAGGTGTTTAGTGACTGTTTGTTGAGCCAGTGCCTGGGCAGCGGCACCCTGTGGCCGGGTCTGAGGGGCAGCCTGGAGCCCCGTCCTGGCTCCCAGATGCAGCAGGCCCCTTGCCAGGCAGTGCCAGCCCCTGGGCCTGCTGATGAAAGGCGGCATCCCCGGGGGTCTGTGGCTGGAGGGCAGAGGGAGAGCCTGGGACTCCCGGGCAGGCCAGCTGCGAGGGATGGACATGAAGGTTCCTTCCAGTCCAAACCGGCTGGAAATCAGAAAATGATATTTGGGGCAGCAACAATTCAGTGATTTCACTGTATGGGGAGTGAAGCTGGGGAGAGGAGTGAGGAGGGGGACAAGGCCTCAGTGAGGGGTGGTATGTGCTGTCCAGTGCTGGGCGGGGGCCACCAGCCCAACCATGGTCCAGGCCTCGGTGTTTGGCCCGGCTTCTTCGGGGACACTGCCTCCTGCCCACGGCTCCTCCCAGCCCTGTGCCTTGACCCCTGACCTCCCCGCCTCACCCCTGCTGGGCCCCTTTTTCTTTGTCCGTGGAGCCCCTCCCCAGCATGCCCAGCCACCCCCGTGGGCCTTGTCCATGGCTCTGCCCTGCAAATGACAGTGCCTTAGGCCCCAGGACCGGCTGATGGTGGCTTCCTTGGTGAGACCTCAGTTCTCCCAGCTGCTCCTCTGTGCTGCCGCCCAACCTGACGGAGATTTCCCTGGATGACGTTGGGGGAAACTCCCCTGGTTTTCCCTGAAAACCCAGCTCAGCTCTAAAATTCAGGCACCACCTCCCTGCCAGATGCCTCTCGGGACACCTGGAAAGACTCCGGCCCTTTGAGGTTTACTCTGCTGGGCTCACTGCCTGGAGCAAAGCCTGTGGTCAGTTCCTGGTTATTTGTTGGTTTTACTGAGGCCCTTGCCGCGTCCCTGGGTTGCAATGATTTGTGAACTCGTCCTCCTCTCCACCAGGCTGTGAGCCTCCGGGGCAGAGCAGGTTCCTCCGCATGGATTCCTCCCCAGCTTAGCGTGGGCTGGCGTGGGGTGTGCACTCCGTGCACTGGGTGTCGGTGCTGGTGCGGGGAGAGGTGGAAGAGAGAGCAGCTGGAGGGAAGAGTGTGGCTCTAGAGTCACACTCTAGAAGGGGGGTTGTTGTGGGGCTCCAGGGAGGGTGGCAGCTGCCTCCGTGCTCCAGGCCAGCTCTTGCCAAAAGCACGGGCCATTCTGGTCCTCTCTGCTTGCTGGCCCTGGCCGTGGGCTTGGCCCAGGCCAATCTGGGCATGGAGGCTTGCTGGGGCTCTGGCTGCCCTCAGTCTGGCCGGGCAGAGTTCAGGCTCTGAGTCTGCGGTGCTGCCAGGAGAGAGAGCTGCAGACCTGGGAGCATCTCACAGCCCAGGGGAGCAGCAGCAGGGACTCAGGGTTCCAGGTGGAGTCCCAAGCTATTCAAGACAAAAGGGGGGCTTTTGGCTGCCCCGGCTGGCAGGCGTAGGGATGGAGCATACCCCTCAGATTGGAACCAGTGCCTTTGCCATCTCTGGTGGTCACTTGGACTTTTCCAAATGGCAAAGGATGTGGCCACCAACTACTCAAGGTCACACTCTGACAGCTCAAATCCACAGAAAGACAGAGGTCCTCTCTCTCTCCAATGCCGGCATAACATCCACAGAAGGCTTCTGACTGGCATGGCCAGGTCATGCATCTTCTCTGGCAGGGGCGTGGGAGGCAGGGCTGGCAGCCGCAGTGGAACCACCCAGAGGGGAGAGGGTGTTCTCAAAGTCGAGTGAACGCGTTCACCACAGGGAGAAGCAGGGAGGGGTCTGGGCAGACCAAACCGCAGTGTCCAGGCCAACACAGGCTGTGGCTCCAGGGGCATTGGGGAGGGGCTGAACCAGATTCTGAGACAGGACAGAGGGAGCAAGAGGTCCAGGTGTGCCCCGTCTCTCCTGCTCCTTCCTGGGCAGCGCCCAGCTCTGGACACCAGTCCCAAGTCTCCAGGAGTCTCTGGGTCTATCCGGGACCCGGGCTGAGGAAGCAACCCCATCTGGGACACGCTGCTCTTGTGTTACAGGGAAAGAGCGAGAGACAGACCCCAACCGCGCAATAGTGTTGACATTAAAAAAACAACAAGTTTATTTTCTAATTTGCATACAGCAAAATTAACTTTTTTGCATGCAGTTTTGACAAATGCATAGTCACATAACCATTACCACAGTCAAAATGCAGAACCGTTCCATCCCTTCCCCTGCCCACACCAATTCCAGTGCAGTGAAAGCCGCCCCTTCCCCTTAACCCATGGCACTCAGGATCTGTGCTCCATCCCTATCGTGTCCATGACATTCTCCGGAATGTCATACGAACAGGATGACGCAGTGCGCGGTTTCTGACCTGGCACCTTTCGCTTGGCGTAATCCCTCTGAGATGTGTCCACATTGTGGTGTGAACTGATGCTTCCTCTTTTCGTCTTGCTGAGTGACACTTCATCGCGTGACCGTATTGTAGTCTATTAATCCACTCTCCACTTGAGGGACATCTGGGTTGCTTCCAGTTTGAGCGATCGTCAATAAAGCTCCTCTAACCATTGACATTCGGGCGACTGTGGCAACACAGGTTTCATTTCGCCTGGGTAAGTGTCCAGGATGGTGACTGCTGTGTCCTGTGGCAAATGCGTGCGGAATGCTACGGGACGCTGTTAACCATTTTTCACACATTCTCACCAGCAACGCAGGAGAGTTCTGGTCACTTTGCAGCCTTGCTGGCATTTGGTACTGTCAGGGATTTCGTTTCGTTTTTAATTTTAACTCTTCTCACCAGTGTGGAGTGGTACCTCACTGGGGGTTTAATGTGCATTTTCCTAATGCGTGATGATGAGCAGCTTTTCAAGTACCTGTATTTTTAAAAAAAATTTATCTCTGACGGGGAGCGGTGGCTCATGCCTGTAATCCCAGCACTTTGGGAGGCTGAGGTGGGCGGATCACCTGGGTCAGGAGTTTGAGACCAGCCTGACAAACATGAAGAAACCCCATCCCTACTAAAAAAATATATATAAATATATATAAATAAATATATAAATATATATAAATATATGTATAAATATATATAAATAAATAAATATATGTATAAATATATATAAATAAATATATAAATGTATAAATATATGTATAAATATATGTATAAATATATATAAATATATAAATATATAAATATATATAAATATATAAAAATATAAATATATAAATATATATAAATATATAAAAATATAAATATATAAATATATATAAATATATAAGTATATATAAATATATAAAAATATATAAATATATAAATATATAAAAATATATAAATATATAAATATATAAAAATATATAAACATATAAATATGTAAATATATATAAATATGTAAATATATATAAATATATAAATATATAAATATATAAATATACATATAAATATATATAAATATATATAAATATATATAAATATATAAATATATAAATAAATATATAAATATATATAAATATATAAAATATATAAATAAATATATAAATATATATAAATATATAAATATATAAATATATACAAAAATATAAAAATATAAATATAAAAATATATAAATATATATAAATATATAAATATATATAAATATATAAATATATATAAATATATAAATATATATAAATATATAAATATATATAAATATATAAAAATATATATAAATATATAAAAATATAAAAATATATAAATATATATAAATATATAAATAAATATATAAAAATATATAAATATATAAATATATAAAACCATAAATATATATAAATATATAAAAACATATAAATATATAAATATATAAAAATATAAATATATATATATAGATATACATAAATATAAATATATATAAATATATAAAAATATATATAAAATTAGCTGGGCGTGGTGGTGCATGCCTGTAATCCCAGCTACTCAGGAGGCTGAGGCAGGAGAATCGCTTGAACCGGGGAGGTGGAGGTTGCAGTGAGCCGAGACCACGCCATTGCACTGCAGCCTGGGCGACAGAGCAAGACTCCTCAAAAAAAAAAATTTCCGTAGGTTATTGGGGTACAGGTGGTGTTTGGTGACATGAGTAAGTTCTTTAGTGGTGATTTGTGAGATTTTGGTGCACCCATCACTCAAGCGGTATACACTGCACACCCGCTTCCCACCCTTTCCCCGAGTCCCCAAAGTCCATTGTGTCATTCTCCAAAGTCTACTGTGTCATTCTTATGCCTTCGCATCCTCATAGCTTAGCTCCCACTTAGAGTGAGAATATACGATGTTTGGTTTTCCATTCCTGAGTTACTTGACTTAGAATAATAGTCTCCAATCTCATCCAGGTCGCTTCGAAGGCCATTAATGTATTCCTTTTTATGCTGAGCAGTATTCCATTGTGTGTGTGTGTGTGTGTGTGTGTGTGTGTGTGTGTGTGTGTATCTATATATATATATATGCCACAGTTTCTTTATCCACTCATTGATTGATGGGCATTTGAGTTGTTTCCACAATTTTGCAATTGCGAATTATGCTGCTATAAACATACATGGGCAAGTATCTTTTTTGTACAGTGACTTTTTTTCCTCTGGGTAGATGCCCAGTAGTAGGGTGGCTGGATCAAATGGTATTTCCATTTTTAGTTCTTTAAGGAATCGCCACACTGTTTTCCATAGTGGGTATACTAGTTGACATTCCCACCAGCAGTGTAGAAGGGTCCCCCGTTCACCGCATCCACGCCAGCTTATTTCAAGTACTTATTTGCCATGTGCTTATATCTTCATTGGTGAAGTGTCTGTTCAAACTTTTTGCCCATTTTATTATTGAATTAATAATATGCTTATTATTGGGCTTTAAGAGTTCTTTATGGCAGGTGCGGTGGCTCACGCCTGTAATCCCAGCACTTTGGGAGGCCAAGACGGGGGGATTGCTTGAGGCCAGGAGTTCATGACCAGCCTGGGCAACGTGGTGAAACCCTGTCTCTACAAAAAATACAAAAATTAGCCAGGCATAGTGGTGCCCACCTGTAGTCCCAGATACTCAGGAGGTTAAGGCAGGAGGATCCTTGGAGCCCAGGAGGTCAAGGTTGCAGTGAGCCATGATCACTCCTCTGCACTTCAGCCTGGGAGACAGAGTGAGACCCTGTTTAAAAAAAAAAAAAAGTTCTCTATATATTCTGGATACAAGTCCTTTTACAGATTTGTGGTTTATAAATATTTTCTCCTAGCCTGTGGTTTGTCTTTTTGTTCTCTATAACAATGTCCTTTTGCCAGGTAAACTTTAATAAATTAAATGTATCATTGTTTTCTATTATGGATCCTGCTTTAGTGCAGCCGTCCTCAACCTTTTTGGCAGCAGGGACCAGTTTCAGGGAAGACCATTTTTCCAGGGTAGGAGGATGGTTTCTGGATGAAACTGTTGCACCTCAGATCATCAGGCATTAGTTAGATTCTCATAAGGAGTGCACAACCTGGATCCCTCACATGCGTGGTTCACAACGGGGTTCTCACACCTAAGAGAATCTCATGCAGCCGCTGGTCTGACAGGAGGTGGAGCTCAGGACGTAATGCTCGCTGGCCCACCACTCACCTCCTGCTGTGCGGCCTGGCTCCTAACAGGCCATGAAAAGGTACTGCTCTGTGGCCTAGGGGGTTGGGGACCCCTGCTTCAGTGGGTGTATATAAGAAAAGTTCACTTAACTCAATGTCCCAATTATCTCTCTCTAAAAGTTTTATAGTTTTACGTTTTACATTTAGGTATGTCATCTATTCGAGTTAATTTTGTATGAGGTGTGAGGTGTGGTGGCAGCCCCTGGTTTTTCATGTCTTGTCTAATTGTTCCAGCACCATATGTTGAAAAGACAATCCTTTCCTATTGAATTGCCTTTGCACCGTTGTCAAAAATCAGTTGGTCATATGTGCGAGTGGCTGTCTTCCTGGACCTTCTACTCTGGGCCACACTGATTTGATTGTGTAGCTTTATAGTAGCTACTTACTATAAAATTAGGTAGTGTGGGCCGGGCTCAGTGGCTCATGCCTGTAATCCCAGCACTTTGGGAGGCCAAGGAGGGTAGATCACCTGAAGTCATGGGTTCGACACCTGCCTGGCCAGCATGGTGAAACCCCCATCTCTACTCAAAATACAAAATTAGCCGGGTGTGGTGGCACATGCCTGTAATCCCAGCTACTTAGGAAGCAGAGGCAGGAAAATTGCTTGAACCTGGGATGTGGAGGTTGCAGTGAGCCGAGATTGCGCCATTGCACCCCAGCGTGGGCAACGAGAGCAAAACTCTGTCTCAAAAAAAAAAAAAAAAGAAAGAAAAAAAATTGGGTAGTATGTGTACCTCACCTTTATTTTTCTCAGTCACTTCCTACTCTTAACCTTTTGCATGGAGATAATTTTAGATTTACAGAAGAGTTGTGAGAATACTACAGGTATTTCCTGGACACCTTTCATCCAGTTTCCCCTAACATTAACATCTTATGTAGCCATAGTATAATGATCATACTAAGAAATTAACATTGATACATTGCTATGATTAAAGTAGAGATTTCAACAGTTTTTCCACTAAAGTTCTTTTTTGTTCAAAAATTGAATGATTCCACATTTTTTTTTTTTTGAGACGGAGACTCACTCTGTCGCCCAGGCTGGAGTGCAGTGGCTCCATCTCCGCTCACTGCAAGCTCCGCCTCCTGGGTTCAGGCCATTCTCCTGCTTCAGCCTCCCGAGAAGCTGGGACTACAGGCGCCTGCAACCACGCCTGGCTAATTTTTCGTATTTTTAGTAGAGACGGGATTTCACCGTGTTAGCCAGGACGATCTAGATCTCCTGACCTCGTGATCCGCCCACCTCGGCCTCCCAAAGTGCTGGGATTACAGGCGTGAGCCACCGCGCCCGGCCAAATGATTCCACAACGCATGTAGCTTTTGAGTCTCCTCCATCTCCTGCAACCTCTGACGGTTCTTCAATCTTTCCTTGTCTTTTATGAAAAGACTTGGAAGTTATTTTGTAGACAATTTCTCAGCTTGGGTTTGACTGATGTTTTCTCATGGTAACACTGACGCCTTGAACTACTGGGAAGAGCTGCATTAGAGATGTACCCTACATCAGGGGCCATCCCATGTGTCTTGATGATGCAAGGCAGGTGAGCCCCGAAATTGGGGTTCGGCCCAGGAAGGTCCTTAGCTTCACCCAGGAAAGAATTAAAGGGCAAGCCGGTGGTTTTAGCAGTTAGTTTTCGAAACAGGAGCAGAAGTACTGCAGCAGAAGTACTGCTCCTTTGCAGAGCAGGGCTACCCCACAGGCAGTGTGCCCAGAGCAGCAGCTCAGAGGCAGATCTGCGTGATCTCAGCTCACTGCAACCTCTGCCTCCCGAGTTCAAGTGATTCTCCTGCCTCAGCCTCCCAAGCAGCTGGGATTACAGGCGCCACCACGCCCGGCTAATTTTTGTATCTTTAGTAGAGGTGGTGTCTCACCGTGTTGGCCAGGCTGGTCTCAAACTCCCGCCCTCAGGCGATCCACCCGCCTTGGCCTCCCAAAGTCCTGGGATTACAGGCATGAGCCACCGTGCCCGGCCCTGCGCTCATATTTATAACCAGCTTTAATTATATGCAAATTAAAGGGTGAATTATGCAGAGTATTCTAGGAAAAGGGTGTTAACTTCCTGGTCCTTAGGTTGCTGCCATGGAAGGGGGGTGGTAACTTCCGGGTGTTGCCATGGCAATGATAAATTGACATGGCACTGGTGGGCGTGTCTTATGGAAAGTGGCTTGCTTCCCTGTCCTGTTTTAGCTAGTCCTCAATTTGGTCCGGCGTCCAAGCCCCACCTCCTACCTCATTATCACTGGTGATACTCGCTGTGATTCTTGAGTAAGGTGGTGGCCGCCAGGTTTCTCCTCTGCACAGTTAGCTGTTTTTCCTTTGTCACTCCTAAAATTTTGGAAGAGATACTTTGATGCTGTGCAAGCGTCCTGCTCCTCCTGAAACTTCTGAGGCAGGAAAATAGGGTCTGAAAACAGGGAGCCTTCACTTCAGCCTCTAATTGGTTGTGGGCCAAGTTTAGTTGCATAGGGTGTAACTTCATTTCAGCCGCTGATTGGTCAAAGGCCAAGTCTTCATTTACATAGGGTGTAACCAATAGGAAACCTCTACAGGGTACTTAAACCCCAGAAGATTTTGCTACTGGGTTCTTGAGCCACTTGCTGGAGTCCGCTTTCACCCTGTGGAGTATGCTTTCACTTCAATAAATCTGTGCTTTTGTGGCTTTGTTCCGTCATTGTTTTGTTGGTGTCGTTTGTCCAATTCTTTGTTCAACAAGCCAAGAACCTGGACAACCTGTAGTCAAAACCCTCCACCAGTAACACTTCTGCCTACTAATCTTGGCATTCAGCAGTGGACCTCCCTGTAGTAGTTACGACTGCGATGTTCTAATGGTGATGGTCTATTTTCCTAATTCTTTCTATAGCTCCTATTTGGAATTCTCCTGGAAGAAAGAATGGTCCCTTCTCCATCTATTACTTCGTTTATTTATTTAGTTCATTATTCATGATATCAGTATGGACTCGGGTTGTTTATTTTATTATTTGGGTTCAAATCCAGTATTTTGTCTATTTTGATGCTTAAATTGTTCCAGCGCTCCTGTGCTTTAACATGTGCCCATCTCTTTTTTCAGACCGATTCTCTACCTTCTAGCACCCTAAGATGTTCTAAGCTCACCTTGTTCTTTTTCTCCTGCACTTTTTCACATGCTTGTTTGTTATCTGTACGTCCTTTTCAATGACTTGTTGGTGTAAATCTTTCCCCCTTTTAAAAAGCTCTGTTTGTTGTCTTCATTTTGACCTTTGAGAGCTTTTAAAAAAAATTACAGTAGTCTCCCGTTATCTGCGGTTTTGCTTTCTGTGGTCTCAGTTGCCCATGGTATATAATACAGTGAGATATTTAGAAAGAGAGAGAGGAGACAGGGAGAGAGGGGTGGAGGGTAGAGGAAAGGGGGGAAAGAGAGAGACCACATTCACGTAATTTTTATTACATCATATTGTCATAATTGCTCTATTTTATTACTACTTACTGTTGTTAATCTCTGTCTGTCCCTAATTTACAGATTAATCTATATCATAGATACATATGTAGAGGAAAAGCATAGTGTATATCACCGTCCGTGAAATCACTGTCCGTAATTTCAGGCATCCACTGGGGGTCTTTGCATGTATCCTCCTCAGATAAGAAGGTGGGAGGACTGCTGTATATATATTCTGGATATTGTGTTTTGTCAGAAATGTGATTTGAAAACATAGTCTCTCGGCCTGTGGCTTGTTTTTTCATGCTCTTAATAGTTTTTTTTTTTTTTAACTTGTTTACATAGAAGTTCCAGATTTGGATAAGGTTGAACTTATCAGCGCTGTTCTTTGGTGCATGATGTTATTTGGTCTTCTCTAGGCACTCTGCCCAATTCATGGCCACACTGACTTTTCTCCTATGTTTTCTACTAGAAGTTTTAAAGTTTTATACATTTTACAAATGTTCCAATTTGATTTGATTTTGTTATAAGGGTTAAAGACTAAGCTATTTAATTTCACATGAATGCACAATTTCCTCAGCATATTTGTTGAAAAAATTGCCATGTTTTTCTATTCAATTTCTTTTGCCCCTCTGTCAAAAAACATGTGACAGTATTTCCCTGGATCTATCTGTGGGCTTTATTCTGTTCTGATGACCTGTATGTCTGTCCTCACACTAAGACCACACTGTTTTGATTACTATAGCTTTGCAGCAGGTCTCTAAATTAGGTGGTGTGAGTTCTCCAACTTTGTTCTCCTTTTACAAACTTCTAGTGGAGGCTCTATTAGTTAATTTGCTTTTCCATAGACAGTTTTGATTCAACGTGTGTTATCCAAAAAACAAGCCTGCTGGCATTGCATTAAACCTATAAATGAAATTGTACAGAAGTGACATCTTAACAATTCTCAGTCTTTCTTGCTATAAATCTCACTATTTAGTTCTTGTTTGATTTCTTTTATCAATGTTTGTAGTTTTCAGCATGCAGACGTTGCATACTTAAAAATTTATACTTTGGTTGGGCGCGGTGGCTCATGCCTGTAATCCCAGAACTTTGGAAGGCTGAGGTGGGTGGATCACTTGAGGTCAGGAGTTCAAGATCAGCCTCACAAACGTAGTGAAACCTCTTCTCTACTAAAAATATAAAAATTAGCTGGGTATGGTGGTGTGCACCTATAATTCCAGGACAGAAATGCTTGAATAGGAATGGTGAGAGAGGACATCCTTGCCTTGTTTCTGATATTGGGAAAAAACATTCACCTATAAGTTTAACATTAGCTGTCAATGTTCTTTTTCACATCAAGAAGCTCCCTATTACTTACAGTTTGTTGAGAATTTTTTTCGTCATCAATAGATTTTGAATTTTATCAATTACTTTTCCTTCATTTACTGAGATAATTACATGGCTTTTCTTCTGTAGTATATTAATATGATGTATCAGGTTAAATTAAAATTTTGTAACCTCCTTTGTATTTCTGGGATAAAACATGATCGTGCTAATACTGTATTGAGAGTTTGCACACTTTATTCATGTGAAATATTGGTCTGTAATTTTCTCTCTCTTGCAGTGTATTTGTGTGGATTGATATTGGGGTATTGCTGGAATTATGAATTGGGAAATGTTTTTCCTATTTTATTTTCTGGGAGAGATTGTGTTGAATTGATACTGTCTCTTTCTTAAACATTTGGTAGAATTCTCCAGCAAAATCAGCTGGGACTGAAGTTTTCTTTTTTCCTCTAAGCACTGCTTTAACTGTATCCGTCAAATGTTGGCATATTTTATTTTCATTTTAATATCACTTTAAAATATTTTTAAATTGTTCTTGACACTTGCTCTTTTATCTATGGGTTATTATAAGTGCATTGTTTAGTTTATAAGTGTTTTTTTCTTCTACCTTTCTGTTATTGATTTGTAGTTTACTGTTATGGTTAAAGATTAAAAGGTTTATATTCTTTTAGATTTGCTGAAATTTGTTTTATGGTCCAGATGCAATCTCCTGTTATTGGGTGGAGTCTGTATATGCCAATTAGGCCTAATAGTGTTGTTCAAGTCTTTGTTCTTACTGATTATCTGTTTACTTTTCTGTCCATTCCTGAGACAGAGTTGACATCTCCAACTATAATTGTGTGGATTCATCCATTTCTCATTCCAGTTCCATCAGTTTTTGACTCATGTATTTTGAATCTGTTGCTAGTTGCATACACATTTAAGATTGTTATATTCTTGGAGAATTGACTCCTTCATCGTTATGTAATGTTTCTCTTTATCTTTGACAGTATTCCTTTCTCTAAAGTCTACCTTGTCTGATATTAATATAGTTACTCCAGTTTTCTTTTGCTTAGTGTTTGCATGATCTGTATTTTCTTTTCCTTCACTTTTTGTAACACATTTATTATATCTTTATATTTCAAGCAGGTTTCGTATGTACAGCACGCAATCGAAACAATCACATCTGACAATCTCTGCCTTTTATTTGGTATGTTTATACAATTCATAAGTAATGTGATTATGGATATGGTTTGATTAAAATCCATCATTTTACTTACCATTTTCTATTCTATTTTTTCTTCGTTTCTTTTTTCCCATTTTTTTGGCCTTCTCTTTCGTCAACTGAGCAATTTTTATGATTCCATTTTATCTCCTCTACTGACTTATTATTTATACCTCTTCGAAAACCTTTTAGTGGTTGACCTTTGCCTCAAATGTACATCTTTAACTAATCAGAATCTACCTTCAAATAATATTGTACCACCTTGTATGTAGTATAAGGACTTTAAAATAGCATATTCCGAATTTCTTCTTCCTGGCCTTTGTGCTGTTGCTGTCACACCTTTACTGTTATATATGCTATAAACACACAATACGGTGCAACCTTTTTTTTTTTTTTGAGACAGAGTATCACTTTGTGGCCCAGGCTGGAGTGCAGTGGTGCGATCTCGGCTCACTGCAAACTCTGCCTCCCGGGTAAACGCCATTCTCCTGCCTCAGCCTCCCGAGTAGCTGGGACTGCAGGTGCCCGCCACCACGCCCGGCTAATTTTTTCTATTTTTTAGTAGAGACGGGGTTTCACCGTGTTAGCCAGGATGGTCTCAGTCTCCTGACTTCGTGAGCCGCCCGCGTCGGCCTCCCAAAGTGCTGGGATTACAGGCGTGAGCCACTGCGCCCGGCCTGTTTTAAATGTTTTTTTTTTTTTTTTAGAGCAATTAGAAACTAGAAAAAAATAAATTTAATTTTACCTTCATTTATTCCATTTCTAGCGCTCTTCATTTCTTTGTGTAGAGCTAAGTTTCAGTTACTATCCTAGTCCTTCCACCTGAAGAACTTCTTCAGCATTCTCTTTAGAGTAGGTCTGCTGGAAATGCATTTTCTCCATTTTTGTTTCTTTGAGAAATTTATTATGTCTCCTTCATTTTTGCGAAGATATTTTTCTCGGAGTTAACTGGTTTTTTTTGTCCTCCAGCACTTTAAAGATTCACTCCATTGTTTTCTGTTTTGCATGATTTCTGATGAGAACTCTGTTGCAAATTGCGCGTTTACTCTTCCATAATGCTTGCCCGCCACCCTGCCCTGGTCTGGCTCGCTTCAGTGTTATCTTTTTGTCTTTGGTTTCCAGAGCTGGCATATAACATGCCTATGTGTGGTTCTTTGTTTGCTTTCGTTTTGGTGTGTATGCTAGCTGGTGTTCTCTGAGCTTCTTGGATCTGTCTTCTGGTGTCTGTTGTTCATTTCAGTAAATTTCTGGTCATTATTTCTTTAAATACTTCTTCTGCTCATTCTCCCTCTTCTACTTCTAGGATTCCAGGTATGCGTATGTTAGGAGTTTGATATAGTCTCCTAGCTCTTGGATGTTCTAGTCCATGTGATGCTCATTCTTTTTTCTCTTTTTTCCAGTTTGGGTAATTGTTTTTGACTCGTCTTCAAGGTCAGTGATTCTTTCTCAGCTGTGTAGCATCTACTGATGAGCCCATTGAGGGCACTCTTCCTCTCTGTCTCTGTGTTTCTCATTTCTAGCGTTTCCATTTGATTCTCCCTTACAGTTTCCATCTCTCCGTTGAAATAACCCATCTGATCATGCACTGTCCCCTTTCTTCATTACAGCCTTCAACAGAGTAATCATAGTTATTAAAATTTCCTGCCCAGTATTTCCAACATGTGTATTCTTTATCTCTTATGAGTGTGATTTTTTTTCCCTTGTCTTTTTGTATGCATCAGAATTTTGTGTTAAAAGCCAGGCATCTTATACGGGCACAACTTCCTCCTACCGGACCCTTTGTAGGAGGTTTAAGTTAATCTAGTTAGGAGCTGGGCTAGGTTTGAGATGTGTTACTGTGATCACTCTAACTGCTTCAAGCAGCTGCATAGATAGTCTGTGTTTAGCAACGTATGACTCTGAATTCTAGGTTTTCCTTTTGCACTGTGCTTCAGAGAGATTTCCTATGCTGGTTCCCTTCTCCTCTCCCTTTCTCGGCATCGTTCTGCTGTTTCTGGTGTTGCAGATCTTATTAGCTTGGTGGCAGGAGGTGGAGGTGAGTGCGCTTGCCGAGGCTCTGGATAAGCCTTAGTCTTAGGTTTACTGTGGCCCTGGTTCTTGGGATTGTGGCCTTCTCGGATCTTCTGCTCTTTTTCTAGCCATGGTTGTGGGCTCAGTCCTCAATCCTGTCACCCTCCCTGAAGAGTAAAGTCCTCTTTCCCCAGTCTCCTTTAGCTGCAATGCGTTTTCACTGATGTCCTGCTCAGGTTTAGGCTCTTGTACCTTGATGGACAGTGGGGAGAAGGGCCTGGCTGGAATTTCACACCAGTTCCATGTGGCTGCTCAACCCCTCTCCGAGGTCCACCACAGTGGACAAAACTTGGGGACTTTTCCAGACTTTTCTGTGAGCATCCAGCGGGGTTTGTGAGACAGAGCCAGTAGATGATGGGGAATCCTCCAAATTCTGCAGCCGCAGGAGTCTACCCTGTCCTGCCAGCCTGCATGCCTTCACCAATTTGCCTGCCATTCCTGCTGAACTCTTCTTACCAACGTGCCATCGCAAATTCCCAGTGAGTGTGCTCAGTCTCCTCTCTGAGCAGGTGTGGGCTTGGCTCCGAGGGCCCTGCTGCCTGCTCATGGCAGTGCCCGGGACGGTGCCGCAGCCCCTGCCCAGTGCCCAGAGAGCAACGCTGACGTCCAGAGGCTCAGCCCTGTCCTTGTGAGAGCCTCCCACACAGGGCCTGCATGGCGGTCTCCCTTATTATGACCACTTTTGGGGCACAGGAACCAAGGTGCAGAGAGGTTTAGGCATTCACCCTAAGGGCCTCAGCACCAGCCACATCTCAAGCCTGCCGGCCTGGCCCCAATGCCTTGGCCTTTCCTACCTTCTCCTTTGCCACACCATGTGGGAGGCAACAGCACATCCAGGAGCAGGGCTGGGCCGTCCCACCCCCCGCCTGGGCAGAGGGGTACCATGGAGCTTAATCTGTCTCGGGGAGGTGACCCGTACGTGGAATCTGTCGGGCAGCCCAAGGCTTGCCAGTTTAAGGATGCACGATTTTACTCCAGGTCAATCATCCCCCAGGCTGCCCGAGGCTTTGGAGCTTGCTGAACAAACTCCTGTTCTCTTCCCACGGACTGACTCATCTGGAAGCTTCCATCTGGGTAGTGGGCTGGGCTAGCTCTGGGAGGCCACGTGGCGTCCACCCCAGATGATTTCGCGCACCCCCTACAAGGGCTATGCCATTCAAAGAACACGCCTGAGCCTCCGGCTTCCTCCGAATAATGAGGCTGTTGTTACGCAAGGGCCCGGGTTAAATTGCCCCCAAACGGGGACTGGGATGCGCTTACTGCTGCGCTGCTGCTCGGTCAGCCAGCGTCTGGGATGGGAGCGCTCCTGCATTTTACATGACTGCGGGGCCTGTTCCTTGCGCCTGTCTGGTCGCGTCACATCATGGAGGGTTTCTCGGGGCGGCCGGCCGCCTCTGAGCACAGCCAGGGTGGTGTTTGCAGCACAGCTGCTGCCTAGGCCTCGCTGCGGAGGTGCTGGGCCACGGCCCCGTGGAGGCAGAGCCGCAGGGCCATCGACATGTCCTTTGAAAACGGGCATTTCCCCAACTCATGCAGGTGGAGGGGAGAGCGAAGCCAAATGGGACACCGGCCCCCACACACTGCCCCGGCTCCTGCATTTCCGGAGATGGAAACCTGGAGAGCAGCTGGGTATGGCGCATGATTGCCTGAACCATATGAAGGCTGGCGCTGTATGTGTGAACGCATGTGTGGCGGAACATGTGTGCGCCTGCACCTGTGTGTATGAATGTGTGTGCACATGTGTGCATGAATGCGTGTACCTGGACCTGTATGAATGTGTGTGCACATGTGTATGAATGTGCACATGTGTGTATGAATGTGTGTGCCTGCACCTGTATGAATGTGTCTGCACGTGTGTATGAATGTATGTGCCTGCACCTGTGTGTATGAATGTGTGCACATGCGTATATGAATGTGTGTGCCTGCACCTGTGTGTATGAATGTGTGCACACTTGTGTGTCTGAATGTGTGTGCCTGCACATGTATGTGTGTGCACGTGTGCATGAATATGTGTGCCTACCCCTGTGTGTATGAATATGTGTGCACATGTGTGCATGTATGTGTGTACCTGCACCTGTATGAATGTGTGTGCACATGTGTGTATGAATGTGTGTGCCTGCACCTGTGTGTGAATGTGTGTGCCTGCACATGTGTGTATGAATGTGTGTGCCTGCACCTGTGTGTGTGAATGTGTGTGCCTGCGCATGTGTGTATGAATGTGTGTGCACATGCATGTGTGCCCGCACCTGTGTTTATGAATGTGTGTGCACTGGCATGGAGTGTGCATGTACATGAACGTACGTGTGCATGCGTCTGTGTGTGTGCATGGATCTGTGTGCAAGTGTGTGGAGTGTGCATGTGTATGAATGTACGTGCATGTGTATGAATGTACGTGCATGTGTGCACACGTGTGGAATGTGTGGGTGTGCATGTGAATGTGCACACACGTGTATTGTGTGCATGAGTGTGCACAAGTGTGAGGGTGTATGTGAATGTATGCATGTGTATGTGCATTGGGTGGATTTGTACATGTATGTGCACACATGCGTGTGTGGGCCCACATGTGCATATGTGCATGGTGTGCATATGTGTTTGAGATGGAGAGAGCGCTTCTCGTGGGCACCGTCCATGCCCAGCAGATTCCCAGCAAGTGAATCAATGATTCAATAACTCAATAATTATCAATGAACCAATGACCCAAAGAAGAGGAGGCATTTGACACTCACGGGCCAACACCCAACCTGCTACACAGGGCATCAGACACACCGTGGGGTCATAGCACAGACCTGGATTTCCTATTTCCAAATCGTGAGGATAATGAACATTTTGTTTCTTAGGATCTTGAAAACGTGGGTTGGACTGCGTCACCCCGACCCCTGCCTCAAAGCCCCTCCGTGGTTGCCTACAGCACAGCTTGAAGCCCCTTGGTTCTGCTTCCCGGGCCTGCAGCGCTGGCCCCAGCCTGGCCGAGCGAGCATTTGTTCACCCAAGACCTTTCCCCTCCTGCCCTCGTGGAGCCTCCACAAGGAGTAAACAACCACTTCTGTGAGCCTTGATCTCCCTGTTTGTAAAATGCAGATAAAACGCCTTCCTAGCTGAGCAGTAGGATCGGGGGCCGCCCCCTGCTCAGCATGGGCCTGGGTGCAGGAACAGGAATTTTCTTTCTGCTCTGTGAGCCTATCTTTTCAAGGGTAGGGTCCATGTTTTCTCCATTTCAGGGTCCCTCAAAGCATCAACTCTGTGCCTTGCAGACAGCGGACACGTAACACAGCCACGCGGCGTGAACATGAGCAGACTTCTTTTTTCCAGGATGTGCACGGTTTCCACGACAATGCCCACTGCACGCCTTATGGCCTCACCAGAGACGTAAAGCAGATGCCAAGAAACTTCCCCCCAAAATGGGCTGGCTTGCCAAGCCCAGGACCGCCTGTCCAGCTGGGGCTGGGGGCAAGGATCCCATTTTCTGTGACTCTCTTTGCTCTGATGGTCAGGTTCACCGGCCGTACGTGTAATCTGAAGCATTCGGTAGCGATCTAATTAAATGTTAACACATCATTAAAGTGATTTGCGATAAGCACAGTTAACAGTTTGATAAATCCAGTCCGGGCTGACTCCATGCTGAAAACAATCACTCCCAATCAGGAGTGGGCTGTTGACATCCGCTGAATGTTGAGGGGACCCCCGTACAGCTGCCATGTGCCCAGCCCTGGCGTCGGTGCCCAGGGATGCTGGAAGGGCTGTGTGCGGACGTGGGGTGCTGTGGTGGGATGGGGGCAGCAGTTAATCCCAAGGCCGCTGGTGTCTGGGTGTCCCAGCAGCAGCCTGCACGCCTTGCATGGGATTAAGGAAGATCTTGGTTAACAGTCTGTAATGAAGGCGGCCTCCCGGTTGAAGGCTGTGAACTATTGCTTGTTAATGGGATTAATTGCCTCGGGAAGTAACTCTGCATTTCTGTGCATCTGGTGATGTGGGCAGAGGGATAGGAGCTATTTTTGTTTGAATATCAATACCGTGAGTTGGAGGCAGGGGAGAGATGGCACAGGAGGGAAGCACATTTGCTCAGGGGAGAGAACAGCTTCAGAAAATACAAACGGCCTAGTAGCAAAGCTCTCAATAAAGGACACATAGAGAAGTCCTGAAAGAGCAAAAGGGGCCTACAGAAGATCAGGGCCTGTGGGAGCTGGATGGCACTGGGGGACCATCTTAGGGAATCCTCTTCATTTGACAGCCAGGGAAACTGAGGACCAGAAGGAGAGACAACCTCACCGTGGAGGTGGGGAACTTTAGTGCCAAGGTAGGCCTGGAACCTGGGGAGCCATGTTGCTGGTGAGCAGGTGCAGGCTGTGTCCCCGGAAGGCTGGGCATGGGGTTCAGCTGGAGGCTGGTCCAGGGCCCCAGTGCCCGCCGCCTGGTGGAGTGCAGTGAGCATGACAGGGGGTCAGTGCCCTGGGAGTGCCTCCCCCACACCCTTCACGCGTGGTCTGGCCTTGCTGCGTGATTCCCAGTTCCCGGAAGTGAGGTCAAAGATTCTGATCCGATCTAAGGCTCACTTTTCAATTGCTAGGTCACTCGCCGGCGAGTTCAATTTGACTGAAAGATAACTTACAGAGCACCAACCATGTGCCAGGCACCTGGGTGCGAGGACATTCATGGTGCCTTCCTCTCTCATCTCTACTTGAGACTCCACTCGAGGGAGGGGGCACCACCTCACTCCCTCCTGGACTTGGCCGCATAGGTCTTACAGTGGCGTGACCTGTGCTGGGACCACACACATCACTCCTGACACCTGGGAGCTCTGCACCCTCATCTCTCTGGCTCCTGCTCGTTCCTCCTGTAGGTCACGGCTTCAATGCTGCTCTCCAGAGAAGCCCCCTGACTCCCAAGTCTGGACTAGGTGTCCCCATGTGGTCCCCTGCAGCCTCCACACTTCGCTTAACCCCCTCCACTTCATTTACCTTTCTTACCTGTGTCTTTCTTACCTGACTGTGCACCCCTGCCAAGGCTGCCCAGCCCTGAGGCCAGGGCAGACTACTTCTGGAAGCCCCAGTTTCCTTATCTGTAAAATGTCAGGAGAATAGCCCCTACCTCACAGAGCCATTATAAGAAGAATAATGGAACTTAACTAAATAACTAAAAAGTTACTGAATTAATCCATGTTTACGCTGCTGATAAAGACATACTCGAGACTGGGTAATTTATAAAGTAAAAAAGGTTTAATGGACTCACAGTTCCATGTGGCTGGGGAGGCCTCACAATCATGACAGAAGGTGAAAGGCACGTCTTACCTGGCTGCTGACAAGAGAGAACTTGTGTAGGAGAACTCCCATTTATAAAACCATCAGGTCTCATGAGACTTATTCACTATGATGAGACCAGCATGGGAAAGACTCACCTCCATAATTCAATTACCTCCAACTTGGTCCCTCCTACAACACATGGGATTTGTGGGAGCTACAATTCAAGATAAGATTTGGGTGGGGACACAGCCAAACTATATCAGTTACACAGCAACAAAACCAGCGATTTCTATCTTAGACTAGAGAAATTGGATTGGACAGACTGGCCACTCTAGGATCCTTCCTAGTAGGTTTCTGCTCATTAACTATGCCCCTGATGTTAACATGTACTCTTTCATGTCTTTTCTTTCTCTCAAAAGCTGGGCTAAAATTTTTTAAAAAATCATTACTGGGATTAAGGACTCTGAGAAGTAAATCAAGATGTTTAGTATAGAGAGATCCAAAACCTTCCAGCAGGTGGTTCAAACCAGTTGTTCATTAAACAGTTGTTAAGAGGACTGTGAGACTCAGTGGGGTAAAGGGACTGGTCCTAATTTGCTGGGTTTGACATTAGGACATTAAACTATATGATGAGATGACACCCCATTCACAGAGCTGATAAGACAGTCCTCCTGCTTCGTTAGCTCTACTCAGAGGAGGTGGTCTGGGTTGGGTTTTGAAGGATGAGTAGGAGTTTGCAGTTGAAAATGGGAAGGACATTTCAGGCAGAGGGGCCAGCATGATGAGGATACCAGAAGAAGCATAGCCAGATGGCAGGAACAGGAAGAGATGTGAGGGGAGATGGAGCCAGAGAGGGACCCAGTGCATTCATGACCCAGGGAGTTGGAGGATGGAAGATACTTTTGGTTTTAAGGATGGCAGAGGTGTGAAGTCAAGGACAGTGGTTAAGACAGGGGTCCCCAACCCCGGGGCCATGGGCCAGGACTGGGCCACACAGCAGGAGGTGAGTGGCAGGCAAGTGAGCAAAGCTTCCTCTGTATTTACAGCCACTCCCCATTGCTTGCATTACCGCCTGAGCTCCACCTCCTGTCAGATCAGTGGCAGCATTAGATTCTCAGGAATGTGAACCCTATTATGACCTTCACATGTGAAGGATCTATGCTGAGCATATGAGAATCTAATGCCTGATGATCTGTCTCTGCCTTCCATCACCCCAGATGGGACCATCTATCTAGTAGCAGGAAAACAAGCTCAGGCCTCCCACTGATTCTATATTATGGTGAGTTGTATAATTATTTCATTCTATATTATAATAAAGTGCACAAGAAATAGAATGTGCTTGAATCATCCCAAAACCATCCTCTGTGCCCCCCAACTCCCCACCATCCATAGAAAAATTATCTTCCAGAAAATGGTCCCTGGTGCCAAAAAGGTTGGGGACTGCTGGGTTAAGAGATGGATGTCACAGCCAGTAGCCAGAGCCCAGAGCAGGGTGACAGTGGTGGTGATGGAGGGGGACTGGTGTAGGGTCTGGGGCTGCCTGGCTGGGGTGGGTCACTGGGAGGGGGTATGGTGATGCTGGTGGTGAGGGAGTGAGATTGGTGTGGGGTCTGGGGCTGCCTGGTCGGGGTAGGGCACTGGGAGGGGGTATAGTGATGCTGGTCATGATGGAGGGGGCCTGGTGTGGGGTGCAGGGCTGCCTGGCTGTGGTGGGTCACTGGGAGGGGGATGGTGACGCTGGTGGTGAGGCAGTGAGATTGATGTGAGGTCCGGACTGCCTGGTCAGGTTGGGGCACTGGGGGGGTTATAGTGATGCTGGTCGTGATGGAGGGGGCCTGGTGTGGGGTGCAGGGCTGCCTGGCTAGGGCAGGGCACTGGTAGGGGGATTAGCTTGCTTGGGCTGCCATGGCAAAGGACCACCAACTGCATGGCTTAAAGCACAGACATTGATTCTCTCACCGTCTGAAGGTCTGAAGTCCAAAATCACCGTGTCAGCAGTGCCGTGCTCCCTCTGCAGGCTCCAGCGGGGGCTCCTCCTTTATGTCACCCACCTGGACGCAGTCGTCCACCCTTGGCACTCCTTGGCTGGCAGCGGCACCACTCCAGCCTTTGCCTCTGCCCTCACTCGGACTTGTCTCCTGTGTATCTCCTTCTCTTCCTCTAAGGACACCATCCAGTGTGACCTCATCTTAATCTGATGACATTTGCAGAGGCTATCATTCCAAATAAGATCACATTCTTGGGTCTCGGGGGTTGAAGATCTCTTCTGGGGAAACACAGTTATCTTTTGGGGACAAGAACACAGTTAGCTGCCTGCTGGGCCTCCCTTCACCTGCCAAGCTGTGTGCTGCTGGAGGATGAATCCGTGGGATCTGACCGTGGGCCACCCCAACCCCCACCCACACTGGCTGATGTCATCATTCCTCAACATTGAGTCCTGGTTCCAGGCACTGGGGACCCAGACAGGCTGAAGCCGCAGAGGCATCTGGGGGAGTGGTGAGTGCTTCCGGGGCTGGCAGGGCAGGGCTTACCTTGGAGACAGGGGGATGCCTCCCTGGGAGACACCTCCAATGAAAGGGGCTGAGTCTGGAAGCACGAATTCCCCAGGGACAGAGCAGAGCGTTGAGCCATGGGGGCTGGGGGCAGCGCAGCAAGCAGGAGGTGGAGTGAATAGTGGAAAGGGGAAGGGGCTGAGGGAAGGCAGGCCCAGGACGTCCACGGGGATCAGGTTGCAGAGGGGCCACATTGCAGAGGGGCCACGTGCCTGGCCCCTGACCAGCTCGAGGGGCGGGCCCTTTCTGAGACCCCTAGTCTAGCACAAAGGAAATGCTGACACCTTGGGAACAAGCCAGGAGTGTCGTGCGCCAGGGAGGTGGCCCACCATGAGGGGCAGACTGAGGGTGCAGCCCCAGCCTGGGTGTGGGAGAGGGTATTGATCCGGGCGGCTGGGGCTGCAGGAGGCAGGCTGATGGATGGGGCACTTGGGCCCCTGGGTGCGCAGGCACAGCATGCCCACATTAGGCCGCTGACGCCAAAATTGGTCTGGAAAGCCCATCACAGACGGCGGCACGTAGCGCACTAGAATGGCAATTATAGGCGAGTCATTAATTAAAGAAGACTGGCTTTTCACAACGACTCTCATGAACACACACTGCTGGTGCATCTGTTGATTCATTCAGCCTTTACCGAGTGCCTGTGAGACGGGAGTCAGAGCTCGGGCACGGAGGCAAGGGCCTGGATTTGGATCCAGTGGCTCCAGCAAGAGACATGCGCTCTGCGAGCTGTGGAAGCCGGCTGCGCCTACTGGGTGGTACAGCACACGGAAGGCCTGACTCATGCTCGCTCCCTTCCCCTGGGAGGAGGGTGGACAAAAGCGAGAGTTGTGGCCTGCAAAGGACTCCGGCGCCATCAGGGACTGGGCGGGGGCAGGGGGACCACTGTACCCAGCTGGGAAGGAAGGTGTGGTAGAGCTGGGGAGAGGTGAGGCCAGAGGACACTGCCAGTGGCCCTGTTTCTGAAGCTCTATCTGCACTTGCTGCCAGCTCTTCCTAAGGCTCAGCCCTCACTGTGGGACCACCCTCTGCTCCTTTGACCGGAGAACCTAGCCCACAGCTGCAAGTCCCCAAGGCCCCAGCCCACTCCACCCTCCCCCTGCCCAGCCTGCACTCATAGGACCCATCCAGTTGCTCACTCGGGCTCTGCCGGCCCCTGTCCCACCCGTGTTGCCCATGCCCCATTAATTTCAGCTCAGGTGCACTCTTGGGGCCTCTTTAGAGGGGGTGACACGTGCGGTTCTGCACCCCTGCTCCCCTGGGTTCCTTCTCAGGGTCCTCCTGGGCTTCCCCACACAGGCCTGTCCAGGTGGTGCTGCAAGCCCCAGGCTCCTCTTCCTTCTGCAGACATCTCTCCCTGTGCTTCTTCCTTTTCTCCCTCCATCCTTTCATGCTTAGGAATGTTCAAAAAGGGCTTTTATAAAACTTTGTAATTTGTTTAGCTCTCAATTTTGTTTAGAGGCTCGAGACAATGAGGAGGGGTAACTGAAAACCTGGAAAAAAGAAAACCTCAATTAAACTCCTAAATCCAGCAGCAGGAGGTAAAACTGGCGAATGCCGATTTGGAGACTGCTCAGGAAGCTGGCACGGTATCCGCCTGCTGCTGCGTCTAATTCACCGAGACTGGGTGCCCCGCCAGGGCCACACTGGAAGGCCACTTCACCGGCTTCATTAACAGCAAGCACAGAGGGAAACGCCAATGGAAGGCCTGGCATCGAGTATGTCCAAGACATTTCAAAGCACGTATGTTATTCACTTACTTCTGTACAAAGGGCCCTCACAGTGCTAGGAAAGTAATTATGATTCACCAGGAGAGGAAAGCACTGCTCTGTGGAGCTTGAGATCAGCAAACACCTATTGGGAGGCTAAAAGCTTTGTTCAGCAGACTTCAGGGTGAGGGCCCGGCTCCCTGGGAAGATGTTGGGGATGACAGCCTGGCTGTGTCTCTCGGTGCGCAGTTTCTGCTCTATGACACCACCTTTAGCTCCCCACCTTAGGAAGCAACCCCATGTCCGTCAGGATAGGGTGGGACGTGCTCCAGCTAGGAGCGTCCCCACCACTCACATGGGACGGGAGTCTGCACCGTGGTAGCTGTGCTGGACATCATCCTGGTCTGGGTGCTGTCCTGGCCTGGATGATGCCAGAGAACAAGACAGGCAGCAGCTGTGCTCTGGCAGAACTTTCGTGCTTTGGGAAGGAGAAAGACAGCAATGAGTAAGCAAAGAAATACATAGCAGTACGTTGTGTGCATGGTTTCAGAGCGGTGCTGCAGCCGGTGGTCAGGGAGGGCATCAGGGGAGGCAGCGTGGCCAAAGGCCCCAAGGCTGGACCATCTGCTTGGGGACTCAGCGCCCAGGCCTCCCAGTGCAGCCCCAGGGCCCAGCCCTCCACAGCTGCTCCTCTCTGGGGCTGGGAACGCCGGTGGATCCCGGGCCCTGGTAAGAACACGCAGGAGGTGGGCCATGAGCTGGAAGGCGGGAGTTCTGGGCATGGCTCCTGGGCACCTCCTCGCTTCCTACCTCCCTCTGGGCGCCTCCTCGCTTCCTACCTCCCTGAGCTCCAGCCTTGCGGGACAGAGGCCGGGCTGCTGCAGGCCCTCACCGCCTGTCTGCAGGGCCTTGCCTGCCTGGCTGAGGCTGTGCTGCCTGCTGGGAGCACAGTCTCTGGAGCCACCCAGGCTGCTGGTGCTTGAGTCCCAGCTCCTCTTGCCAGGAGATCTTGGACAAGTGACTTAGCTTCCCTTGGCCCGATCTGCATCAGCTGTGACATGAAGTGAATGCCCCCAAGGCCCATCAGAAAAATAAACTGAGTCAATCTGTGCCAAGTGCCCTGTACAGTGTGGGGCGCACAGTAGCCCCCAGCCTGTGTCTTCCCTGAATGAATGGGTGGATGAGTGAATGAATGAATGAGACCCTCTGCCTCCCGGCTGCTGGGTAGAGGTGCCAGGTGGCCACAATTGGCCTGGCAGCCCAGCCCACTCTCTCCGCCTTGCCTGCAGGCCTGTGGCAAGGCTGTATTTCATCTGCTGCAGGTGGGGTAGGGGGCAGGGGGTAGCTGGCCACTGACTCCAACCACTGTGCCTACTCTGGGCTCACACCTGATCCGCCCACCACGAGGGCCCTCCCCGAGCACCATTACAGCAATTAGGAGCTAAGCGCTCCACTTAACCATCAGGGCGAAATCACCGCACTGTGCAGAGGGAGGCAGACGCTCAGCTGTCTCGCCAGCCTGGAGCCCCCAACTCATCTGGGCTGAGGGCGGGCATAGGTTCAGGTGGAGACACGCTTGGGTTTGAACTGCAGTCTGGATGGGCCCGAAGGGCTCTGGCTGAGACGGAGGAGGCGGAATATGCTGGCGGGGCCACAGGGCTGGGCTTCCTATTCCCACGGCACGCATCTCCTGGGGCTGCCATGGCACAGTCCTGCAGATGGGGAGGCCTACGCCACAGAATGCACTGTCACAGTCCAGAGGCTGGAAGCCCGATGTCCAGCCGCCAGCAGGCAGAGCTGGTTCCTCCAAGGCCTCTCTCCCGGCTTGCAGATGCCACAGTCTCCCCGTGTCCTCCCTTGATCTTCCCTGTGCATGCCTGTGTCCTAATCTCTTCTTATGAGGACTCCAGGCAGGTTGGATCAGACCCCACCCTTGTGACCCCATTTTGACTTAATCTCCTCCCTAAAAACCCTTTCTCCAAATGTGATCACATCCTGAGGTCCTGAGAATTAGGACTTCCACATGCGAATTTTGGAGGGACGCGGTTCAGCCTGAAACACCCAGATTTCTGGGCCTTTTGGACACGTCTCCCAGGCTTATTCCAGGTCCCGCTGCTCCTGAGGCCGAGAATAGCCCTTCCTGCCTCCTGCACCCTGACCTCCCCTCCAAGCTTCCGGATGCCTCAGAGATGCAGCTACCACCCAACACCGAGGCAGCCCTGGGCAGAACCTCCTGTGACAATGCAGTGATGGCACCTGCACCTTACAGCCTCTGCGTCCCCAGAATTCAGCCCAGTGCCTGCACGATGAATGCCTGTTGGTTTGATGTGATGGGGAAACTGAGGACAAGCAGACATCTTTCCAAGCTGGAAGCACCCTCAACCCGGGCTGCTGCAGTTGTTTCTGGATGCTTGACAGCTCTCATCCTGTGTTTCTGGACAGCTGATGGCTCTCATCCTCCTCCGTGCTCCTCAGGGATGCCTCCCAGAACTTTGGGAGGCTGAGGCGGGCAGATCACTTGAGGTCAGGAGTTTGAGACCAGCCTGGCCAACAGGGCGAAACCCCATCTCTATCAAAAAATGTAAAAAATTTGCCAGGTATGGTGGCAGGCGCCTGTAGTTCCAGCTATGCAGGAGATGGAGGCAAGAGAATTACTTGAACCCGGGAGGGGGAGGTTGCAGTGAGCCGAGATAGCGCCACTGCACCCCAGCCTGGGTGACAAGAGCAAAACTCCATCTCAAAAAAAACAAAATTCCACTCAGATGACTTCAGTCGGAATTTCCCTGCCCAGTGTCTCAGCTCCAGTGAGAAATATGCAAATGTCCACGCGTCCATGCAAATGTCTACGCATCCTGACCACACCCCCCAGGTCTCAGCCAGGAAATCACCTCTTTAGGAAACGACATAATTATATGCAACTATTTTTGTCTGGCCGGCCAGACTGCAGGATTTACTCTGCTATTAACTCTCTGAAATCTGTCTAGACAATATGGAAGAGCCCTGGACAAGACAAATTCATTAGCAGGCCTGAATAATTCAGATAGACTTGGAAAGCAAATGAGCAGCAAGGTGTTCCCTCATGGTCTCTGCACACATAGGTTTTCCTTTAAGAGGCGGAATATAAATTAATAACAGTCTGATTGTCGTTAATAACACAGGCAGTGCCCATCCGCGGCTCCCAGATAGCCACACATTAAGGAAAGCTTTCATTTCCTTCCCCCTGGACGAATTGGTTGGTTAAGCTCTTGGAAGCAGCCCCATCGCATTGGTCAGAGATGACTGCTCCAATTATGAATCGCACAGCCATAACGTTTTGCAGCAGAGGAAGAGCTCTGCTCAGAAGTCGCTCTATCTTGGGAACTGTCTTTGGGGCAACAGGAGAAAAATCCGCATCCCCTTCCCCACACCAACCATCAGGTTCTAAATGAGTGAATGGGACAGGCTGTGCCCCTTTCAGGGGAAAACCAGCTTCAGAAAGAGCAGCCCCCTCACCCCGGACACCCCCAAAAGTGGGAAATCTGGCATGGGTAACCCAGCGCTCTTGTCCTCCCGACGATGCCGGCTGTCTGTGTGTCTCGCAGCCCCTTGGCCCACCTAGGGCTTCAGTTTCCGTTGCTGAACAGTTCCCCTGCACCCCTGAGGCTCGAGCCTGTGAGCTTACTCTGGTCATGGAAGTCAGCCTGGCCCACTTGCAGGGCAGGCGAGAAAAGCTAGGGAGTTTGTTCCTGCAAGAACAGCCCTCACTCACTGTTGGAGAAGACTAGGTGAAGGAAGGCCCTGTGTAGGCACAGTTCTGTGGAGGGCTCTGCACTGTCTCTGTGAGGACCTCCAGTGCCCAGGAGGGCTGAGCTCCAGTTGTCCGTGGAGGCCACTCCCTCATCAATGCACTTTTCCTGGCTCTCCTCCCCTCTCTGTCTCCCTTCCCTAGCCCCATCATGTGCTTTCTGGGATCACCCCCAAATAAAGTACATGGCCATATATAGGTGAAGTCCTAGGTCAGATGAGTGGGGCCCCGTGGAGGCCAGCACCGTGCATTTGGGGCCCTGGTAACACCCGAGGCACATTCCAAGGGGCTGCTTCTCAATGCACACCCCTCTGTCAGTGACTACTGGCCTGGCCCTCTGCCAGGACAGACCCTTTCATGACTGCCCAATGTGGAATTGCCCTAAGAGATCCTTCAGCATTTCTGGTGGGGGGTGCCTCTGGTTCTGACAGCAACTCTGAAAGTTCCAGATTGGTGTGGCCAAAGGGGATGAAAAGTGTGCCAGTTCTTTGAGGTCTCTTGCTTCCTGGGACCTGCTGAAGATTCCTGGTAGGGGGTTCTAGGCCCTGGGATGGTAGAATGCACATTGGGGGTTGCTATGCAAAACAGCTTCTCCCTGACTGTCATCAAGTTACAACAACAACAGTCCTCGTCCCAGGACTCCTCTTCTGCTCCAGACCCTGGGCTCCATACTAGGCCCTGGGGAGAATGGGGTCTCTGGAGCTGGCCCAGGGCTCAACGCTTTTGAAATAAAATAGGAGCCAACAGATGGAATCTCTCAACATCACCATCGGAGTGGTGGAGGCCAGGGTAGTGAATGTGGCTGAGAATGAGAAGGAAGATGTGCCTACCCAGCTCCAGGCAGCCCTGGCCTGGCCAGGCCAGGCCTCTCCATCTGGCCTCTGCTGTCAGCCTCTCTCAAGGGGAAGGTCTCAGCTAGGCCAAGACGTCTCAGTTATCTTTCCCAAATCTGCCTATCATGGGAGTCACTCCACCTTCCTGGAGCAGTGAAGAGCAGGAATACATCACAGATACATTCTCCTTCTTGAAAACCAAGAACAGGGGAAAGGCATCCCATTGGACCCAGCCCCAGGCCCGCAGAAAGAAGCACAAATCAAGGAACTAACACGTTATTTGGGAGGTGCAAACCCAGGGTGATGAGGATGGAGGAAAAAGGGAAGGGGCCAAGGAAGGATGTACAGAAATGAGATGCAGTGTGCTCCCTGTTGGCCGCCTTCACAACAGGCTGGGCAGATGCAGCAGTCACGTAGCAGATCATACCCAGGCGAGCAATAAGGAAAAGAGATAAATGTTAAATCAAAGTAATAAATAAACTCTTGGATCATCAGATAATCCATTAATAAATGGGTCACATGAATACTCTATGAAAATATCTAAATTTCCTGCTGATTTAACACAAAACATTTGACATCACTGAAGAGAGTAGAAAGCTCACAATATTCAACACAGCAAGGACATTGATGACCAACTGGTTGAGGTATGTCATCAATTCAAAGAGCGTCCAACATGAGTTATATCCAAGAGCCCTGGAAGTGCCTTGATATTGCACATCTCAAGTAGAGAAGCAATTTGATGAGGTTTCCCCAAATTTGACAACTGTTTCATAATTTATATAATATGACAAATAACGAATAGTAAAAGGGAAACTTCTTTCAAATGTCAACACTTGAAAACAAGCTTTGACCAACCACGAGAGATTGTCTCAATGGAAAATACTGTCAAATTAGGATCTTATGGAGAGATGGAGCAAGCATGTGGCCAAAACCTGTGGGTATAAAGTAAATAGTCACAAGAATGTTCCTTAGTAAAATTGATGTAATTTTTCTGGAGCTTTGAAATTTGTTGTATTTGTAAGCTATTTTAAGCTTGAAATGTGTTATTTCTTTCCTCATTCTAAGTAAATGTTCACTTTTATAACTAAATTTGCATTTATAATTTTGTAATTTTGTATTTTTTTTTCCCAAGATGGAGTTTCGCTCTTGTTGCCCAAGCTGGAGTGCAATGGCGCAATCTTGGCTCACTGCAACCTCCGCCTCCCAGGTTCAAGTGATTCTCCTGCCTCAGCCTCCTGAGTAGCTGGGATCACAGGCTCGTGCCACCACACCTGGCTAATTTTTTGTATTTTTAGTAGAAACGGGGTTTCACCATGTTAGCCAGGTGGTCTTGAACTCCTGACCTCAGCTGATCCACCTGCCTTGGCCTCCCAAAGTGTTGGGATTACAGGGGTGAGCCACTGCACCCGGCCTTGTATTCTTTTTCTTAAAAGCCCTCACCCCATTATGTAAACTTCAGTCCCCAGTAAACCCATATCCATCTCATATAGCAGCAGTCCCCAACCTTTTTGGCACCAGAGATTAATTTTGTGGAAAGCAATTTTTCCACAGACCAGGTTGGGTGGAGGGATGATTTTGGGATGAAACTGTTCCACCTCAGATCATCAGGCATTAGATTATCATAAGGAGCATGAAACCTAGATCCCTCGTGTGCACAGTTCGCAATGGGATTCATCTCCTATGAGACTCTAATGCTGCTGCTGATCTGACAGGAGGTGGAGCTCAGGCGGGAATGCTCACTTGCCTGCCACTCACCTCCTGCTGTGAGACCTGGTTCCCAGCAGGCCATGGACTGATACCAGTCCAGGCCCAGGGGTGGGAGATCCCTGCTCTATAGGCCCAAAACTACTCAAGGGAGATCTCTGGGGTAAACTGAGGTGCTGGGCACCCATGGGGTCCTAGAGGCAGAGTACAGAGTATCCCCTTCCTCTTCGCAGCTGGAGGGTCTGACCATGCCCTGTCCTTGTGGGGCCAGTGGCTGCAATGCCCAGATGTCAGCTGCCCGCTGAGGCTGAGCCCTTCTCCTGTGGACAGGCTGCCCCAGAGTCAGGCAACCCCAGATCCCTGTGGCCTCCCCTTGGGCATTTTCAGGCCTCAAGATGGGGGTGGATGTCAGGGAGTGAAAGGGAAATCCTGGTGTATTAGTCTGTTCTCATACTGCTACAAAAAACTATCTGAGACTGGGTGATTTATAAGGAAAAGAGGTTTAAGTGGCTCATGGTTCTGCAGTCTGTACAGGAAGCATGACTGGGGAGGCCTCAGGAAACTTACAGTCATGGCAGAAGATGAAGGGGAAGCTGGCACATCTTATGTGGCTGGAGCGATAGGAAGAGAGCAAAGTGGGAGGTGCTACACGCTTTCAACCAAACAGATCTCGTGAGAACTCTATCAGCGTCTCCGGGCCAGCTGTCCTTCTGGCTTGATGGTGGCACACTGACCCTGGCTTGTACGTCTCCAGTGCTGGGGAGCTCACTACCATGAATGTTCGCCCTGCATTGTGCACCACCCCTGAGACCCCTCCTCCAGTACAGAGGCCGAGCCTTTCTTGGGCTCCGCTGCCAGTGACAACCCTTCTGAGACGTGGAGAAGGTGACAAGGTCTATCTGTGCCCCTGCCCCCTGCACACAATGGCCTCAGTTTCTTCAGCTTTTGCCTGGATTCTGAGGTTTTCCTCCACTTGCCTGGCCTAACTCCTTGGTCTCCCATTCCGGCCAAGGCTGACCAAGAGGAGGGAGAGAGGGCCCGTTTCATCCTCCATCCATGACACTCCATATCCTTTGTGGCAGCTCAGCCTCCCCCAGCCTTCTGGGAAACAGTGTTTAACCCTTTGTGGTGTTCGTCTCCTGTGGCTGCCATAATAAACACCATGGACTTGGCAGGTCAGTGCTCAGTAATTATCTCATGGTCCTGGAGCTCGTAGTCCAGCACGGGTCTCACTGGGATAATGTCAAGGTGTCAGTGAGGCTGTGTTCCTTCTGAAGGCTCCAGGGGAGAAGCCAGTCCTTGCCTTTTCCACCTCCTAGAGGTGCCCACATTCATTGGCTCGTGGCCCTGAGCTCCCACTGTAAAGCCAACCACAGTGGGTGGAGGTCTTCCTGCACTGAGTCACTCTGGCCCTGCTTCTGCCTCCCTCCCGCCCAGTGCAGGACCTGTGTCATGATCCAGGATCATCTCTCCATCTCAAGTCAACTGACTTGAAGTCTGGATGTCCTGGGGCCACAAAGCCTAACACAGTCACAGATTCCTGGATTCCAACGTGGACCACTTTAGGGGCCATTTCTCTGGGGCCACGCCTTCCTCCCTGGAGGGCTTCAGGGGTCTTGCCCAGCCATGCTGCCTCCTGGTGGAGTGCTGCTCGGACACACACACCTGTCTCCCAGGTGAGCTATTCATATGCTCACAGCCAAGAGTGTGGACCTCGACCTGGGCGGACTTGGGCTCACAGGTCAGCACTAGGCATGACCCTGGGCAGGTTTCTTGTTGTGCCCAAGCCCCAGTGTCCTCATCTGTAAAATGGGGACAAAAGGTCCACTTCTGGCTGGGCATGGTGGCTCACACCTATAATCCTAGCACTTTGGGAGGCCAAGAAGGGTGGACCATTTGAGGTCAGGAGTTTGTGACCAGCTTGGCCAACATGGTGAGACCCCATCTTTACTAAAAATACAAGAATTAGCCAGGCATGGTGGCACGTGCCTGTAATCCCAGCTACTCAGGAGGCTAAGGCGGGAGAATGGCTTGAACCCAGGAGGCGGAGGTTGCAGTGAGCCGAGATTGCACCACTGCACTCCAGCCTGGGTGACAGAGTGAGACTCCGTTTCAGAAAAAAAAAAAAAAGACCCACTTCTCAGGCTTGGCTGAAGTTTAAGGGAGAATGTGTATGTGATGTTCGTGGTAGATGGTCAAGAGATGCCGCCAGGTTCCCTCCCTCCCCACACACTGAGGGCGCTTTGAGGGTCCCACAGGAACCTTCTCCCCGGGCTCCAGGTGAACATGCCTGGTGCAGCCTGGGAGTTCTCTCCAGCAACTGGCCACCCACTGTGGGCACAAGTCTAAGGCAGATGACTTACAAGGGCTGGCCAGGCGAACACTCCACTGTTAGATAGCAATTAAGTCCAATACTTGGAGACATAAATGAACTTACTAGTATAGGTGGGTGGTAGAACCCAAACAGTGAATATGTGATTTTAATGAACAAGGAAGTCTGAGCAAAGATCACATAAGGTCAGGGGACCTGTCCTGGCTCGGATATGACCCAGTTTACCAAATAGTCCCCGAAAACTTCCCACTCACATGAAGGGACCCTGGGTTTGTCCCGAGCCTTCTAGCAACCAGGGCGAGGGTGAAAAATGCATCAGTTCCTACATCCACCATGCAAAAACTCTGTGGTTTTTGAAAAGGCCTTTTGGGAAGAAGCACAGCTCTTCTTGGTCTGAGGTTAGAGGCCGACCCCAGGGAAGGGGCGCCAGGTGAGGAGATGACCATGTGTGAAGGTGCCAGATGGGGCTTACCCGGCCTCTCTCTGATCACAGAGCTTGGTGGCAGCATCCCCTGACCCTGTCACCTCCGGAACCTGCGAAGGCCCCCACCCCTGCTCCTTCTCATGCTGCTGCAGTCACAGACTCAACTTGAGAGCTGGTTCTTGCTCAACACCTTCCTTTTAGAAATGGGCAGGACCTCGACACATCACCTACATCACCACGTGTGTTGACTTGTGCAACATTTATACCGCTGTATCTCCAGGCCAGGCCTCATTCCCTGCAAGCCTCCTGCGTCTCTACCTACCACCCTCCACCTCTCCAGTAGACGTCTCACCCGCAGAGCAAACTCAACAGCTCGGCCACACCTGAGCTGCCGTCATCCTGCTGAGACCTGCCCCAAGGCCTGTGTCTGGCTGGGGGGTGTATCCAGACTTCCCTTGCTTCATCTGGCCCTGAACCTGAACATCGTCCCCCATGCCCCTCATGCCCCAGCCAGGCCGCCAGCAAGGCCGCCTCCACCCTATTTCCAAATAGGGTCCCCTTCACAGGTACCGGGGTTACAACTTAGATCTGTCTTTGGGGGACATCTGAAATACGGCTTGACCTGCTCAGCCCCAGCGAGTGAGCATGCTGCACCTTGTCCTCTTAAAGGATCGGTGTCATTGGGTCATGCCCCTCCTCGGCTCTGAATGCTGCACAGGCCCCTCCTCCCACTCGGGGTTAAAGCCCATGGCCTTGGCAGTGGTCACCCAGGTACCATGAGCTGGGCCTGCAGCCCTGGCTCCAGCTCCCAGCCCCTCCCCCACTCACACTGCCCCAGCCCAGCCCTGGTGCACCCCATAGGCCTCTGTGCCACCTGCTCGCTCTGCTTGGAATGCCCTTCCGGCAGGTTCTCTAAGGCTCACTCCTCACCCCCTCATGCTGCCTCTCCTCCACGAGGCCCCCATGCAAGGCCCCCCTACTTGAGCCCTCCCATGAGGGCCCCCTTCTCCATGAGATCTCCCTCTCCATGAAGCCACCTACAAGGTCCCCTTCCAGACCCCCCACCACGAAGCCCTCCTTTCCATGACGCCCCCCACCTGAGGCTCCCCTCTCCATGAGGTCCCCCTGCAAGGCCCCCCACTCCACAAGGCCCCCGCTCCATGACGCCCCCTTCCATGAGCTCTGGGCCACTGTCTGAAGCTGCACCCAGCCTCCCTTCCTGCCCCAGCCCTTTCCATCCCCTTCTCCGGCTCTGTTTGTTGCTGTCCCCCAGTGTCCATCTGTCTGTCTAGCAGACAGTCGCCTGCTGTCTTTGTAGTTTATCACCCATCTCCCTCCCCCACGCCACCTCCCAGTGCAAACACGATGGGTAGGCAGATGCAGCTGCCTCACTCACTGACACATCCCAAGCGCCCTGCCCAGTGGAGCTCGATCGGTTTCTGTAGCATGAGTGAATTCATTTGTATTATTCTAAAGAAAGAAAACTCCGTCTTTCCATACAGTTAGCAAATATGAAGACCACCAGGCCAGGCCAGGCCAAGCGGAGCGTGCACGTCCCGGGGTGTCTCCGGCCTGCTGTGCCACTGGGGGGCTTTTCCTGCATCTGCTCCTTCTGTCTCACAGCACCTGGGGCAGCCGCCAGCATCGCCCTCTTCACAGATGAGGAAACAGAGACCCAGAGACACAAGATCTCCTGCCCTCCTGCCCAAGGCCACCCCAGGCTCGGGGTAGAGATGGATTTAGAAGCTGTGGTCCACCCATTTCCACCCACCTCTGCCCTGGGGGAGGACAGGGATCCTGAACTTTCTTGCAGGGAGCATGAGGTGAAGGCGTAGGCCCCTCTCCAGCTCACTGACCCCAGATTCCACTGTCTCCCTGGGAAATTCTCGGCTACAGCAAACTCTGAGTACTCAGGATGCACCAGCCAAAGGCACCTACTGCACACAGGAAGCCGAAGCCTGGGGAAGTGGCCCAAATCCCTACTCCACCCACCCTGGTGGCCACTCAGCCCCGGCAGGAGGGAAGCGCTGAGGAGATGGCTACCGAGTAACCAGCCCACGCCTCTGAGGGCCTCCCCGCAACTCCTTCTCCCTCAAACTCCATTGTCTCAATCCAGCACTGGCAGGGGCTACTGGGCTCCATCAGCAGCAAAGCAAACCAGTGCACCCTCTGTCCTTCATAGAGGCCTCCATGCTGGGTAGACCCTCTCTCCCAGGCCTGTCTCCAGTGGCCCAGCCTTGTCCAGAATGGGACGGACCTTCCCACCCTCTTCCTTGCTGGCCTTCGCTAGAACCTTCCCTCCAGCCTCAACCCCAGCTCCCTCTTCTCTGTGCGCCCATCACCTCCTCCAGGAAGCCTTCTGGGCTTACCATTCCCACCAGGTCCTTGTTAAAGCCCCTCTTCTGCTCCAAGTTAGGGGTTAACCCAGGAGGCCACACCTTCTGTGCTCCTGCAGCCCCCACCCATTGGTCAGAGAACAATTCTATCTGACTGCGGTGTGGGCAACTGGACACAAGCTTTGCTTTGGGAGCAGTGACCATTCTCCAGAATGGAGGCCAGTGGGGCCGAGCCAGCAGTTGACTGACTGCACCCGTTGGTGGGGGACAGGGTTGGTGGCGGCCCCTGCTGCAATACTCATGTGTAAATTCACATCCAGTGTCTGCCCGGCAGCCCAGGGTGGCAGGAAGAGTCACAGTCAGGGCCTCAGAACCTCCAGGAAGCAGCTCGGCCAGGCCACCTCTCAGTTCCTGTCTCCCGAAAGCCTGGGCTGGTGGAGGGCCCTGAGCCCTCTGACTCTGCAGCTTTGTCTGTGAGTATGAGCCTAGAAAACAGGGTGCACTGGGGTGAGCAGTGCTCCCCTAAAAGGACACATCTAAGTCCTATCCCCCAATACCTGTGACAGTCACCTTATTTGGAAATAGGGTCCTTGCAGGTGCAATTACCTATGTTAAGATGAGGTCACACTGGAGTAGGGTGGGCCCTAAATGCGATGACTGGGGTCCTTATAAGCAGCGGAGAAGAGACAGACACGGAGGGAAGCCGGCCGTGTGAAGGCGAAGGCAGCGATCAGAGTGATGCGTCCACCTGCCCAAGAAATACCAAGGAATGCCAGAGCCCTCAGAAGCCAGGAAGAGTCAGGGAATGACACCCCCACCCCGCAGCCCCCCGAGGAGCCAGCCCTGCACACCGTGACTTCAGACTTCTGGACTCTAGAACTGGAGACATAATTCCTATTGTTTTCAGCCACCCAGTTTGTGGTACCGTGTTATGGCAGCCTGGGAAACTAACAAATGGGGCTGTTCATCACATAACTGCCAGCACAGGCATCTTTCTTTTGGTAAACATTAAATAAGATCATCAGTGTACGAATAACCTGCAATCATTCATTCATTCATTCATTCCTTCACTCATTCAACAAATAGTAACTGGATCTTAATCAGGCCACCTATCATTTATCAGGAATTACTCTAAACGTTAGGATCCTGATTGTGACCGGCAGCGTGCACATATATACAGTGCATTGCTGCAGGAGTGAGCTCTAGGCTGGGCCCCAGGAAGAACTTCAGAGCAACACTCCCGAGCCACTGGGCAGCGGAGCTGTGGCCTTTGCTCTGGGCACCGTTACTCTGTTGGTGGGGGGACCACTGGGAGGGTGCAGAGTGGGCGGTGGGAGGGGACAGCTTCACCCTGAGCCTCCTGCAAGTGGCGGTCATATGCACAGGGAGCCTATGGCTGCAAACAGCTGAAGACTGGGGGAGGCTGTTAATTCCTCTGGGCCTCCCGGGGCCGATGTCAGAGCATTTGCTTAGTCATTCAACACACACCTGCCTGCCCCAGCCAGCCTGAGCCTGGCACTTCTCCTGGGCAGCTGCCGTGAGGGTGGTAATGGTGATAACAGCAGGAGCAGCTGAGTGGTGGGGCCCCAGCTCTGCTCCGTGGGCTTCATCTGCATTAACCCTCTCAATTCTCCTTCCCACCTGGGGAGGTCAACCAGCAGGAGATCCACAGCTGGGAGACACAGGGTGGGGGCTGCCCACCCCCAGGTTGCTGGCTCTGAAGCCCTGCTGGTGACCAAGTGTTGATTGCTTTACTAATGAGGTTGCCATACTCATGAGGAGCCCCACAGCAGCTGTGCCTGCACCCACCCGCCCCCCAAATACAGGCAGATTCCACCCCCATGTCGTGTCCTCAGAGCAGGGAGCCCCGTCCATGAGCAGACAAGGACAGACACCCCAGGCATCACAGGGCTGTGAGTGTGACCCCAAGTGACAGTGCAGACACCCCACACCTGCCTGGAGTCCATGGGTCCAGGGTCATCCGTGAGACTTTGAAGGGCGGGGAAGGATCAGAAGCCGTGGGGGCTTCAGCAGCCTTGGCCAACGGCCTCCCTCCTGCACTCTCACGGTCCCACACCGGGGTCAGGGTCACTGTCCCTCCACACGGCTTTGCTCCAGTTTTGGGGCAAAGTAGACTTTAAAGCTCCATTTTTTTAATAATTAAAAAAATCACCAAAACAAAATAGAGAGGAGGGAGGGGGTGCGGGGGATCCTTCCCCGACAGGGACAGGGATGCCTGGCTCTTAGGGAGGCCGTGGAGCAGGGGTTTCCAGGCTTCACCGTGGAGGAGGCCTGCTGGCTGGTGGGGCAGCCCCGTGAGGACAAGTGGGTGGCTGAGCCGAGGGCCGGGAGGAGGGAAGCTTCCTCTAGGTCTGGGCTGGGAGTGGGTGGTGTTGGGGTGTGCCTGTGTGTTTATACAGCACGTGGGGCTTTGCAGTAGTGTTGGAGAAATGGATCCCAGGGAAGCAGGACCTCTGCCCCGCCCCTGGCCCCTCCAGCCGGGGCCCCTCCACCTCTGCCTCTGTCTGCCCTGTGGCTGGGTGATGAGAGGTGGCTTTGAAGGGGAAGCGGTGGCCAGGCCAGGAGCCGGCTGTGGGGGAGGGCAGGGGTCCTGGGAACACTTAGTCCCTTATCACTGATCAAAGCCAGGAGGTGCCGCCGACAGGCGAGGTGTGGCCCCACCTGGCTCTCATTAGGCGCCCGCAGCCTTGTTCCTGCCGGCTCTGCTCTGGCTCACAGGCGCCCCAAGACCAGCTGCCCTGTGGCGGCCCGGCCATCACACCTGGCAGAGGGACTCACAGGCCACACACCAGGCACCAGCGAGTGGACTCCGCAGCCCTGCACATGGCCACATGCCCAGTCCCGGCTGCCTCTCCCTGCAAACCCGGCATTGGTGGAAGCTGAAGGCAAAGAGATTGATCCTGCAGCAACCCAAGGGCCCGGTATCCCCAGGGCACTGTTCCCAGGGTGCGGCAGGAACCTGCGAGGAGGGGGAGGGGTGTCTTCTGTCCACAGCGCATTCTTCCGGACATTCTCCAGGTGAGCTTCAGCATGAGGAGGGTGGCGGGACTTGTCTTGGGCTCGTACCCCAGCTTGCCCTCCTGTGTGACCTTGGGCAAGTGGCGCAGACTCTCTGGGCTTTGGAACAGTGTGCATCCGTGAGAACCACATTGGGAGGAAATTTGCCAGCTGTAGAGTCCCACACATGAGTGTCAGTTGTTGTCCTTACTCTTAGCAGGGGGGCTTGTGTTGGGGAAGCAGGCGCATCTGAGAATACCCATCCAGGGAGGAGGGGCGGGCCAGCGGAGACGTCCACCCTCGGTTGCTCGGCTTTTGGATTCAGCCTCTTGTTTTCCTTTCCCCTCCCTGACCGTGGCCTCTCGGTCCCCCAGTGGCTCCTCCTGTCTCCTGACTGGAACCTCTCTTGGCAGCCTCCCCATTAGCCCTGCTGGTGGACACCACCTCCATGATGCTCCCGCCTGGGTCTACCCTGAGCCTGGACCCTCGGGCCTGCCACCCACCTGCCCCTGCCATCCCCGGCCCTCCCGCCCGCCCCATCACGGGGTTTAGTGCTGCCAGCACCCTCCATTGACAAATGACATCCAGGATCTCAACACCTGTCCCCAGCCCCACCGAAACTCCCAGTCCATCTCTCTGTGTCTCTGTCTCTGCCTCTGTCCCTTTCTCCAGGTCTCTGTCTCTTTGTTCCCCTCTCCTGGTCTCTCCCTCTCTGTCCTCCAGACCTCCTCTCTCTCTGTCTCTCTCTCTCTGTTTCTCTGGCTCTCTCTTTTCCTCCTCCTATTTATTCTTCTATTCCTCCTCCTTCTCTTCTTCCTCTTTCTGCTCCATCTCTCTGCTCTGTCCTAGGAACATTCTAGAACAACTCACTAAGGAAAATCCACAGTCCTAATTTGACTTGGGTCTCGGTCCCTCCTTCCCCCATGGTTCTTTTCAGCCTGATTCACACAAAAAGGGAGGCTTGGTGGCCCCACTGGCTGCAGCCCCAGAAGGGAGGAGAACCGGCCAGCCCTCTCCTCTGCAGCGCCCCTGCTGTCCCCGCCCCCTCTTCTCTGCAGGGGGAACGGCATTCACAGGAAGGGCCACCACCAAAGAGGAAACTGAGGCATGGATGGGCATCTTGGGCTGGGCCCGGCTTTGCTGTCGGTGTGCTCTTGTGTGAGGGGGTTGGGCAGTGACCACACCTATCAGAGCACAAGATCGGCTTCAGCACTGCTCCAGCCAGCTGCCGGAGAGTGGCCACCTAGTGCACACTCAGCAAGGCCTCAGCAGACCTTATCCAGTTCCCCGACACGTGGAAAGCAGGCGCAAACTCCATGGCTTACACCCATGGGACCCAAGCCAAGGCTTTGCACGCCAGCCCCTGCCCCAGCCTCAGTTTCTGCTCCTTTGAAATGGGCATCATCCATCCTGCTCTGCACAGCTGAAGGCCCAGTCCCCAGAGGAATCGGGAACACACCCCCTGGCAGTGTCTGTCTCCTGGATTCCCTGAAGGCTAATTCAGAGGTACAGGCCCTGCCTAGGGGCCTCCTGGCTTCGTATGTCTGTCCCCTTCCCCACTGTTCACCAGTTCGAGGCTCCTTTCAGCACAGCAGCTGCCTCTCAACATCCCTATGTGAGGCCTCCTCTGACTGCTTTAGGTCGTCCCCAGGTTCTTGGGTGCAGCTGGTGGAAAGGTATGAGCTTCAAAGTTGAGTGTGACCCCATCATTTAGGGTTGGAGAACAGGTGGGTGGGCGTGGCTGAGCCCCCCAGGAAGGGTACTTCTGGCTGAGATGGAGTCTCTCTCTGTCTCCCAGGCTGGAGTGCAGTGGTGCGATCTCAGCTCACTGCAACCTCTGCTTCCCAGGTTTAAGTGATTCTCCTGCCTCCCGAGTAGCTGGGATTACAGGAGCACACCACCACACCCGGCTAATTTTTTTGTATTTTTAGTAGAGACGGGGTTTTACTATGTAGACCATTAAATTATGTTCTTAAAAGTTAAGAGTCTTTCAGGAGAGTTATGGATCAGTTTGCAATCCTGAGAAAATGCGAGGTAAACAAATACAACCCCCTACTTCCCCACCAAAAATAATCATATTCAGATGATCAACCAAGCCATGGTACCTTCTTTACAAATATCTAGAAGAAGCCCAAAAATGATTGCCACATGCCATCCATCGTTGATTAAGCCAATGCGTTTCAGTCATCCTTCATTTACATCCTGACCTCCTAGTTTCAAGACAGCACCTTGAGGGCCAAGGTGATGGAGCATTTTAGAAAATGCCTGCATCAGCACAGGCGTAACTGGTAAGCAGCTCCGGGTGCAGCGGTGGTCAAGAAATTGGAACAAATGTTTAGTATTAAAGGGGTCTAAGTGACGGGGGGAATTTCATATGTTATGATTTATGCATCCGTCATTCCAATCATCTTAAATAAGAAAAATGTTGGTTCTTAGTTGCCACCGAGAAGTATCTGGTCTCTTTTAGATGAAGGCGAGCCACACAGAGTGACGGCTCAGCTCTGCTGCAAAGCTAACACTTGCCTTATTATGTACCTGATAATTCAGACAAGATTTAATCAGGCAATTCGTTTCTAATACCCATTCGGTATTGGCTTTCTGTTTTGAATTTGCCTCTATACATGTAATATCCAGGAAGACTATCTGTCTTTTGTTAAATGTTTTTAAGTTCCACATTTTCAAGTTACATACAAGAGATAATCCAATCAGTAAAGTTAAACCAATGGAAACTGGTAGAATTATCAGATTTTTTTCCCAGCGGGGAGGGAAATAAATAATGTATTTATATAGTGTGTATCTATTCATCTATGTTATATATTTATATATGTATTATATATTATATATTTATAGGTCATATATATTAATCTCTAACTTATTAAATAATAAATTTATGTATGACAAACTTAACTATATACTTGTTTTATATACTTTTATATATAGATATCATTTTACTATATGTTGTGTGTTATTAGATTTGGGTCCAAAAAGCTCTTTACAAAAAATTACTCACTCACTTCTCTAGATTTTGTAAAACAGGACACATTTCCATTGAAATGGGTAACACCGTCTGCGGTGTAAGATTTACAGTAAGGTTTACTGTCTCATGTAAAGTGTTCAATAGCTCCTTCCCCAGGCCTCTCTTTGGGCCAGGCCCTGGTCAAATCTCCACCCTCAATATGAATCAGGCAGGTCCAGTGAAAGGACACAGGGACCTTTCACTTCCGTGGGAAAGAGCGGTGGAGATGGGGCAGGGACGAGTCAGCTCAGGGGGTTCCTCGGGGAGGAGTTTGCTGGGTGTGGGTGTGCTTAATTGAGTCTTTATTTCCATTTCGGGAAGCACCTAAACTCGTTTTCTAGGCTTCCTTGCTGAATCTGCAGTTTTGAAGGTTATCCACTCATCTATTTATTCAACAAATGTTTATTGAGCACCTACTATCTGCCAGGTAGCAGGGCCAATCTTGGCCCTAAAGTTCTGAGCTGGGAGTAAAGAATACTGAGGGAAAGCCTGTGAAACGTAAGGTAAGAGCTGTTCTTGTTTTGTTTTTTAAAATGCAATAGGAATCATCCTGCTTTTAAAATCATTTTGGATCAGTCGAGTTGTATTCATTGTATACATTCAATGTATTCATCGATTCTTTCCTGGCTTTATTTGCCCATTCAAAAATATCTGTTGAGTGACAGATATTAATACAAATAAAGAACTGCTTCAAAGCAGTGTTATCTGCTAAAAAGCTTGTGTGTCTAGTCACTGTCTCTGGGCTTGAATTTCCAAGCTGGAATCTTTGGTGAAGGTTCTCTTTGGAAACCTCCCAGCTACAAAGACAAATGAGTGGTTGATTTTATGGACAGTGAATATTCGGCGCAGCTCCAGAGCATCTGGGCCGTATGCTGCCTGTTCTGAAACACCCTGAGAGATGGGGGCACCTTTGGACATTTTTAAAGTGTTCTTCTTCTAAAATTTTGATAAGAACCGGAGACACGGAAACAAAACAATATCTTGCCCAATTGGATCCAGAGACTAAAGAGACATTCCTGCAGCGTTTGCCGCTGTCTTAGTCCAAGAAGCTCTGGGTAACTTTTCACAAAGTGGAAGGGAATTAGCCTTAGTTGACGATTTGTGTATTTGGGTTTGGGGTAAATTCATTTCTTTTCCTTCCTGCTTTACCTAACTGGAATATCTGTTGCACTCCCCTCACTTAAATTCATAGATATTTGTTCAAAGTTTTCATTCCCCTAATTTGCTTTGACCTAGAGACTGACTTGAATAGATTTTGAATAATCTAATGACATAGCTTCCTGGGGCGTGGGGGGCTCACATGTTACCAGCTTTGATGGGGAAATTAACTATTCCTGATTTATGGATCCCTCATACTGCTCAGGAGAGAAACCTGTATGGTGAACATTTTTTTTTTCCCAAGGAGAACAGGGGAGAGAGATGAAGCAGGAGATCGTGTCTGTAGAAGGCTGCAGTCCCTCGTGCAGAGGGCACCGGCCTAGGGGCTTCACATATAGACGCCTTTTCTAGCTCGGCAACTTTGTTTTTATTTATTCATTTATTTTTGAGACAGGGCCTAACTCTGTTACCCAGGCTGGAGTGCAGTGGTGCGATGACAGCTCACTGCAGCCTCCACCACCCAGGCTCAAGCGATTCTCCTGCCTCAGCCTCCCTGGGTACCTGAGATTACAGACGCCCACCACCATGCCTGGCTAATTTTTTGCATTTTCAGTAGAGACAGAGTTTTGCCATGTTGCCCAGGCTGGTCCTAAGCTTAAGCAATCCGCCTGCCTCAGCCTCCCCAATGCCAGGATTACAGGCATGAGCCACCGCACTCGGCTGGCAACTTTGGATGAATCACTTGATCTGTTGAAATCTGAGTTTCTTCATCTAAGAAAATAATATCGAACCAAAACCTCTTACAGGGCTATCACGATGTGCAGATGAGGCCACGGATGTAAACATGCTTTGAAAACACTGAATACTACAAAATATGGGGGATGAGCATTAGTTAATTAACATAGAATTTTTGTGATTTGTCAATCACCTACTATGTGCCAGATTGGACCCATACATATACATTTCCAGAAGAACAAGGAATTTCAAGCTTAGTTATTTGTTGGGATTTTCACTTCTGGCATAACAGGTACTGGATTTTCCCTCCCAGTGTAAACAATGATGAAACGGTAGAGAACATGTGAGGCCACTGTGCTCAGATATTGGACAACAGGCAGAGCAGGTTTGTGGTTCCCCAGAGAAGAGGAGCAAAGGAGGTGGGTGAGCTTTGTCTGCCCTCTCCCTCCTGGAGCCCACGTGGAGCTCCGAATCTCACTGAGCTGAAGAGAAAGAGACTGGAGCTTGAGCTGCTGAATTTGGGGGGCAGCGTATCAGACGAGGGAGACACACAGATGAGCAGCCCCAGCAGCCCCGTGAGGTCAGTGCAGATCCTCGTCTCAGGCTGTGCTGCACATGTACAGGACATGTCTTCATAAGCCACCACAGTGATCGTCCATCCAGTGCTTAGCTGCGTGCTATGCTGGGTTTCCAGAGGCTGTGAAGTGCAGGGAGACATGGGATTCTGGATCAGTTAGAGTGCCAAGAATTCATTGAGCACTTGGACATTTGGTTGAGACCCATAAAGGCCATGCCTTAGGAGTAAGGATCACACCCTAGAGGAAGGACCATGCCTTAGAATTAAGATCAAACTGAAGTACACCCCCCCAACAAAGAATAAAGCTAAGCCCCACAGAATAAAAAAGATTTACCAGTAATTTAGCTGCCTGCCAGAACAATGCTCAACATCCTTATAACATAATCCATATTATTTACAATTTTATAATGTCCAGAATACATTAAAAATTACTAGACATACAAAGAAGCAAGAAACTATGACCTATAATTTAAAAGAAAGCATTACTAGAAAGAGATCCTGTTATAGTTCAGATGTTAGAAATCTAAAGCAGATAATATAGATATGTTTCAGTCTATCTCTGCCTTTTATATTTACATTTAATAAATGTATTTACACTTAATATAATTATTGATATGGTTAGGTTTAAGTCTGTCCTATTTTTCTCTTTGTTTCATTGAATTTTTTTGTTCCTCTGTTGTTCTTCTGTTTCTCCTTTACTTTGGGCTAACTAAATATGTTTAGCATTCTGTTTTAATTTTTCTCTTGGCTTTTATTTATTTATTTATTGAGACAGAATCTCTCTCTGTTGCCCAGGCTGGAGTACAGTGGCATGGTCTCGGCTCACTGCAACCTCTTCCTCCTGGGTTCAAGCAAGTCCTATGCCTCAGCCTCCCGAGTAGCTGGGATTTCAGGTGCCCGCCACTGTGCCCAGCTACTTTTTGTATTTTTACTGGAGACTGGGTTTGCCATGTTGGCCAGGCTGGTCTCAAACTTCTGACCTCAGATGATCTGCCCACTTCAGCCTCCCAAAATGCTGGGATTATAGGTGTGAGCCACAGTGTCTGGCCTTTATTTTGGCTTTTAAAAAAGGGTCCTTTTGTATTATTTTGAGTGATTTCTCTGGGGATTACAACATGCATCATTAACTTAATCAGAATCTACTTGGAGTTGATGTTATACTGTTTCATGTGCAATGTAAGGATCTGACCACTGCCCAAGTCCATTCAGCTTCCCTCTCCTCTGTAGGACTGCTGCCATTACCTTACCTCTGTATACAGTATGATGCCCCCACCAATACAATACCATATTTGTTGCTTTAAATCTTCACTGCCCAATACGATAGCCACTAACCACATGTAGTTATTTAAATTTAAATTAACAAAATGAAATAAAATTAAAGATTCAGTTTTTCCATCACTCTCGCCACATTTTCAGTGCTCAGTGATCACCTGTGGCTATTGGCTACCCTGTGAGACAGCACAGATGTGGAACATTTCCGTCCTCAGAGAAACTTACTGTGGACAGATCTGCTTTAAATAGCTCATTGACTTTCAAAGAAATTGATAAGTACAAGGTAGTCTTTCTTATTTATCCACAGATGTACTCTTTCTAGTGATCTTTCTTTCTTCCTATAGACCCATGTTCTCACCCACTATAATTTCTCTTCAACCAAAAACAAAACAAACAAAAAAAACAAACAAGAAACTTTCTGTAACATCCCTTGGTGTGCAGCTCTGTTGGCAACAAATTCTCTTGGGTATTTTTGATCTGCAAACGTCTTTCTTGAGGATATTTTTGATGGATATGTAATTCTGGGGTCGCAGCTCTATCTTTCTTTCTTTCTTTCTTGTTTCTTTCTTCTTTCTTTGTCTCTTCTTTCTTTCTTTCCCTTCCTCTCTTTCTTTCTTTCCTTCTTTCTTTCTTTCTTTCCTTCCTTCCTTCCTTCTTTCTTTCTTTCTTTTTCTTTCTTTCTTTCTCTTTCTTTCTTTTCTTTTCTTTCTTTCTCTTTCTTTCTTTTCTTTCTTTCTTTTTTTTTCTTTCTTTCTTTCTCTCTTCCCTTCCCTTCCTTCTTTCTGTCTCTCTCTTCTTTCTTTCTCTTCTCTCTTTCAATTCCTTAAAGATGTTGCCCTTATGTTCTGGCCTCCATAGTATCTGCTGAGAGATCATCATCATTGATTCTTATTGTTGCTTCCCTGTAGTGATGTACACTTTTCGTTTGGTGCTTTTAAGATTTTTTCTTTTCTTTTTTCTTTTTATTTTTTGGATTTTTCTGTTGTTTGCTTGTAACATGCTTAGGGGTGGTTCTCTTGGGCTTACCAAGCTTTTGGGATCTGTAGACTTTTGAGATCTTGACTCACTTCATTTGTAGGTTCTTCATTAAATTTGGTAAAATTTCAACTGCAATTTCCCTATTTTTTTGCTGTTCCATTTTTTTTTTCTCTTTCCCCCTCTGGAACTTCAATTGCACATATGTTAAACCATTTCTATTGTTTAGAACTGATGCTTTGTTCTTTTTTTCAATCCTTTCAATTTCTGTTTTTACAATTGGATAGGTTTCCCCCACCTGTATTCAAGTACTCTAAACTTTTCCTCTGCAGTCTCCACACTGCTGTTAATCCCATCTATTAAACTTTTCATGCAGGAAAATTATACTTTTAATCATGATATTTCCATTAATAACTGGATAAAAGATTCATTTATATATATATATATATATATATGTATTTTTTTTTGAGACACAGTCTCGCTCTGTTGCCCAGGCTGGAGTGCAGTGGCACAATCTCGGCTCACTGCAACTTCTGCCTCCTGGATTCAAGTGATTCTCCTGCCTCAGCCTCCTGAGTAGCTGAGATTACAGGTGCCTGCTACCATGCCTGGCTGACTTTTTTGTATTTTTAGTAGAGGTGGAGTTTCACCATGTTGGCCAGGCTGCTTTTGAGCTCCTGACCTCAAGTGATCCACCCACCTTGGCCTCCCAAAGTACTAGGATTACAGGCATGAACCACTGTGCCCGGCCCATATCCTTTTTTTTTTTTTTTTTTTTTCTGAGATGGAGTCTTGCTCTGTCCCCAGGCTGGAGTGCAGTGGTACAATCTCGGCTTACTGCAAGCTCCGCCTCCCAGGTTGATGCCATTCTCCTGCCTCAGCCTCCCGAGTAGCTGGGACTACAGGTGCCCGCCACCACGCCTGGCTAATTTTTTTTTTTTTTTGTATTTTTAGTAGATATGGGGTTTCACCGTGTTAGCCAGGATGGTTTCGATCTCCTGACCTCGTGATCCACCCGCCTCGGCCTCCCAAAGTGCTGGGATTACAGGCATGAGCCATGGTGCCTGGCTTTTATTTAATTTATTTATTTATTTTTGAGACAGAATCTTGCTCTGCCACCTAGGCTGGAGTGCAGTGGCATGATCTTGGCTCAGTGCAACCTCTGCCTCCTGGGTTCAAGTGATTCTTCTGCTTCAGCCTCCTGAGTAGCTGGGATTACAGGTGTGCGCCATCATGCCCAGTTAATTTTTGTATTTTTAGTAGGGACAGGGTTTCACCATGTTGGTCAGGCTGGTCTCGAACTTCTGACCTCATGATCCACCCACCTTAGTCTCAAAAGTGTTTGGATTACAGGCATGAGCCACCATGCCTGGCCTATTAGAAAATATTTTAATATAAATTATCATGAAAACATTTCAAAATTTGTGGAATATAACTAAACATTCTTCCTATATAATTAATTTTTTAAATGCCATATTAGAGAAGGAAATGATTTAAAAACAGATCACTGATTTTAAACCATTTTCCTTCTCTAATGTAGGTATTTAGAGTGATATTATTTCCTTTTACTACTTACTTTAAATTCACTTCTTCTTACCTATGTTACTTCCTTTTTCTACTTACTTTGAATTTACTTCTATCTCACTGAGATTAAAAGATAATAAGGGAATATTACAAATAACCTATGCCAACACATTTGATAACAGATGAAATGGACAGATTCCTTGAAAACTGTAGTTTATCAAAACTGACTCAAGAAGAAACAGAAATTCTGAAAAACTCTATAACTACTGAAAAAATTTAATTTGTTACCAAATATCTTTCTACAAAGAAAATTCCAGATCCAGATGGTTTCACTGGTGAATTTTATCAAAGTATATTATAAGAAGAAAATAATACAAATGTCACAGAGATTCAGAAAATAGAGGAGGAGGAAGGGGGAATGCTAAAACTTATTTTTTGAGGCCAATATTATTACCCCAATAACAAAACTAGACAAATAAATTACAAGAAAAGAAAATATTATGCCAATATCTTTCATATATATATATACACACACACACGTACATATATGTAAACACTCAACAAAACATTAGCAAATTGAATTCAACTGAACATAAGAAGAATAGTATATAAGGACTAGTAGGATTTATCCTAGGAATGCAAGGTTGGTTCAAGATTTAAAAATAAATCAATGTACTTTGCCACATTAACAGAATAAGGAGACAGTCATATAATCATTTTAACAAAGGCAGAAAAATCATTCTGCAATACTCGTTCTTCAAAACTCAATTCATAATAAGAACTCTCAGCAAACTAGGAATAGAAAGGATATTCCTTAACTTGATAAAGGCTGTCTATGAAAAACTTAATAGACAACATAATACTTAATAGTGATTGACTGAATGCATCCCCCCTACAATGACTGAGAATAAAACAAGAGATCTGCTCTCACCATATGTGTCTATTATCGTACAGGAGGTCCTAGCCAATTCAGTACAGCAAGAAAGAGAATTTTTTAAAAAAATAAGCATGCATTTTGGAAAGGAAAAAAAGTCTTTATTTGCAGCAGCATGATTGTCTATATAGGAAACCATAAAGAATCTTCAAAAGTCTTCTAGAGTATAATGAATGAATTATAAATATATAATTTATATACTGACAAGGTCAGTTTACAAAAGCTCAATAGTATTTGTCCATACTAACAATGGTTTGGAAGTTGACTTTTAAAAAAAATGGAAATTGAAATTAAAACATTTTAAATACCATTTAGAGTAATACAAAATAATTCAAAATAAATTTAATAAAAGTTATGTAAGTTATAAAAAGTCAAAACATTGCTAAGTGCAATTAAAGATCTACACAAATGGAGAGATATACCATATTCATGGATTGGAAGACTCAATATTGTTAAGTGTCCCTTTTCCTCCAATTGATATTTAGTAGGGGTTGGTAAACTATGACCATTAGGCTGACTGCCTATTCTTGTAAGTAAAATTTTATCAGAAAATAGCATGTCCATTCTTTGATGTATTGTCAATGGCGGTTTTGTACTTCAATGGCAGAGTTAAATACTTGTGCTAGAGACTATATAGTTCTCAAAGACTAAAGTATTTACCATATGGTCCTTTAAGAAAAAGTTTGCCCACTCCTAATCTATAGATTTAATGCAATTTCAAACAAAATCCCAGGATTTTTTATCTATTGTATCATTGATTTTACTTTGTCAAGGTTTATAACATTTATGAATTCTGTAATCTTAATTCATATAGTTATTAAAGTGTATACATCTTAATTGATTGCTTACCCTCAGTCTTTTGTTTAACCACAACTTCTCTAATCTCATGTTTTTAAAAACTTTAATCATTTTTTAAAATTTTTATTTTTAGTTCTGGGGTACATGTGCAGGTTGTGCAGGTTTGTTACGTAGGTAAACATGTGCCATGGTTGTTTGCTGCACCTTTCAACCCATCACCTATGCATTAAGCCCAGCATGCATTAGCTATTTTTCCTAACGCTCTCCCTCCCCCTACCCCATTCCCTGACAGACCCCAATGTGTGTTGTTCCCCTCCCTGTGTCCATGTGATATAATTGTTCGGCTCCCACTTATAAGTGAGAACATGTGGTGTTTGATTTTCTGTTCCTGCATTAGTTTGCTGAGGATAATGGCTTCCAGCTCCATCTATGTCCCTGCAAAGGACATGATCTCATCCCTTTTTGTGGCTGCATAGTATTCCATGGTGTATATGTACCATGTTTTCTTTGTCCAGTTGATGCGCATTTCAGTTGATGCGCATTGTTGATGCGCATTTCAGTTGATTCCATTTTTTAACTAGATTTTTTTTTTCAAAAAGTTATCTTTACCACAAGAAGAATCATAAAGGTTATATTTTATGAATTCTTGCATACTTGAGAATGCTTGTGCTTTGCCTTTATACCCAATGGCCATCTTAGCTGGGTATAGAATTTCTTGGCTACATTTTTCTCTCCCTTAGCCATTGCAGCCATTGCTCTACTGTCTCCTGAAATTGAATGCTACCTTTCATCACAACTTCTCTTTCTTTTATCTTTGGTTAGCTGGACTTTATTATCAAGTATTTTTTCTGTATGCCCAGAATTAGTTCATGTTTGAGAATGTTGGCCTGTTGCCTTTATACTTGAGCAACTTGTCTGTTTTTATTGTCATACTTTTCCACCCACAGGTTCTTACCTCCAGAAGTTTGTGTTGTGATATTGAATGAAACTGTGGAGTCATCTGATAACGGCCTAACTTGTTTTTTGCTGCCTGGATGGCTGAAAATGCCTCTTTATCTTCAAAGTTCAATAATTTGACCAGGATTTGTATCAGTGTGGCTCATTCTCCATCACCTTACCCTGGAAAATTATTTGCTGCTCATTTGGCAAATTCATCTTTCCTTTATATCAGGGAAATTGTCTTCTGTTACATCTTAAAATATAATTTATGTTCCATTGTTGAGTTATCCTCTTCAGGGCCACCAACTACCTTTCTTGAATCATTTTGTCCCTCTATTACCCTCTCTCTGATTGTTTCAACATCTTTGCCTTTTTTCTCTGATTTGCTTGTTTCTCATTCCTTGGTTTTAGCCATTTTCTCAAATAAGCAGGAGACATTTAAAAAGGTAAGGCCTGAAAAACTTTGTGTGTCTCTTGAAACCCTGTGTCCCTTGTTCCCAAGGGGTCTTTCCTAGGATGTCCACCCATACCCTTTTCCACCATACCTTAAAGCAGCACACTTTCACCAGTTTTTATGTTTTGTTGTTGTTTGCTATACTCACTGGTTGATTAAGGGAAGGTCCAATAAAAATTACAAGGCATACTAAAAGGCAAAAGCCAGTTTGAAGAGACTAAACTAGTATCAGAATCAGAGTCAGATATGGCAGGAATGTTGAAACTATCAGACCAAGAATTGCAAGAACAGATGGGTAATGCAAGCAGAGATATGAAAGATTCTGAGAAAGAATTTAAAAGAAATGCTAGATATCAAAAACACTGTCACAGAAATGAAGAATGCCTTTGACGTGTTTATTAGTAGGCTGGACATGGCCTACTAATTCTGAGCTTAAGGATATGACAATAGAAACTTCCAAAGCTGATAAGCCTTCAATGGATGTGCTTAGGATTCTGTCAACCTGCCCTCTCCCCACAATACGACTTCTACCATGCAGAAGTGTGTTCAGGAGCCATGCCATGACTCCCGGGGATCGGTTTCCCTTGCTTACTTCAGTGAAAATATGAGCATGGCAGGCAGCTATCCCTTTAAGTCATTGCCTGGATGCTGCTGGCAGACTCTCACCAGTTTTCATGTTTTGTTGTTCTCTGTGCTCACTGATTAACAAGGGGAAGCCCAGGTCCTTTCCATTCCACCACGTTTACCTGGATGTCCCAGGGGCATTTTTTTTTTTTTTTTTGAGACGGAGTCTCACTCTGTTGCCCAGGCTGGAGTGCAGTGGTGCGATCTTGGCTCACTGCAAGCTCTGCCTCCTGGGTTCACGCCATTCTCCTACCTCAGCCTCCCAAGTAGCTGGGACTACAGGCGCCCGCCACCACACCTGGCTAATTTGTGTATTTTTATTAGAGACGGGGTTTCACCGTGTTAGTCAGGATGGTCTCAATCTCCTGACCTCGTGATCTGCCCGCCTCGGCCTCCCAAAGTGCTGGGATTACAGGCGGGAGCCACAGCACCCGGACGTCCCAGGGGCATTTGAAACTGTCCCTGAAGCAGCAGTGTGGACTGGATTACAAGGAGGTCAGGTGGCTAGGACGTAATGCTTCCAGGGAGGTAAGGAGACCATGGTGGGGAGGAGAGGGTCTGGACATAGAAGAGGGAGCCCCAGAGAGGGAGCAGAAGGGACAGGAGGGCTGTGTGGCACTGATTAGGCCTCCATCATGCCCTGTCTTGGAAACATCTCTGTGGCTCCCTGGAGCTGCCTCTCAGATCTGTTGCTTTGTTTGACCCTTCGTGTGCTTGGGTCCTGCTGCCCCGGTTGCACTGCCCGGTTCTGGGGGGCAGGGTGGGGTCTTGGGGTCTGCTCTTTCTGTAGGCCCCAGCCCTGACCTTGTCGGTGGTTAGAGTGGGACATTGGTCAAAGTTTGGACTGGCTTTCATCTCTGACTGCTGCAGACCACAGGCCTGACACGGCTCTGGGACGAGGGCATTTCCCAGACACATGATGTCTGTATAGGCTTCCTATGAGGACCTCCCCCCATCCCCAGCAGTGGCCAAGCTCCACATCTGTCCACATGGTCTCCAGCTGTCTGCTCCACTCTGCCCTGCTCCTGGCAGGGACTGAATGCCCCTGGGCTGCAGGAGCGGGACTGGCACTTCTCACGGGCATGGAGGACCAACTTTCCATCCCACGATCAACTTAGCATGGGCCGTGTACCTCCACGTAAATTAGTCTTGGACATTTGTGAGAGTGATGGCTCAGTGGCATCATTCCTGTGTTTGCAACAGTTAGATTCTTTCATGCACCCAGCATTGCCCCACACCTACTCTGGGTGGGGCTCAGGTGTGAAGGATGCGGAGATGTGAGAGCCCAGGCTCCTGCCCTCAACGCACTGTCCACATGACATGCAGTCCATACTGGGTGGGTGACTCTTGAGTGTGGCGCTCCCGCCACCGAGCTGAGCAGGAGTTGAGGGGTTGGAGGGGTGGCAAGGGGTGAGGCAGGAGGGGTCTCTTCACCCCCACTGCCCTGCCTCCCTGTGGTCTCAGCCCTCCCAGATGGTCTCCTCAGTCCCTGTGGACATGGTCAGTGCACCCACACCCCACGCCCACACCCCACACCCACATCCCACGCCCTCACCCCACACCTTGACTTGGGCAGCTGCCCTTGCCAGGTGGCTCTCTCCTCTCCTCCTGAACTGGACAGGTCCTACCACCAGGGAATGCCCAGTTCAGGTTCTGCTTCCTGCAGGAGGCCTTGCTGCACCAGATAGGATTTTGGCTGCAAGCAACAGAAAGCGGTTCCGATTAACTTAGGCAAAAAGGAGTTTCCTGCAAGCTGCTGGGGCACCGTACCCGCCTAAAGGAAAGCCGTGCTGCCAGGCCTTGGGAAGGAGACTCAGCGCAGCACTAGCAGCCCCCCTCCCCGGCCCACTGGAGGGCCAAGTCTCTGGGGGGAGAACATGACAGGTGGGTGCTGAGCCACACCCTGTTCCCGGGCACTGGGGAATGGGGAGAGGTTGTGGAATTGCTAGCCTCACCCAGGGGCAGAAAGGCCAGGAGGACAGGGCAGCTGGAGAGGGAGTGAAGTGACATCCGCTTCCTCCTGTGAGCCTGTGACCCGTTTCGTGCTCTCCCTACACAGGCGTGGAGGGCTAGAGATGCCCCCCTGAGTCCTCTCCTGCCTCTTCCTGTGAAGAAGGCCTCCCGCTGGCTGCACGTTTCCTCACTGTTTGCCGGGACTGGCTGTGCAATTCCCCGCTGCGCCCGTCCCCAGCGCTCCACACAGGAGCTCCGCGAATGCTGGCTTGTTAACCGGATAGCTTGACACTCTAATCAGTACGAATTCACCTTCTCAGCTGAGAGGTTAGGAAAGTGTGGAAGGGGAGGGCTGTGGGACGCCACTCCCCACACACTGTTGTGTGGCCTGGGAAAGCTGCTTCACCCCCTTGTGCGTCGGTTTCCTCATCTGTGAAACAGGGTAATAATAAAGTGTCTCTTAGAGTGGCTGCAAGGATGCCATTGATGAATCCTTTTAAATGGCTGAGGTGGAGCGTCAGCCACCACGCACCCAGCAGCAGACGTTCCCTTGTGTCCGGCAGGGTCCGGCCTGCATTTTTACTGAATTCTTATTCCTGTTTGCCAAAAGGGATGGGAGGAGCTGAGTCGAGTGAGGACCTTGTGCCAGACCTGGGGCTCCGTGCCCACAGCCCAGGAGATGGGAATCACAGGAATATGACCTCTGGTCTTGGCTCTGGCTCTGGGGGGCAATCCTGGGGGGACTCTGTCTTGGGGCAATCTTCTCTGTGGGGGGCAGAACCCGTGCCAGCCTCGGTGTCTCCTGGATTCATTTTCTGGGGTTGCCATAATAACCACAAACTGGGGGGCTTCAAATATCAGACACTGATCCTCTCCAGCCCCGGGAACCAGAAGTCCAGACCACGGTGTCGGCGGAGCCCCCCTGAATGGCTGAGGGAGGCTTCTCCCTGCTTCTGCGGCTCCTGTCACCTCCAGGCATTCCTGGGCTGTGGCCACAGCACCCCAATGCCTCCTCCCCTCTTAGAATGATGCCCATCACTGGACTTGGGTCCACCCTACTCCAGACAGCTTCATCTCTATCTTCACCTTCATCACAGCCACAGAGACCCTATTTCCGAATAAGGTCATATTCTAAGGCTCCAGATGGACATGGATATGTGGGGGACATAATTCAATGCACCGCACCTCCCAACACTCACACAGCCCACGTGAATGTTCCCTTCCCTGCTCTGTCCCATCCTGAGAGGTTGAGGGCCTGGCCTTCAGCCTGAGCACCCTGAATCCCCGGGGAAGCTGAATCCTGTCCGCCCCCCTGGGTCCCAGCCCTGGCTTGGCCACATCCTGGGAGGCGGAATGTTCAGGTTCCCGCGGGTGCTGAGTGCGCAGAGAGTGGCAGCAGGGTGGGTGTGAGAGTGATGCCCGTCCCAGGGGCCAGATGCGAACCGTGCAGGAGTTGGGCATCCTCAAGCTCACCCAGTGACCTTGACTTTCCAGAGCCCCAGTGGGGAGAGTGGGAGACCGAGGTCCCAGGATGCAGGGCGTGGTGGGGCATGGGTGGGAGGGGACGACAGGACCTCAGGACAGTGCCGTCACCTGCAGAGGTGCACTGGGCAGGCCACCCTGATCAGCAGCCAGGACCTGGCCCGGTGCCCACCCCATCCCAGGGTTCCCACCTTGGGGCTGTGTTCTTCATCTGCAGGGTGAATTCTGAGGTCTTGGACAGCCCTTTTGCTTGGGAGTGAAGATTCGTGTCCCCCCTCCAGTTCATCCATGAAAATCTAATCCCCACAGTGATGTACTAAGCTGTGAAGCCTTTAGGAGAAGATCAGGTCATGAGGATGGGCCCTCATGAATGGGATCACTGCCCTTTTAAAGAAACCTCAGAGAGGTCTCTTCCTACCACAGGAGGATACTATGAGAAGGCAGCTGTCTGCAACCTGGAAGAAGGTCCTCACCAGAGCCCAGCCATGCTGGCACCTCAGTCTCAGACTTCCAGCCTCCAGAACTGTGACAAATAAGTGTCTGCTGGTTCTAAACCACCCAGTCTGTAGGACTTTGTTATAGCAGGTGAGCTGACACCTTTGCAAGAACTGGGTGGTTTTGTATGGTGCTGAGGTGTGCAAAGGCCACACCCCCTGCCTCCTAAGTTCATTCATTCTGGATTCATTTTCTGAGGCTTTCAATCAGGCTCCCTCTCAGCTGACCTCAGTGTATGATAGGGGGTTCCCTTTTCCGAAACCCTCTGAATTCTCAGGGCATGGGAACGGGCCTCCTTGGACACACGGCCACCTACTTACACTCAGGAACCTCAACCGTGAGTCACAGCAGACCATGGTCTCATCCCATCCTCACCACCACCCACAAGGGAATCACTGTATCCCCACTTAACAGCCAAGGAGACTCAGGCTCAGTGATTTGCTGCTGTCAGCCAGCAAGGTGTGGTGAGGCCAGGGCTGCCCTCTCTGCTCAGCTCCCTGCACTGGCGTCTGTGGTGACAGTGTGCCACCATCGGCTCCTACACTCCTCTGTGTTCCAATGCCAAACCTCAGAAATGTGGGCTTCTGGAATCCCAGGGCACAGCTGAACCCCATTTCTTAGTTGCCAGTGTTCACCAGCTTAGCAGGGTCCTCAGGCCTCCCAGCTCTGGGTCCTCCTGGGCACTTGGCAACATTGCTTTCTTGTCCTTCCTGGGAAGAGAGGTGGGAGACGACTCTCCAGACCCGAAAGCAGGGCCACTGCCATGGTAGCCGCCAGGGGATGGGCCACGGGGCCAGCCACACGGGCCTCCTGCTGCAGACACCATTAGCCCTAATTGCTTGGTGCCGGCTTTGAAGGACACAGCCTCATCCTGCGGCTCGGGCAAGGCCTTCCTCGACCTGTCATCAGTAATTGAGGGTAAATTAATATTTACTAAGCAGAGTCTCATGGAGAGGGGTGGGCATGAGAAACCAGGGGGATGTGTGGACCAAGGACCTGCGGCCCCGCTCCAGGCTTTCTCCTCTGTTGACAGGACCCATGGGACGCCGGGCAGAAACCTGATCTGCAGCTAATTGCCAGGGGCAGCCTTTCTCAGAGTTCTCCTGCCCCCAACTCCTAGGCTCAAAGGGTTTCACGTGCCCTTGGAGGCAGTTGTATACATCAAAGGGAGCTGGAGGAAGCCTCTTGATACCCCATTTCCCTTGCACACCCCACCCCCACCCACAGCCAGAGCAGCACCCCCGGGCCCCGGCGGGGCTGGAGGAGGCTTCCCACTGTCTAAAGCAGCTCACCCATTCGCCGTGTGCCCCTTATGCATTTTGTTTCGTCCCCACGGCTCCCAGTGAGGGACGTGCTGCATCAACATTTTTTTGACCAGGGGACCGAGGCTCAGAGAAGTTCAGCAAGTCCTGCGAGGTCACACAGCCGGTTTCGTGGCAGAGCTCGGATCCCAAACCCGACTGCATTCGTTTCCTGGGGCTGCCAAACAAAGCAACCCAAACTGGGTGGTTTCAAATAATGCATCCTGGAGGCTCCAAGTCCAAAGTCAAGAAGCGGTGGGACCCCGCTCCCTCTGGGGCCCTGGATGGACTCCTCCCACACTTCTCTAGCTCCTGGTGGTTTCCAGCCATCCTAGGCCTCCCTCCAGTCTCTGCCTCTCTCAATGCAGGGTCTTCTCCCTGGGTCTCTGCTTCCAGATTTTCCTCCTCTCATCAGGACACCCGTCATTGGACATGGGACCCACCCTATTTCAGGATGACCTCGTCTTAATGACATCTGCAAAGTCCCTATTTCCAAATAAGGTTCCAATCACAGGCATGGGGGTTTAGGACTTGGACATGTCTCATGCCCCAACTTTCTGGGAAAATCACTTACTCTGGGCTTGTTCTTGTCTCTAGAAGAGGAAAGCAGTGAGGGATGCTGAGAATTAAAATACGCTTCCCCCACCACAACCCACCACCCTCCTGCCCCTTGCCGCAGCCTCGGGGGGCTCCACTGCCATTAGGGCCCTTCCTTTCCCACGTCTGGGACTGAGGGCCGGGGTAGAGGAGGCAAAGCTACAGCTTTGGACCTGGGTGACATCTGGCACAACTGCTGAGACTCCCTCTCCTGAGCGTGCTCCTCAGGCAGAGTGCGAGGTGGGTGGCCTCAGACCCTTTAAGCTGCAGCGTCACAGGCCAGGGGTTAAGTGGCTGCCCCAGGGCACACGGAGTCCTTGGTGGCAGGCTGGACAGGAACAGGGGTCAGCTGACCCCAAGCCAAGACCTCTTTACAAAGCAAATCCAGCAGAAAGCCGGCGACCCCCGCACATTGTTGGCAAGCCTCAGAAGTCACAAGAAGCCTCCTGCCAGGCCGAAGTTTTGCAGAGGGGGCACCCCCTGGCTTATCCAGCACCCAACTCCCGTCCATGCAGTGTGGGAGCCACATTCAGAGGCTCCTGGGAACCTGGAGCTGAGGCTGGGGTGGGGGGCCAAAGAGGAGGACCTCAGGGGCCAGGAACTGCCTGCGTGGTGCTGAGGGGAAGCTACGGGGAGGCAGCTTTTCGCTCTGCCTGGAGGACATTTTAACAAGCAGCATTGTCTGGGGATGGGCGGGCCTCAGAGAGCGGAGAGCTCCCTGCACTGCAGACCTCCAGCAAGTGCCCTGGAGCCGCTCATGTGGACAGAGAATCCTGTGGGGCCCCTTCTAGCTCTGACCACCAGGGATCCTGGGCTACCTCTCCCCAGCCCAACATTGCTAACCAGCTTCCCTCTCTCCCCAGGCCACCCTGGGGTGGGCCCTGAGCCCCAGGCCAGCCTGGTCTCTACCCAGCACCCGGGGCCCCAGTGCCTGAGCTCAGGCCGCTTCCTTAGCCCCTCCTGATACACAAGTCAGCGCCGCACCCTAGGGACCAGACACTGGCGGGATCTGTGCTTTTGTGAAACAGCAAATCAGATTAAGTTAGAACCAACCTGGCTGCGTGGGAGATGGACAGACAGGGGCTGATGTCATCTGATGTAGCGTCTGGGGAGGACACTGGGGAGGCGTCCTGGGGTCAGAAGGCAGGAGGCGCCAAGAAAGAACGGCCAGGCCCCTCACTGAGCACACGGGGAAACTGAGGCACAAGACCTCACAGTGCTTAATGTCATGTCCATCAGAGTCCCCATCACCCAAGGGTGCTTTGGTTCAAGCTTTTGGGCCCAGCTTTCCAGGCACAGCCTCCACAGACTCCTCCCACAGGCCCCCTCCTGCCAGCCCCCGTCCTCTGCCCTGCCCAGACGGAGTAGCCAAGGCAGCGCCCCTGCCCCAGGCAGGCTGCATCAAGTGATGCCAGGTCTGTCAGATGCCAGCCCCGAGTTGGCCGCACGTCCTTCACCGACAGGACCTGTCCTGCCACGTTGTCCCTGTCTCCTGCCAGCCGTGATCTTAGAGGGGCCAAGTCTTGTCTGCACTGCATCTCCACTGCCTGGTCCCAGGCCCAGCCATGCATGGACTCCAGGCCCAGGCTTCCCCCTCTGCAAGGCACAAGGGGAGGGACACAGATGTTTTGTTACTGTTGTTTTGTAAAGAAATTAACCGGGGTCTGTGGGCCACAGGCAGCTGGCCACTGCTGCTTCTCTCTGTCTCTCTCTGTGTCCATCTATCAACAAGCCTCTATACTTAGTTCATTTAGAACAAGGGAGCAAAAGATGACAATAGACAGAGGTGACCTAAAGGCTAGAGGAAGAGTGGAGGCCATGGGAGAACAGGACCGGGAGAAACAGCACCCAGTAAGCTGTTTGGCCTCACACTCCTGCTAGTGGAGAGCTGAAAATGTGGCTCTGAGGTCCCCAGCAGCCGAGGCAGTACATCCACAGGAGAAACAGGAGCTGCTCAGCCTCTTCTGACCCTGACACCCAAACGGGAGACACAGAGGCCCCTGTGGTGCAGGACCCAGGCGGTGGCCACCAGGGCAGGGAAAGTCTGAACCATCATTGGTCATGAAAAATGTCACCCGTCTCGGCTCCACAAATGAACAGAGGGCCAGGGAGGGGGCCTGAGGGGTTCTTTCCTTTGGTGGGAAGGTTGCTTTGTGAGTTGGAAAGCAGCTATGTGGAGTAGGGAGAATCATGGTTCAGGTGCTGTGCGCTGGCCAGGCAGCCACACGTGTGCTCTCCTGGACTGAGGTCACATCTCCCAGCTGGAGGATGAGCCAAGGCCAGTGGGTCCCCTCCTCTGCCAGACCTCACTGGGGACTTCCCCACAGACAGGCTTCACCCAGACGGGGACGCAGGGGCCTGGAACACTTGGGCTCACTTGAGATGAGCCAGGCTGATCTTACCCGAATTTACCCCACACAATTCTCAGGATGGTCATTTGGTGTGAGAGTTTCATTCCCATTACACAGATGAGAAGGCTGAGGCATCATCATATCTGGGCCAAAGTCTTTGTCTGGCTGCCTCCAGAGACAGCGTTTGGGATATTTTGTGAAGAAATGAACTTGAGCATTATGGGGAAAACAAAACAAATCAACCTAGAGGGAATCTAACACTGAGAATGAGAAAAGTGTGCAGGCAGCCTGGGCATCTTCATCAGGTCTCCCTCCGCCAGGCCTGTCCGGGGCAGTTCAGTGCACCTGGCCCCTCCTGGGGGCCTGGCCAGTCCCTGCTGTGTTCTGGGGTCTGCAGCATCCCCACTTGTGGGTGGTAACTGGAGCTGTCTTCCTGGAGTCTCTGTGCCTCTCCTGGGACCCTACGGCCAGCAGAATACCCCCTCCCTGCCAGCTCTCGGCTTCCCAGCTCTCTGCTCATTTGCAGAACAAAGATGACTGTCTCTCCTGCCTCTCTGGTCACCAGCACTGCTGGACCCCCAAAGTGGCCCTGTCATCCTCTCAGGAGTCCCTCCATGATAAATGAATTCTGCACCCACCAGAACCTGCCTGGCACCCAGAGCAATGGTATCACTTGGACTCTGCCATGAGTAATGCCAGCCCCCCTCCTCTGAGGACACACAGCCCTTGATCTCAACTCCCCAGGGCCAGTATTCTGCCCCATGGGCTCAAGTCTGACTCCCCGACCCAGACTGTGAGCTGCTGAGGGCAGGCAGTGTGTGTTCCCCACGGCTGTGTCTCGGGAGGAAGAAAGGGCTGGAACTCATGAACATCCAGTAGCGCTTCTCACCCAGTGGAGATTGGAGCTCACCCACTGCAGCCGCGGTGAAGGCACTAAGATCGCCCCATGACACACCTGTCCCGCAGCCTCTGCATACCAGTGAGCTTCTCTTAGTTCCTGGAAGAGGGCAGGCTCTCCCTCGGCCCAGCTTTTCTGTTCCCTCTGCCCTTCCTTGTTCCCACCTTCCGGCGGGAGATGCCTGCCTGTTGAGTTAAGTCCAGCTGCCTGCTGAGTCTCAACTTGGGGATCACGTCTAGACCACTTGGCTTCTCTGGTGTGGCCCATGCCAGGGCTTCCATGGTGGGCCCAGCACACCCTCTCCCAGCACCTGTGTCTGTTGGACACTGTGTGTTCTGGGGATGAGCAGAGCAGATGTCTGGTGAGGAAATTTGGCAGGCAAGTCTTAACCAGAAAACACTTCCCGTCCAGACGCCCTACCTGGGTTCACCCACACTTGTCTCGCTCTCAGAGGAAGAAAGCCTCCTCCCAGTCCCTGGCCACCTCTTTCCACCTTCCCTTTCTGTACAGCCCCTTCCCACCTCCTGGGGTCCCCACCTGTCCATTCATCCTGCCCTCTCCTCTTTCACCTGAGCTGGGACCAAGACCCCAGCACTGGGCTCTAGCTCCTGAAATTGCCTGGCTGTGCTTGGAGTTAAATGGGAAGACTGGCTGTGTTGAACATCCCTACATCCGACGAGGAGATCTGGGATACAGAAGGCAAGAAGCCTGCTGTCAATTCAGCAGCCACAGGCAGGGGACAGGAGGAAAAGGGCTTGGCTGGAGGTCAGGGGCCAGCTCTTGTCTCCCTCGCTCAAGGAATGAGCCCGAGGGATCTTGAGAGCCCTCCTTCCTGGGCCTCAGTTTTCACGTCTGAGCAATAAGGACCCGGAGTGAGAGCAGGGCTTCTCCAACCCAGGTCTAGCATGGGGCCTGCTCATGGTCCCCACGGAGCTGGGCGTGGCAGAGCCCAGGCTGGACGACAGTGCAAGATTTCAGTGTTTTTGCAGACGTGGATTTAACTCCAGAAACTTTTTCTTCACGCTCATCCAAAAGAGGACAGAACAAATGCACCAGCAGAGGTGAAAATGAACCAAAACTCAGAGGCAGCGGCTCCTCCCTGGCCACTCCCAGGCCAGCATCGGGCTCCCTCGGGGCAGTGGGTGCCCCTGGAAGGTTTGTGAGGGATCGCTCATGTGTCCTGGGGCTGTGCTGCTGGGCGGTGCCACAGCGCTGCACTGAGTCCACTGCAGTGACCTCTGACCTCCGACCTCTGACCTCCAACCCTGGGCAATGACCACCGTGCCGCGGGCACTTTGCAGGGGTGTCTCTAAGTGCTCAGCCACCTCCCAGGAGAGACTTCTTGCCTCCAGAAGCTGAGAGCATGTCAGAGCTGCCCAGGCCACACCTGCAGGGGGTGGGAGAGCTGGGGGGCTGCACCTGGCCCCCACCTCTGAAGGGCGTCTGCACCCAGCTCCTCCTGTTTTCCCTCCCCAGACCTGAATGGAGCTGCCAGAGTCACTGGACCCCCATGCGCAGAAGGGGCAGGTGCTGGGTGCTCCCCATGCCTGGGACCCCACTTGGGTGAGGAGAGAGGGAGGAGGGAGGGGACTTTTGTTTCTAAGAAGAGTGTGGTGATGTTCTTTAAAGCCGTGTCTGACCTGAAGTCAAGAGGGGGGCTGCTAAAGTGGGGTGTCTCCCCCTCCCTCGCCACCTCACTTCATCTCCACCCCATCCCCTCAAAGTCGAGGGAGGCGGTCCAGAGGCCCGGCTGCTTCACAAGCGAACTTCTCTGACCAAACCTCAAGACGTTCCCCCAAAACATGCCTCCTCTTGAGGTTCTGGAGTGGGGGCAGGAAGTCTGAGGGCATCTCTTAGGGACTCGGGGGCAAACTTGGAAGTCGGCAGGGAAGTGGCCCTTCCCTAATGCTCATGTGGCAACGCTTTCTCGCTCTTTCTCGTTCTCTCTCTCTCCCTGTCTCTCTCTGTCTCACACACACACACACACACACACACTCACACGAGTTGCCTCTTTCAGGATAATCATTTTAAGGAAAATTCCGTATAGAAGAATTTATGCTGCAATGTGCTTTGACGCCATCGGACAAGATAATTTCTGCCTCTTCCTCTCCTCCCCACCCCCAGTTAGGTCCACAAAGAGGTGCCAGGACCCCTCCCGGCAGCGCCAATGCCCCCACCAGGGAGGGGGTGGCTGGGTAGGAGCCGCAGTGAACGCCGGCTTTGTGGGGTTAATGCGATCCGTGTCTCGAACCTGCCTCCCCCTCCCGAGCGCCGAACTGGGCTCCTTCTCAGAAGGAGGCATTCGACCAAATGTTAATCCTCTCCACATGTAGAATGTTCCAGATAGCCCCGAGCTCAGGGTGCCTTTTGAACTTGTGAACAGAAATTGATTCAAGGTGACGAATTTGTAATCAGTTTATGATTGATGGGCCGCATTTCCAGAGAGGCAGCTCCATGTCCCTTCCTCCCGCCCGGGGAAGCAAATGTGTTTCACTTTATCTACCCTGTCCCGGGACCTGGAGGACCGGGAGAGAGAAAATAAAGTCAACTGCAATATTTAACTTGTATTAGAACAGATGCCAGTTAATTAAGGGATCAGTGGGAAGGAAGTGCCAAAATAGAGCTTTGGCCGCTTCTCCTCCCCGGCTGGACAGAGGGCAGATCGGATGTTAAACTATTACTGTGATTAGGTGAATAATGACTTTGGAACTAATTTCGCTGGGTTGGAAAGAGAGCAGGACTGGGTGAAAATAGAAACATCTGCTGAATATTCTAATTTCAAAGGATAATTGCAAAGTGCCCGCTCGGGTTCTTCCCCCCAATAACCCACCCTTGGTTTTTTCCTTTTTTTTTTTTAATAAAAAAAAAAATCAAAACTACCTTGAAGTGACTTTGAGTTCAGCTCTAGCAAAGTTCAGCTGTGAGGGTTCTCAGGGTGGGAAGGCTGGGAATGCCAACCAGACTCAGGATGGAGAAAAGCCAAAGAGGGGCTTAGGCCCGGCAGCTTCAAACAGTGAGGAGGGAGGGAGACGGGGTCCCAGCGGCAGGTCTGTGGGTCGCTGCTGCTCAGCGAGGGGTTGGCTGCCTGGCAGTGGGTGACGCCTGTGCCTTCCCTGGGTCAGGATGCCTCTGAGAATCTGATGGAAACTGACCCCACCCCTTACGATGACAGAGCGCGCACCCAGCCTAAAAACCTCTCTGGCAGGTTCACAGACCCCTGAAGTGGCGCCCTTTGCAGCCCCCTGCCCTGCCTTTGGCCGGCCCTCCCTTCCATTTCTGGGCAGCAGCACACTGGTGAAGCTACACCCGGGGACACGAGAACCCTGGACATGTATCGCTTGCCACTGTCTGGTGTAAACCCTCTCCTCAGGGCCGAGGCTCAGCTGCCCGCGTGAGGCCATCCCTGCGTGAGGGGGACCCACTCAGCTCGTGCCGGCTGGTCTGCACTGATGCCCACACACAGTGGTGCCGGGCCTTCGTACCTGCTGTTCCCCGTGCCTGGACCTTCCTTGCCTGAGAGACATCTGCTGGTTCTTCGAGGGTCAGTGCCCTGGTCCCAGGCTGTGTTGGGGCCTCCTGAGTCATAGAATCCTCTGCTGGGCTGGGGGCTCCTCAGGCCAGAGCTTTGCTGCCTTTATCTTGCCGCACAACTGCCTGGAGGGAGACCTCCCCTTTGGGCAGCTCAATGAATTTCCAAGCCATCTGCACCTCTGACACTCTTCCCTCCTCTTCTTTCTCCGTCTATTCATCCAGCAGCCCTCTTCTGAGTGCCCACTCTGTGCTAGACACTCTGCCTGGACTCTGTGCCAGGCCCCAGGGATCCTGGTGCTAGGGCAGACCCACCTCTGGCCTCACGGATGAAAAGGTGCCCTCACTGGGGGTCAGCAGGAAGGGGCCCTGCTGGGCCTGATCTAGAAGGGGGCGGCTGAGAAATGAACATTCCTGGGCTCTGATCCAGGGCTGGGGGTCACAAAGCCTGCCAAGGGGAAGTGGGTTCAGGGGGAGCCAGACACCAGTGTGGGAGTATGCTATGGGCAGCCCAGAGCATGTGCCAAGGCCCTGAGGTGAGCTTGGATCCGCCTTGAAACCAGACCCCTATGGAGCACGGGGTGGGGATGCAGGCTGGGTGCAAGGACCCCAGGGGGCAGGCATGCAGGCCACCTCAGCCTCTTTCCACGTGTCTGAGAACCGGGGACCCACATGGGGTGTGAATGGCGTTTCCAGTCCCCCCTGGCAGGGGAGCTGCTGGTGTGGCTGGAGGGTGGCGGTCAGATCTGCGTCCTCAGAGCAGGGCAGTAGCCCTGAGCCAGGAGGGACAGGCAGGGGCACCGGAAGAAGGGGGAATGTGGAGAGTGACAGAGGAGGATTAACCAATGGCCACAACCCTCCTGACCAGAGTGGAAACTGAGTCCAGGGCCACTGATCCCCCATCCGCCTCAGCAGGCCTGCAGCCAAGGCCGCGCTCCCCTGCCCTCCTCTGCCTCCTGGTCTTTCCACCATCCTGCCCCCCGACATGCGCCTCAGCCCAGCCTCTCCCTCACCCCGATCCCGCACACGCTGTCCCTGAGCGCTGCCTGGTACATGGCCAGTCGGGGCATCTAAGAAGAGGCGTCTGAGATGCTCCCCAGGCACTAGTCTGAGGAGACCAATGTGGGTGCCCTTCTCGCACCCAGCAATGCTTTCAGGCTGGAAGAGACAGAAGGGTCCCTGCAGGCTTGTTTCTGCTTCCAGAAGACCAGCAAGTATGGAATATCCAGGGGCCTGACTCCAAACTGGCCCCAAAGGGGAGACAGGGGCAGGAAACGCCATCTCCACCCTCTGGAGCAGAGGCTGTCTGAGGAGGAGCCAGTCTGTGGGGTGCAGAGAGGCCAGTGTGGACAGATGGACCCGGGAAGGATCCAGACACGCACAGGGATGTGGCTCCGTGTCCCGGGCCTGTCACTAACTTGCTGCATGGCCCTGGACAAGCCACTTCATCTCCCTGGGTCCCCAGAGCAGTGTCCAGTGCATCTCTAAGGCCCTTCCAGCCATGGGATGGAGGTACCTTGAAGGCAGTCGGGCCTGAGAGTGGAGAGGTGGGGTGGGGAGCAGCTGGTCCTGCTCCGTGGCAAGTGCCTCACAGAGGCCAGGGCAGTGGTGGGGACCCAGGAGCAGGAGAAGCAGGAAGGACTGGAACAAATTGCCAACCTCTCCTACCCGCTGTGTACAAGGCCAAGGTCCTCGAGCACTGCTTTCTTTTCCTTTTCTCTTTCTTTTTTCTTTTTTTGAGATGGAGTTTTGTTCCTGTTGCCCAGGCTAGAGTGCCATGGCATGTGATCTCAGCTCACTGCATCCTCTGCCTCCTAGGTTCAAGCGATTCTCCTAAGAGCACTGCTTTCTTACTTGCAAAACTTTTGTTTTTGTACAAGAGAACAGGTGCTGCCACTTAGGAAAGCATAAAGTTGCCCTATGACCCAGCAATTCCGCTCTGAGCATGCACCCAAGCAAAGTTAAAACAACTTCCATACCAAAACTTGTACTTGAATGTTCATAACAACATCCATAATAGCCAAGAAGTGAAATGTCCCAAATGTCCATCATCCAGTGAATGGATACATAAATTGTTGTCTGTGCAGACAGGAAGACTATTTGACCCCAAGAGGAGGGCAGCACTGATGCCTGCTCCAGCACGGGCGCAGCTCACGACATCATGGAAAGGGAAAGGGGCCGTCACAAAAGACCACATGCTATATGGGTCCATGTATATGATAGGAACAGAACAGGGGGTCTGCAGGACAGAAAGTAGATGAGCGGTTGCTTCAGACTGGGGCAGGGGAGGGTGGGGAGGTGATAGCTCAGGGGTGGGGGGTTCCTTTCGAGGTGATGAAAATGTTCTAAAATGGACTGCAGTGATGGTGGCGGGTATTTGTGAATATAGTGGTGTTATCCTTATTCATGGGGGATGCATTCCAAGACCCCCAGTGGAAGCTTTGAATGGCACTGAAGCCTACGTACACTGTGATTTCAATCTGGTAACTGAGGTGGCTACTAGATGATGGCTGGGCAAAGTAGCATGTACAGCATGGAGATGCTGGACAAAGGGAGGATGTCCTGGGCAGAACAGAATGGGGTTTCATCACATGGCACGGAATGGCATGCAACTTAAGACACGTGAATTGTTTATTTTGGGAATTTTCCATTTAATATTTTAGGACTAAGGTTGACCACGGGTAAGTGAAACCTCAGAAAGCAAAACTGTGGGTAAGGGGGACTGCTGTATACTAAAGCCATTGACTTGTGTACTTCAAAGAGGACACTGCTATCCGTTCCACTTTCCAGCTGGAGAGGCTGAGGCCCAGAGAGGTGACAGTGACTTGCTGAAAGCCCCACAGCTGGGAAGGGGCAGAGCCAAACTCCTGCTCAATGCCAAGGACATGGGGCTGGTTGGGGAGCGAGCTTCTGGGCCAGGGAGGTGCATGGGCTGAGGGGTGGGCAGGCCTCATGGAAGGGCAGACCGGGGTCCCTCCTGGTGGCCTCCTGCAAAGCCTCCCACTCCAGGCCCAGGACCTGCGGCTGCTGCAGATGCTCCAGCCAGTGAGAGCCATCGTCCACAGACCTGAGTGTCTCCTACAACTGTCTTGTTCCTCCCCATGGCCCAGAGACCAGCACAGAGCCTGGCCCAGCACCGATGGTGACCACATCCTGGGAGAGTGAAGGAGGAAGTGGCAGTGTGGGGAAGCAGAGTGTCCATTGGATCTGTCATCCTAATGGGGACGCTGTTAACACATAGGCTGGGGCAGCTGCAGGCCACCAGTCCTGCCCTGAGAGCATGGGGATGTGTGGTCATCCTGGGACAGGAAGGAGCACTTGGCCAGGAGTGCAAGGGAGGGGACTTGCCTGGAACAGTCCAAGAGGACTTCCTGGTGGAGGAGGTACTTGACCTGGGCTCCCTGGGGAAGCAGATCTGGGGATGTTGGAGTCATCCACCCGATAAGAGGGAATAGGGAGAAGGCCTGTGACTTCGGGGAGGCCAGTTAACCCCTGCTACCTCCATTGGAGGGCAGTGTCAGGAGGAACCCAAGCTTGTGGTTCTGCCTTAGGAGGAAGCCACAGAGCCTGAGATGCACAGGACGAAACACAAGTGCTCCCCCGCCTGCCCTGCCCGCCCCAGGGCTGCAGCTGATTAAGTGGACCATTGATTTTTTAAAATTGGATTTTAAGTGTTTAGAAAAAAATATCTCCTTTCCTTCATTTTGAAAGTGTTTGCATTAAGAGTGGAGAAGAGGACTGGGTAAGAGGCCCGGGCTGCCAGGGACCAGCGACAGGGCCAGGGTGTCTGCAAAGAAAGGAGACTTTCCTGAGTGTGCAGGTGCGGGTGTATGTATGTGTCAATGTGTGCATGTGCACAGGTATAGGTCTGTGTGCAAATGTATGTGTGTACCTGTGCGTATGAGTGTATAAGTGAATGTGTGCATGGTCTGTGCTATGTGCATACACACATGCCTGTACACGTGGTGTGTGGTGTGTGGAGGGGAAGAAAGCTGAACACATGCACCCTCCTTCCTCTGGGAGTGGCCGTCCTTGATGTCTCCGTAACTCTTGTACTCTTTGCACACAGGCGGCAGCAACTCTTCACACGTGAGCACAGCCCTTAGCAGAGGTGGAGACTCCTGCATTTGGCATCTCACGAGGCAGACTAAGTGGATGTTATTTGCCTTCACCAATTTTTGGAGAAGAGAAACCACAGCCAGGCAGGAGCAAATCACCTTCCCGGTGTCCCACGGAGGCAGGTGAAAGGCCGGGGGGAGCCATGGGACCACAGATGCCTGTGCTGCCCCCACCCAGGGAAAACCTTCCCTTGGCCCTGGACCACTTCACAACCAGAGGCCAATGCCACTCTCAGGAAGGGGCTTCTCACCCCTTTCCTGCCTGCAGCCTTCCTGGGCTGTGGCTCCTCCACCCAGCCTCAGGGCCCTTTTGCAGTTGGCCCTTGAAACCTGACCAGGTGTGACCCGCCTCCACTGCCCTCTCCCTTCCAGGGTCCTGGGGCTGTTCCTGCAGCTCAGAGGGCAGATTCCCGGGCCAGGAGGGGCCCTGGAGGACCGGCATCCATAGGAGCTGTTGGCAAGTGCTCTGTGATGTTGCCGGCTATGCTCGGGTCCTTGTCCGGGTAGCCTTGGCTCAGGGTCCCCACGGGCAGCCCAGGTCTGCTCTCTTGTTTACGGGGCATCCCCATCCCCTGGCCACTCCCTTTTCATGTGACAACACTGCCAACTTCAAACCTGGCTCCTGGCCTGGCCCACCCTGTTCCGTGTCCTGGGGAGGGGAGCCCTCATCTCAGGGGAGCCCTCTGTGGCAGTTCACGCTGTCAGTTCCTACTTCTGCTGGGAAACGCTCTCCTCCCTCCCTTTCCCAAAGCACCACCTTGTCCTGGTCCCCCACTCCCCGGCTGCTCCTCCTCACTCTCCCTTCCTCCACCTGCTCTCCCTGCTCCTCCCACTCTTCCTGCTCACCTGGGGCCAACTCACCTTCTCTCCAGACTTCACCTCCCTCCTGAATTCTGCCAGCTCCAGCTGCCTCCAGGGCTCTTCCACCCGGGAGTCCCACTGGCCCCTCAAATTCATCGAGGCTGAGACAGCCTGCCTCACCCCTTTGCCGGCACTCCAAACTTCCTGCATGGTGTCACCAGCCCCGCGTGTCCCCTTCCACATCCCCCGAGGGCACCTGACACTCCCATCTGGGCCCCGGGTCCTACTTCTCCTTCAGTAGCTCCTGTCCCCACTACAAGATGGGGGATAAGAAGAATCTAGAAAGACCAGTCAACAGCATTGGCAGAACTGAAAAGTCTGAAAACAGAAATGAAGGACTTGATCAATGGACTCACCAGTTCTCACAGTGGGGCAGAGCAGGAAATGATAATGGAGTGGGCGCTGGGGGTAGAAAATATTGAGGCAATAACAACATAAATGGACTAAGAATAAAAGAAAATAGTGAGGCTAAAATGAGGAGAGCAAAAAGAATGGAAAACACAGAGCAGAGAAAAAAATAATAAAAGCATGGGGCAGGATGTGAGGGCGAAACATACACGGACTGTGGTCTCAGAAGAGAAGAGGGGACAGAAACAGGATTTGAAGAAATCATGGCGGGGAATTTCCCAAAATGGAAGAAAACATATCAAGCTACCAATTCAAGAACCATAAAAAACCTTAAGAAGGACACGAAGAAAGCCACACATTAGCAGTGGAGCTGCTGATAACAAAAGACAGAGAAAACGTTAAATGCAGACACATTCCATTCCAGAAGGAAGGCATATCAGCCGGTCGTGATGTCACGCCTATAGTCCTAGCACTTTGGGAGGCCAAGGCGGGCGGATCATGAGGTCAGGAGTTCAAGACCAGCCTGGCCAACATGGTAAAACCCAGTCTCTACTAAAAATACAAAGTTTAGCCAGGCGTGGTGGCATGTGCCTACAATCCCAGCTACTTGGGAGGCTAAGGCAGGAGAATTGCTTGAACCCAGGAGGTGCAAGTTGCCATGAGCCAAGATCATGCCATTGTACTCCAGCCTGGGCGACAGAGCGAGACTCGTCTCAAACAAACCAACAAACAAGCAAACAAGCAAACAAACAGAAGGCATATCACACGGGCAACAAAAGGGGCCACCAAAAGACGGCAGTTGACTTCAACAAAAACAAGGTCTTCTTTAAAGTGATGAAGAAAAAGCCCCTTGTGAGCTCAGAATTCTATACCCAGCAAAAGATCTTCACAAATGAAGCAACATGAAGACATTTCCTAGTGAACCAGGTTGGAGAGACTCAGCTGTGAGTTGACCTGCAGAAAAAACAAAAAAGAAAAAACAAACGAACAAACAAAAAACAATAAAGAGAGGCTTCAGACAGAAGGGAGATAACGTCAGTTAGAAACAAAGAAAAAAAAGCATTGAGTGAAAGCAACAGAGAGGGCAAATGTGCAGGTGGATCTAAGTCAACATGGATTGCACAGACAATGGTTACTTTTAAAATACATGCCAAATTCAGATGAATAACAATAACACAAAAGGCTGGAAAAGGTTAAATGGAGTTGGCACATTCTGAAATCCTAGCATACTGGGAATGGGTGAAAGCACTTGTTTGTATTTGACTTTGATAAACCAAGAACGATACCAATCATAAGATAACCAGTGAGTTAAATAACTAATACGTGGGAGGCGGGGAAATTGACCTAAAGTAATGACTCTAGAAGAAGGCAATAAACAAGTTGGGGGGAAAGGAACAAAACAGGTTGGACAGTTAGAAAACAAATGTGAAGGTGGTAGACATAAGTAGCTCAATAATTACATTAAATGTGAATTGATTAATACTCAAAAGACAGGGATCAGCAGACCATATTCAAACACAGACACCGCCTGAAGAGACACACTTTTGGGCTGGGTTTGGTGGCTCACACCTGTAATCCCAGCACTTTGGGAGGCCAAGGCAGGCGGATCATGAGGTCAGGAGTTCAAGACCAGCCTGGCCAACATGGTGAAACCTCGTCTCTACTAAAAACACAAAAATTAGCCGGGCGTGGTGGCATGCCTGTAATCCCAGCTACTTAGGGGACTGAGGCAGGAGAATTGCTTGAACCCAGGAGGCGAAGATTGCAATGAGCTGAGATCATGCCATTGCACTCCAGCCTGGGTAATAGAGCGAGACTCTGTCTCAAAAAAAAAAAAAAAAAAAAGAAAAAAAGACACGCTTTTGTTACCAGATGGAAGTTCTGGACTATGAGTTGTCCAGGTTCTCGGTGTGTTGAACAAAGAATTGAATAAAACGCACAAATAAAGCAACAAGAGAACAAAGCAACAAAAGACAAAGCAACAAAAGAAAGAGTAATGAAAGCGCAGATTTACTGAAGAAGTGAAAGTACAATTCACAGAGTGGAAACGGGCTCGAGCAAGTGGCTCAAGGGCCTCTTCTACTGCGATGGTCCCCAGGGTTTTTATAAAGCCAAAAGAATTTGGCAACACCCCTAGGTGCCCCTTAGAGGCTTCGAACTGGTTATACCCTATGAAGGACTGGCTTGTTACCAATCAGAGGTTGAAGTGGAGACTTGGCCTGTGGTCCATCAGAGACTGCTGGCAACTTCTGTCTTGTTATTGCAGGAGTGAGGATGTGGCCTGGGTGCCGCCTAGTCCTGTCTAGAACCGGCTGCCCCTACAATTCTCTGGCTTACGTGAACCAGCTGCACCTGCTATTCCTTTCCTTATGCCCCAGCCCTTGGCTACCCCAATTCCCTATTCTCCTGCCTCACTTTAAATATAAGGATCCAGAAAACGTTAGAGTATAGAAAAAGATACATCACACAAACACTAGCCCCTAAAGCTGGCGCGGTTATACTAGTATCAGACAGATACCTTTGGGGCTTTAAGGTTTGGTAGCATACCTCAGTGCACAGCGATTGCCAGGCCGCTCCACCCAGGATACAGGGCGATTTGTGCACTTCACAGTGCGGCTTCAAAACATAAAGAGCAAGAATTCACAGAACTGAGAGGAGCCACAGCCCAGCCTCAACCGTAGGGGGTGTCTGGGCACAGCTCTGTCAAAATCCGATGCAATGAGCAGAGGACACTTTACCAGGACAGGAAGGGGCTGAGCAGCTGCTTCATAAACCCGACCCTACTGATGCGGGCGCAGTGCTGCACCCATCGCAGACCTCGTGATCTTCACATGGATGCGGGCGCAGTGCTGCACCCATCGCAGACCTGGTGATCTTCACGTGGATGCGGGAGCAGTGCTGCACCCATCGCAGACCTCGTGATCTTCACATGGATGCGGGAGCAGTGCTGCACCCATCGCAGACCTCGTGCTCTTCACATGGATGCGGGAGCAGTGCTGCACCCATCGCAGACCTCGTGCTCTTCACATGGATGCGGGCGCAGTGCTGCACCCATTGCAGACCTCGTGTTCCTCAGGGGCACATGGAGCTTTCCTAAAGCTTCCAATCTGTCCTCTACACCAAGGCAGGGCTTGTTCCAAAACGGACCCCCACCTGGTCCTTTTCTGCTGACAGCCCTGAGTTCCAGGGCCATCCTCCCTGCCTGGGCCAGATGCTGTGGCAGAGCTGTGAGCTCCAGGCCCTGCAGCAGGGCATCGGAAGCCTCCCGTGTCAATACAGTCACACGGTCACTAAATGCCAGGTGAGTACATCCCTGCTCTTCAAGGTCCTGCCATGCCTGAGTTTGGAGAAAGACCCAAAAGTCACATGTTGGCCCAAAGCCCTGCCTGATCCAACCCCAGTTTCCTGCGACCCAACTTCAACCCCCCAAGAGCACCTGCAGCCACACGGCCGTGGCATGTCCCAGAACATGCAGCACCACCCACCCCAGGGCCTTTGCTGCTTCTGCCTGCAACACGTGGTCCCAGGTGGCTCCCTGGGCGACCAGAAGTCCTTGCTCAGCTTGCACCCTGCCTGCTCCTTCAGCCCTGCAGCCTGGCCCACAAGCTCCCAACTCCTCTGCTGGGCTCCTGCCATCATCCCCTCCCTTCCTGTCATATCTACAGCGGCTGCAGTTTTCATAAATCCCTTGTCCTGTGATAGGAGGCAAGCTCCACGCAGGCAGAACCTACTGCCCTGTTCTCGAGAGCGTCCTTGTGCCCGGCACACGCTCAGCGCCCAGCAGGGGTGCAACAGCGCTTACTGAATGCATGGAAGGCGAGACCAGAAAGAGCACTGGGAGCTGTTGAGCTCCAGACACGGGGGCCAGCAGCCCCTCCCCTCACAGTGCGTATTGACCCCAAAGTCTTCCTGCTTCCTACTCTTTTTTTCAATCAGGCCTGAGAACATTGACATCTAGGCTCATTCTCCCTCTCTCTCTCAATGTCTGTCTCTCTGTCTGTGTCACCTGACCCTGAACACAAACACTGACACCTAGAACACGGAGTTGCAGACTTGGCCTCTTCCAACCACTTAATTTTGCAGATGTGGGCACCCCGGCCCACCCAATTCAAGAAGGGAACCTGTTTGCCTGGTGTCCCCAGGTGTCCTGCCTTCTGGTTCTGTGACCCATCGTACCCCCAGACTCCACCTGTGCAGCCAGCAGGCCCGGGGCAGGAGAGCACTGGTGCCCTCAGTGCAAAGGGACGGGTCAGGCACGCGTGCTCCAGTGTTCCAAACGGGGACAGAGACTGTGGGCCCCAGGGTCCTGTGTGGCTATGAGGCCTTTGCTGGTGACTCAGGAAGATCACAGGTGGGCAGGATAGGGGTCAGGAGAATGACCCCTATGGAAGGTCTGATTCATAAAGCAAGCTACAGCTGCCAGGCAGAGAGAAAGTGGGCTGGGCCATGCCTGTCAGAGGAAGAGTACCATCTTGCTCCCCATTCAGGTGAGATCAGACAATTATTTGGGGCAGGGAGAGAGCAGGAGGCGGCTCATCCCTGCTGGTGCCTCCTCGGACCCCATGCCCAGCACTCCATAGTTTACATTCCCTCCAGATGCCAGCCCTATAGGGAGAGATTATCATCTCCATTTTACAGAGAAGGAAACTGAGGCTCACAGTGTTTAAGGGTTAAATCTGTGGTTGCACAGCTGTTCAAGATGGATCCAGAGCCCATGAGCTGAGGGTGCACAGGGCATCCCACGGTCAGCCCCCACCTCTCCAGCCAGGCCCTCCCTCCACCCCAAATGCACGCACTTGCTCCCTGCACCTGGCAAGCCTCTGTCCGGCCTTCGCCGATGCTCTTTCTTCCTTCCCTGTCTACTCGGTTCTCTACCCTCAGCCATCCTTTAAGATTCGGATCTCTCCAGGATGCCTCCCTGGCCTGCTGAGGATGGGTCGGGGCCTCTCATACCCCTCCATGCTTTCCTCCACCTCGGGGTTGCCAGCAGGGGTGCCACGCCAGATTCCTCTGTCTGTCCCCTACAGGTGACGAACACCTCCTTGGGAGCAGGAGCCTGTCTCGTCATCCTGCCTCCAGCGCTGGCCCCTGGCCCAGCACATAGCGGGTCCTCAGCGAATGTTTTGGAATGAACTAGTCTTTTAAAATTAAATTTCTTTCAACGACTCATGAGCTCAATGAATCCAGCCCTCTGCTGCCTCCTCCATTCTCTGCACACACGTGCACAGCAAGCCCCGCCTTTGATTGCGAGCTCTTCCTTGGAAGAAAGCAACAGGAGCTCTCTCCTTACCAATGTCACTGGTTGGGTTTGGTCTTGCCATTGTTCTGGGGATGAGCCGGGTGCCTGCACCCTCCACCTAGTCTCAGACTGCCTTCCGGGAGTCTCCACAGAGAACCAGAGCACGGGCCTGTGCACTCCAGGGGCACAGCTGGGAGAGGGACTTGCCCGGCGCCACCCAGCTGGTGGTAAAGGGAGCAGGAATGGACCCTGGGTTCCGCCCCCGGCCCAGTGCCTCAAAGATAAACAGCACCCTCCCCGTGAGGCCACACAGCACACGAACATTCATGCAATCGTTGGAATGGGAAAGTGAACACAATTTCTTCATTAATAATCTCTTCCTAAGGGGATTTTCCATTGTTAATCTTTTTTTTAATTAGAGAAATTATAGAATGTGTTGAAAGTAGGGCCTGGGAAGATGTCACCAGAAGGGAAGGATGACGGTCGCGCATCTCCCGTAAGCTCCACTGCGCGAGGCGTGGACGAATCCTGGGCTCGGCGCCGGCCGTCCCGCCTGGGGTACAGGGCGCCACGCAGTGGCCTTGCGGGGAGCTGCAGGCCAGGCCTCCGGGGAAGGGACGGGAAAGAACCAAATACCCATTGACAGCAGTGTCCGGGAGGACCTGGGCGATACAGGAGCGACGCCCAGAACAGCTCCCGCAGAAACCCCTGCCTCTTCCTCTGCAATTCTTTCTCGCTGCTGCCCTTCCCCGTGCCTCCGTGTGAGTGTGTTGTGCAGAGAGACACTCTACAATCCAGAGGCGGGAGAGACACAGCGCACTGGTGGGCGGGACGGCTGGAGATGGCCTGTGTCTCCCCACACTGCTGGCGGGTCATCCTCCCTGCCCCACACATCCCAGGAAAGACAGCACAGTGGGAGGAGGTGGACTCTGTCGTTTCCCCCACCCCAGTCAAAAGCGGATGTGGCCCTGGGCCCCCAGCATCACCTCTCTGATCCTGTTTCCTCAGTAAAATGGGTGCAAGAATCTCTGCTACGTCGGGAGCCACAGAAGAAGCGGGACGTGGGCATAATTGAATTACTGCACCAGAATCTTTTGTTTTTTGAGACAGAGTCTCGCTCTGTCGTCCAGGCTGGAGTGCAGTGGCACGATCTTGGCTCACTGCAACCTCCGCCTCCTGGGTTCAAGCAATTCTCCTGTCTCAGCCTCCCGAGTAGCTGGAACTACAGGTGCCCCCAACCATGCCTGGCTAATTTTTGTATTTTTAGTAGAGATGGGATTTCACCATATTGGTCAGGCTGGTCTCGAGCTCGTGACCTCAGGTGATCCACCCGCCTCAGCTTCTCAAAATGCTGAGATTACAGGTGTGAGCCACCACGCCCAGCAAGCACCAGAATCTTTTATATCAATTTCTCTTGTGACAAATACTCAAATTATTGCAAATGGTTGTTTTCAAAATCAGTGCCCTGTATCTTGACTGTGGCAGTGGCCATTTGAAGCTACACATGTGAAAAAAATTGCACAAGATTAAGCAGACACACCACACACACCAAACCACACACACCACACACACTACACACACACATCCCCACACACACCACACACACCACACACACACTACCCACACACCCACACACACCACATACAAACCACACACACTACACACACACACCACACACACTACACCCACCACACACAATATACACACACACCCACACACACCACACACACACCACACACACACACCACACACACACACTACACACACCACACACATACCACACACACGCTACACATACCACACACACACCACACACACACCACACACTACACACACCACACACATACCCCACACACACACACCACACACCACACACACACCACACACACTATACACACCACACACATACCACACACACACTACACACACCACACACATACCACACACACACTACACACACCACACACACTACACACACCACACACACACCACACACTACACACACCACATACACACATACCCTCCACACACACACCACACACACACACACCACACACACACGCACACACACTGCCATGCAAAACCGAGAATTGGAATAGGGTGATGGACTGTCTCCTAGCATGTTGATTTCCTGGTTGGCCTCCTCCTAGCTATGCAAGATGTTACCATAGGGAGAGCTGGGTGAAGGGTACATAAGATCTCTCTGAATCATTTGTTACCACTGCATGTGAATCAACAATTATCTCAAAATAAAAAGGATTGTACAATCATGGTAAATACATCATGATAAAAACATGAACAACATGTAGATGTTTCTGGCTCTACATCCCTGTTTCCTGAACGGCTCTTTGGAAGAGAATTACTAGGTCTAAGGGCCAGAACTTTGAAACATGCCTGAGTGCTCAAAACCACACCATACTGCGCTCTAGAAGGGTTCTGGTTGACTCTCTGGGCTGCCGACTCTGCACCCAGGTTGGTAGCAGACGCTGCCATCTGCAGACTCACATGGGGTGAATTCTCAGATTGAATGCACCTTCACAACCCTGTGCCTCCATTTCCCCAACTTTAAGAGAGAGACTGTCACCTGTCCCAAAGAATTCCTTGGAGAATAAAAGGAGAGCATACCAGGGTTTCCAGATTTACTTGATTTTCAGAGCCACTGAGGCAGCATGTGAGAATGCAGATCCCAGATGCACAGCGGGCCCAGGCATCAGCCCCCAGAGGAGGGACAGGGACATCCCTCCACTGGCAAGAGTCGGGGTGATTCTAACAGTCACGCTGTGCCCCTGGGTCTCCATAGCTATGCCCTACATGTCCCTTCTGCTGTTCCCAATATGTGCAACAGGCTCGGCCTCAGCAATGCCCCCCCACCTCTGTGTCCCATCCAGGCCACACTCAGCTGCTGGTCCCTCTCTGCTTCCCAGAATGGAGGCATGGGAAGTCCTCTGCTGGAAGGTCAGGCAGCACTGGCCACTGCTCCTCCCAACCCAGGAGATGCAGGGCCGGCTTAAACGCTTCTGGCAGATTCACTGGTTGCAATTTGGCCAGCCCCAAGGGGTGAGTATCATTTGGTCTAAGGCAGAGATCAGCAAACTATATTTGGCCTGTGGAACAAATCTTACTCATTGCTTATTTTTGTAAATCAAGTTTTATTGAAACACAGCCACATCCATTTATTTTTGCATCATCTGTGGCTGGTTTTTTTTTTTTTTAAGAGACAGGGTCTTGCTATGTTGCCCAGGCTGATCTTGAACTCTTGGGTTCAAGTAATCCTCCCACTTCAGCCTCTGGAGTAGCTGGGGCTACAGGTGGGCACGAGTGTGCCCGGCATGTGGCTGCTTTTGTGCTACAATCTCATGGTTGAGTCAGAGATCATATGGCTCCCAAAGCCAAAACTATTCACCATCAGGCCCTTCACAGAAATAGTTCACCGATCCTTGATGTAAGGTCATGGCAATTCAATCCCTTCCAGAAGGGCTTGTGATTCAAGTCAGGACAATGAGACGTGGGACATCTGGGAACGTTTTCTCTCCTCATCAGTGAAAGGGAGAGTTCCCTTGGCCAGAGCAGCAGTCCCCCTTGCTTCCTGTTTGGTCGCTGTGGTGTGACAAGATCGGTGGAGTAGGGGTAGCCATCGTGGAACCACGAGGAGAGACATGGTGGCTGCACTTAGGATCAGAGACTAGGTCCCCATGCAGCATGGAGTGGACTAGCCCCCCCTGAGACCACCCACCTGGCTAACCTGCAGTCATCCTGTGAAGGAAGCAAGACCTGTCTTGAAATGTACCGCCCATTATGAGACAGGCATGTCGTTACTGATTCCACGCCGCTTAAGGTCCTTTATTTAATGATTAGGATAGGATAACCTGTTAAAATAGTGTCATCTTGGCTGGGCGCTTTGGCTCATGCCTGTAATCTCAGCACTTTGGGAGGCCAAGGTGGAAGGGTTGCTTGACACCGGGAGTTTGAGACCAGTGTGGGCAACATAGTGAGAACTTATCTCTAAATTTTTTTTAATGAAAAAATAAAATGAAATGAAAGAGTGTCACCGTGTGCAGCCATTACAGCTCCACTCACGGTGGCTGACTTCACAACACCCTCCAGGAGGGGGGTGGCTACTACTGTCCCCATTTTTCACTTGAACAAACGGAGGTTCAGAGTGATTGTGCTGGGTGGTAAATGCGTGTTTCATTGCTACTGTGTGCCAGATGAGTCAGCTCAGGCTGCCCTAAGAAAATTCCACAGACTGGACAGCATAGACAAACAACAGACATGTATGTCCTCACAGTACTGGAGGCTGGGAGTTTGAGGTCTAGGTGCCAATTCAGTTCCTAGTGAGGAGTCTTTCTGGCGTGTAGACAGCCACCTTCTCACCGTGTCTGCACATGGCAGAGAGAGTGCATGCTCTGATGTCTCTTTTCTTCCCATAAGGGCATTAAGCCCACCACAAGGACCTCACCCTCAGGACCTCATCTAAACTCAGTTATCTCCCCAAAGCCCTACCTCCAAATATAGTCACATGGGAGGTTAGAGCATTGACATATGAATTGGGGTGGTGAGGGAGGAGGACACAATTAATTCTGTGGCAGTGATGCATGGACAAAGGCAAGCAAAGAGACAAGGCCCCTCATTCTCCAACCTGATATCTGGGGACTTGCCCAAGTCTACAGTGAGAGAAAGTAGTTTGGCCAAGATTCCAAGTCTGATTCCAAGTTTCTGTTTCTTCTTATGACACACATTGTCATCCCACATGACTCTCAAACCATTACCTTGTTTTACCCCAAGAGGAGAGCAGGCCAAGGCTTATGACTATCCTTCTGTCAATGAGAACATCATGATCCTTTCTTCTTTAGAGCCAAAGCAGGGTGAAATTCATCCATCTAGCATCTATCTATTCAACTATCCACCTACATATCCATCCACCCAACCATGCATCCATCCACTCACTCACCCACCCACCCATTCACCCACCCATCCATCCATCCATCTGTCCACCCATTCATTTATCTATCCATCCATCCATTCATCCACCCACCCATTCATGCATCCATCCACCCATCCATCCACTCATCCATCCACCCACTCATCCATCCATTCACCCATTCATTCATTAACCCATCTACTCATCCATCTATCCACCCACCCACTTATCTATGCACCCATCCATCCATCTATCTGCCCATTCATCCATCCATCCATCCATCTACCGGCTCACCCATCCATCCACTCATCTATCCACCCACGCATCGATCTATCCATCCATCCATCTATCCACCCACCCATTTATCCATCCATCCATCCATCCACCTATTCATGCATCCATCCACCCATCCACCCACTCACCCATCCATCCATCCGCTTATCCATCCACACACTCATCCATCCCTTAACCCATCCACTCTTTCATCTATCTACCCGCTCACTTATCTATCCACCCATTAACCAATCCATCCACCTACCCATCCATCCATCCACCCACCCACTCAGCTATCCACCCATCTACCTATTTTTCCACCCATCCATGGATTTATTCAACAAGTATGCTCTGAGCAACCGCCAAGGTCAAGACCCTCCTATTCCTTCACCAACTTAATTCCCACCCTCAGAATCCTCATTTGCTGCTTTGCCAAACCTCTCAGAAACCTAATGGAGACCTGGCACCCAGGCTCTGCACATTACCATGCAGCTGGTGACCTCAACTGTGCTGAGGCCCTGCAGAGCCACTCTGGGAGCTCCTCCCATCTGGGAGCATCCTTGTTTCCAACCCACGGCAAATTTTCCAGCATCTGGGAAAATTTCCATCCCATGGGAAAATTTTCCAGCAGCCCTCCTCTTGCTCCTGGGGGCCAGGGGAGCTGAGGGAACCACCACAGAGAAAGGGAAAAGGGTGTGCCTTTCCTTCCTGCCCATGACTTTGTCTGCTGGGGCCTGAAAACCGATCTTCCGTACGGGCGGGCCCAGCTGAACTCAAAATGGAAAACAGACCCTTGGCGGCTAGAGAGCAGCCAGCCCAGACAGCCTGGGATCAAAGGCAGGCTGGGCTGTCCGCAAGCCCCAGCGCGGTGTCTGGTTATCAAATTTGCACTTGGCAACGTCTCTCCTGCTCACTCTCCCAGAGGGAAGAAAGATCCAGCCCAGCCAGGTAGCACACTGCACAGAGAGGCTGGATGAGAGCCCGGCCTGAGGTCCTGCTGCTGTTCCTGACTCTTGAATGGGCTGCTGCCAGGGGCCCTCACTTGCTGAGTGCCAACATAAAGTGTATGTCCAGCACTTTATATGTGGCAAGTGTAGCCTGCATAGAAACTTTGGCTACCAGGTGCTAGTTAACAGCACAGGTCATCCATCAGGAGCCTAAGTCCCTTGCCCAAGTCCCATGGCTGGCATGTGGCAGAGCTGGGACACGGACCTCCAAAGGCAGCATGCTTTCAGGTCCCTGGTGCTGCTGCTTCTCAATGTGGCTTCTTGTCCTGTTGTGGTTGGGGGTGGGCTCAAGTCGGGGTGAGGAAAGTCTGGGTGCCCTGGGGTAGAAGGGCCCTGGAGGTAATCAGCATCCTCAGCCCGATGGAGAAGGTGAACAGGTAACAAAGGAGTAGCAGGTGATCGCCAGGATACTCACCTGCAGCAGGCCTCTGCATCGGGTAGCTTTTGCTGCTTAACAAAACCAGCCCACACTCAGTGGGGTATGATGGTGACCATTCATGGCTCAGGTGTCTATGGTCAGCTGGGGGACCGACCAGGGACCATGGGGGCTCTGCAGATTTGGCAAGCCTTAGCTGAGACAATGGGAGGATGTGGCTCTGTGCTGTGGGGATCACTTCCTCCAGCCCACTGGCTTGGGCACAGGCTCATGTGGGGAGTGGAGGAACCGGAGAGCTCAAAGGAACACACAAGGCTCCAAGAGGTCAGGACTCGAAACTGACATCGTTCATGTCTGCCTCATTCTATTGGCAAAAGAAAGTCACAGGCTGAGCAGAGCCAGAGTGGAAAGACACCTCCAGGTTACAGGGCAAAGACCTGGGGAGGAGAATGGCATTGGATTCAGGGTCTACAACATAATGGGGTAACTTTGTCCCCTAGGACAGAGGCAAATGCATTAACCATCACCAGACTCCCCAGCCCCACCACTGTCCAAACTACCTTGGCTAGAGACACTCCAGCAGCTGCATTACCTCCCCCTTGTTGGTCCATCTAATTGCCCACAGAGTCCACGCACAGGGTTGTCCATACCTGGCCTGGCATGGTCACTTGCTCCCCCACAGTGACCCCTGACCCTCTAGGGTGGAGTGGCCATGTGGCTTCCTGCTTCCCCACCCCCCATGGCGCTGGGACTCTGCTAGTACTCGCTGGCCCGCTTGGTGATAGCTACAGCAGCAAGACTAATAACACCGGTGCCTGGGGCTTCCCCTGCCTAGAGCCTGGCCTCGTCCATTACCGGCCAAGGGTGCTTGTCATCACACTCCAGGTGCAAATCGGAATCAAATGTGGTGCCCGAGACGGCGAAAATGCTCCATTTCACATTTGCACAAAAGCTGGGAGGGGGAGAAGCTCTCTTCTGTCAACTTGAAAGGGAAGGAGAGGCAGCAAGGAAGGAACGAAGCTGCGATAACTCCTTAAAACTTTGTTTTTCATTTTCCCCTCTTGGCTCCTTGGGCCCGGAGAGCGAACGGGGCCGAATCCCACAAGAAAGGCGGCTCCAGTCAGGGCCTAAGCAAAGCCACGTGTCTTCATAGCTCTTTAGATGTCTTGAAATGTTTTTCAAATGTCTGGGCCCCCAAAACTCTGTTGCTGAAGAATGCCTCCCCACCAAGGCTGGGGGCTCTGTCGCCTCTCCAGTCCTGGGCAGCTCCAGCCACATGCCTCTCCTGGGGCTTCCTGCTCTCTGATGCCTCTCAGGAATCTGCAGGTTGACAGCACTGACTAGCAACTCTCAGGCACTTCATTCATTCAACTTAGCATGATCTCTCCAATTACCCCTGAAAACAGGCGGCTTTACCCTTTTGTAGATGTGGCGGAGAAGCCTCAAAGCGGGGGCATCTTTGGCCTCTGGATCCCACAGCTGGGGAGCTGTTGTTTCAACCCTGATCTCTCTGGTCCAAAGCTGGGCATCTTCCACCATCCTATGCAGCCTCCCTGGAAGGCCCACACCTTGCGTCCAGTCTCTTCTGACTCCAAAGTTCCCTCTAGCTTCTGCCTGCAAGCCTCTGGAGGCAGGCTGCTTTGCAGTGCAGAAATCCTCCTATTCTACCTCCCAACACACACACACTCAAAGTGGGAATTTACTTATATTCCCCTCCTTTTGGGGAGGAAATGGGGGATTCCTCTATATGCTTACTTATAGGTCTAGTGATCATGGGGTGACTCATAGCGCATTAACCCAAGGGTAGCTTGAGTTCTCCACTTCCACTTCTGTTTCTCCACGTCCTCCCTCTGCTGCCCCTTGCTCCACTGTGCTGACCTGCATGGGTGTATCTCTGGACTTCTGCAACCTGTGCCTTCCAGCCAGGTTTGTCCAGAAGGGAACCCAGTGGAGAGTAGCAGGAGGGAGAAGAGCAAGATCAGGTCCTCAGTGCCCTGGCTCTTCCCCACGAGGTTGCCGGGAGCTGGAGTGTCCTCCAGCTGAGCGTCCCTCCCTCTGCTGTCTCTCTCTCTCTCTCTCTCTCTCCTATCACTGTGTCTCTCTGTCTCTCCCTCCCTCCTTCTCTCTCCCTCCTTCCTCTTTCTCTTTGTCTCTCTGTCTCTGTCTCGCCATCTGCCTCTCTCCTCTGTCTCTCTCTCTGTTTCTCTCTCTCTCTGCCATAATCACCTGCCTACCTTGTCCCATAAGGACTAGAGGTGGTAAGAGCTCAGCTGCAGCAAACCCAGGCACTAGACCCTTCCTTGTGCCCCTTACACCACACCATCCAGACTAGACCCTCCTCTTGCCACCCTGTGTTAAGTGTGCCATCTGATCCTGTTGGTGTCTTGACAACCGGAAGTCCCTTGATAATGCCATGTTAGCGGGAGAAGCAGGAAGCCCTGGCATAGCCAACAACAGGGTCCTGGCTCAGCTTGCTACCCTGACGGAAACCAATTACCACGTAAGACGCAGGCTCACCAGGCCTTGGTGAGGACCTGCTGTGAGCCCGACTCAGCCAGGTGGTCTGCACCCATCCCCCAACAGCCAGTACACTGATCCCAGTGTTTGTCACGTGAACAAATACAGGGACACAAAAGTGGGGCAATTTCCAAGCTTTGCCAGGTTACCCAGCAGGCTGAGAGAGAAGGCCTGACCCAGGTACCAAGTAATCTCCAAGCAGGTGAGAAACCTGTGGTGAGTGAGGGGTGAGGGGTCTGCCCTGGGGCAGAAAGGCAGAGACCAGGACAGAAATCCTAGCTCAGCTGTGTGGCCTTGGGCAGGTGTCTGAATGTCTCTGTGTTTTAGCCTCTTTGCCCTGCACAACAGAATGGAGAAGTCCGGTCCAATCTTCTTTCCGTGTCAGGATGTTGTGCAGGTCAGATGAGAAAATGATTTCTGGATGGTAAAATCCTGCAAGGGAGAATTAGTGACATCATGATTCATGATTGTCCATGGCCGACCTGGAATGCTGGCTCTTTCTAATCTCCCCAAATGCCATTAGGAGCTCATGGGAACCACACAGGCCCTTCTCAGCCTGGGACCCATCAATCACTCATAGTGGACCATAAAGCTAAATGACAGAGCCAAGACCATAAACCCTCTAGAAGGAACAATGGAGAAAGTGGAAATAAACTTGGGATAGGCAAATTCTCCACAGGACACAAAAGCACAAGCACAAACCGCAAGAGAAAAGAATTGATCACTTGGACTCTACCAAAATGAAAAGCTTTGCTTTGCAAAAGAAGCATTTAAAGAAAATGAAAAGACAAACCACAGCCTGGGAGAAAGTATTTGTAAAAATGCGTACCTGGTAAAAAAACAAAATTGTCCAGAATATACATTTTTTAAAACATTTCTGACAAGTCAATAATAAGATAACCAAATTTAAAAATGGGGGCAGGCAGGTCACAGCGGCTCACACCTGTAATCCCAGCACTTTGGGAGGCCGAAGTGGGAGGATCTTTTGAGCCCAGGAGTTTTAGACCAGCCTGGGCAACATAGTGAGACCATATCTCTACAAAAAATACAAAAATTAGCTTGTGGTGGTGGCGCACACCTGTGGTCCCAGCTACTCAGGAGGCTAAGATGGGAGGATCACTTGAGCCCAAAGATGGAAGCTGCAGTGAGCTATGATTGTGCCGTTACACTCCAGCCTGGGTGACAGAGCAAGACCTGTCTCAAATAATAATAGTAATACATTAAAAATTTAAAAACGTTAGCAAATAATAAATGGGCAGGAGATTTGAACAGATACTTACCTAAAGAAGATTATTAATAGCTGTTGAGTGCCTGAAAATAAGCTCAACACCATCAGGCTTTAGGAAAGTGGAAATTAAAACCACAGTGGGACACCACTGCACTCCCTTGAGAATGGGTAAAGTTAAAAAGACTGATAATGCCAAGTGTTGTCAAAGGTGTGGACCAACAGGAATGCTTATGTACTGCTGGAGGCTTTGCAGGGAGGCTGGCCTCTCTGGAGACCAATTCAGCAGTTTCTTATACAGTTAAACAGGTCCTTGCCACTGACTCTCCACTCCTGTTTGTCGACATATGAGAAATGAAATTATATGTCCACATAAATGCTCACAGCAATGTCCCTCAGATGTGGTCAGTTAGATTTCTGTTTTAATCTTTACAGACTCGTGAACGTGACCATCTCCAGTGCATCTCAGCGGATGGCAGTCATTACCTGTGTTATCCTTAGGGAAGTCAAATTCTCCACCTTTGGCCAGTAGGGGCCTCATCATATTGGCTTCTGAGTCTTTTTCTTTTTCTCCAATATCTTTTTTTGTGTGTCATAAAATACACATGACATGAAATTTATCTTTGTAACCATTTTTTTTTCTTTTTTTTTTTTTTTTTGAGACAGAGTCTCACTCTCTCTGCCAGTCTGGAGTGCAGTGGCATGATCTCGGCTCACGGCAAGCTCCGCCTCAAGGGTTCACGCCATTCTCCTGCCTCAGCCTCCTGAGTAGCTGGGACTACAGGTGCCTGCCACCATGCCCGGCTAATTTTTTGTATTTTTTAGTAGAGACAGGGTTTCACTGTGTTAGCCAGGATGGTCTCGATCTCCTGACCTCGTGATCCACCCACCTCGGCCTCCCAAAGTGTTGGGATTACAGGTGTGAGCTACCGCGTGTGGCCCTTGTAACCATTTTTAAGTGTACAGTACAGTAGCATTATGCACATTTACATTGTTGTGCAGCCATCATCTGTCTCTAGAATGTTCTCACCTTCCCAAACTGAGACTCTGTCCCCATTAAACACTCCCTCCCCATTTACCCATCCCCAGCCCCTGAGACCCATCTTCTGTCTCTATGAATCTGAATACTCTTGGGACCTCCTACAAATGGAATCTGACTACATTTGTGCCCTTGTGTGTTATTCATTTACTACGACATCTTCAAGGTTCATCCAAGTTGTAGCCTGGGTCAGGACTTCTTTCCTTTTTATGACTGAATAATATTCCAAGGTATAGATGGATCACACTTGGTTTATCCATTCATCCATGAATGAATGTTGGGTTGTTTTTACTTTTTGGCCACTCGGAATAATGCTGCTATGAACACAAATGTACATATATTTATTTGAGTCCCCGCTTTCCATTCTTTTGAGTGTATACACAGAAGTAGAATTGCTAGATCATATGTTGATTTATTTTTAATTTTTTGAGGAACTGCCAGTCTGTCTTCTGCAGCAGCCACACCGTTGACCTTCCCACCAGCAGTGCACAGGGGTTCCAGTTTCTCCACATCCTTGCCAACATTTATTGTTGTGACTGTTTTTTATCACAGCCATCCTTGTGGGTGTGGGGTGGGGCCTGAGTCTTTCTGATGTGGCCTTCACGCCCATGACACCTTCCTTGCCCACAGGTTTGACTGTGTGTGCAGCGCCCTCAGAGGGGAGGAGAATGAGAGGCGGCGCGGTCAGGAAAGAGGCACTGCGGAGCTCAAGGGCCTGGCAGGCGGGTGCGGTGAGGACTTCGAATCCTGCCCTGAGTCCCGCGGGAGCTGCTAGATGCTCAATGTTGGGGTCTGACTTATGTTGGAGGAGGCATCCTTGACCATTCTGTGCAGAATAGGTTGTAGGGGAGGGAGGATAAAGGCCAGGGGATGAGTTCAGAGGCTGTGGGAATCACTGAAGAGGTGAGGCAGGGGTTCCCAGGAACAGACAATGATTTCTACCATGTATCCCTCCAGCGCCTCTGCGGGTAATATGCTATTTTCCCAGGGCCAGAGATGGGAGTCTAAGGCTTATGAGGGACATGATTGGCAGAGAGGTCATTGATGGGACCAGATCTGAGAACCTGGATGAAGGAGTGGAAGAACTGGTGTGCTACACACATGTTGAATATATTTTGTTGGAATTATTTGGTACACAAGGTTTTACTTCTTGACTAAAAACTAATATTAACCCTTACACAGGACTTCACTATTTTCCAAGTGCTTCTTGTGTATGATCATATTTGATCTTCCTACAGTACTCCAAAGTAGACAGATCGGGGTCTGTTGTTCCACAGAGAAGGAGGCCAAGGCTTGGGGAGTAGGCCCAAGATCGGCTGCACCTCTGGGGGTGGAAACGGACCTTTGGCCTCAGACCAAACATTGAAATTCAAATTTTTAAAAATTCGTAAGTAGCATTGAGTAAAGCCAGCCTACAGCTCCTGAGCAGCTTCCACAGATGGACCAAGCCTGGTGCAGCAAGTACGCAGCAACTACTGTTGAGCGGCCAGGGCCAGGGCGCCTGCGTAAGTTACTCCTCCTATCTCCCTCAAAGCTCCAAACCCTTGGCAGCCCAGGAGAGCAATTCCCCCACCTCTCTGTCTCCCCTGCTGACTGTGAGCTCTCTGAGGGCAGGGCCAAATCCAATTTCTCTATGTTTTATGCAAGCTAATGCTGTGGCTGATGACAGTGCCTGTTGGTGAATGATGTTGGACAAGGGAAGTGAAAAGTTATAAATGGGAATCAGATCTGGCGAGAGACATGGGAAAGCCCGGAAGACTGCTTAGGACAGAGACTGGCTCAGCCTTAGGGGCAAGCGGTGTCTGGTTAGGACAGAGACTGGGTCAGCCTTAGGGGTGAGCGGTGTCTGGTTAGGATGGAGACTGGGTCAGCCTTTGGGCTGGCGGTGTCTGGTTAGGACAGAGATTAGGTCAGCCTTAGGTGTGGGCGGTGCCTGGTTAGGTCAGACTGGGTCAGCCTTTGGGCCGGTGGTGCCTGGTTGGCTGAGAAGCAGACTGAGGTCAGCACCGGGGACAGCTCCCAGTGACTTCAGCCCCGCAGCGCCCCTCTCCAGCCCGGTGCCCTCAACAGCCCTCACCAGAGAGGGGAAGATCCTTCCTGGTTCTTGCTGTGTCCTGATCTACTCTGGCGGTCCCAGGATTCATCAGACAGTGCCATTCTCTTTTCTCAGAGGATATGGGGTTCAGGCAGTAAGTTCTGACCCCCTCATTGGGAGGGAAATCGAATGGGAGGCATTTGATGAATCTGAAAACAGCAGTGCAGAGAGGGACCTTGAGGTCATCTGACTGAGGAGGTAACTGCATAGGGACTGCAGGACCAGACCCAACCCCTGGCAAGAGCTCCTGCACTGTGAGAAGAACACGGGGACAGGGACAGGGGCTCAGCTTTATACCTGACCCAAAGACAGCTCCATCATGCCTGTTGCAGCCAAAGCTCCCTTGGCAAATCTGGAAGCTCCTTTGGTGAATCTGGAAGCTGAGGCTCTCCCCAGCTGTGGCCTGGCAGGTTTCTCCCCTCTCTTCCTCTGAACATCCACCGCCAGAGGTAGAGACAGGACCCCAAGCTGGCTGTAGAGCAGAGACCTTGGCCGTGCACCCTGAGGCAGTCAACAGGAGAAATAACCTCCCTGTTTTGCAGAGAGAAGAGGGGCTGGAAACAGAGGCTTAAGCAGGGACCCGGTTGCCATCCAGGTTCCTCCTCGCATCCGCTGTGTGACTGTAGGTGCGTCCCCACCCTCTCTGAGCTGGGGATATTCAGTTACAGAAGGAGCATAAACACACCCACTTCATCTTATCTGGGGGCCTGTGCTGGCCTCCTTCAGGCTGGGCTCACTGCTTCACCCCCACAGGGCCCCACCCCACGGGTTCTCGCCCCTTTCCCAGAAGAAGCTGGCAGAGGAGACTGTGCCTCCGCCCTCCCATCTCTCCAGCATGAGCTGTGTGAGTGTCTGCGGTGTGGCCGGGGAGGTGGTGGGTCTGGGGATGTTCCCGTCATCCTCCCCTGACTGTCACCCTGTGCCTTCTCTTCCCAGAAAAGCTTCTAAATGTAGGCAAGCGTCTTTTCTTTCTGACGAGAAAGGTGATGCTGGTGACCAGAATAGCTCAGAGCAGGGGCGGGACGGGTGGCCCAGGTAGCAGCTGAGCAGGACCGGGAGCAGCCGGTTCCTCAGCGTCATCCCCACAATCAATCTCTGACAGGTTGTTCCTGGAATGGGTGGGCAAAGTGTGCTTTGAAACAAGCTTGCTTCCTGCCTCTGCCCCCTCTCCATGCAAGAAGCATCTCCGCTCATCACAGGGATTTGATGGGAAGACCTCGGTGCCCACCCACCCATCAGGGTATGGACACTGTGGTGTCTGATGTCCCTTCCAGCTGTAGCCTCCCAAGCTCCAAGATACCGCATTTCTCTGCTGGGATCAATCAAGAAACATGAGTGATTTGAGGGACAGTTGGCATTTATGGGGTATGCATTGAATGCCTGGTCGTGGACTCCAGGACTTCCAAGGACACTCAAATCCAAGGATGCTCAAATCCCTGACGTAAAATGGCATAGTATTTGCATGGAACATACAAGTCTTCCCACATCCTTGAAATCATCTCTGGATGACTTATACTACCTAATATAACGTAAATGTTATGTAAACAGCTGTTGGAGTTTTATTTATATATTGTATTGTATTATAATTCTTAATTATTTTGTCAGGTATTTTGGATCCACAGTTGGTTGAATCCGCAAAGCAAAACCCGCAGATACGAGGGGCTGGCTCTGTCTTCACATTCAAGACAAACCCTAAAATGCTGTTGCTGGTTTAGAGATGGGCCAACGGAGGCCCAGAGGGGGACACAGCTTCCCCGGGGCACAGCTGTACATGGCAGAGCTGGGGTGAGACCCAGGCCCCTTTGACTACAAAGCCTGTGCTTCTTCTGCTCCCTCTTTTTTTTTTTTTTTTTTTGTTGTTGTTGTAGTTGTTGTTGAGATGGAGTCTCGCTCTGTTTCCCAGTCTGGAGTGCAGTGGTGCGATCTCGACTCACTGCAACCTCCACCTCCCTGGTTCAAGCAATTCCCCTGCCTCAGCCTCCCAAGTAGCTGGGATTACAGGCACATGCCACCATGCCTGGCTAATTTTTTTGTATTTTTAGTGGAGAGGGGGTTTCACTGTGTTAGCCAGGCTAGTCTCAAACTCCTGACCTCAGGCAATCTGCCTGCCTCAGCCTCCCAAAATGCTGGGACTACAGGTGTGAGCCACTGTGCCCGGCCCTCCTGTTCCCTGTTTAGCAAGTGCTTACCAGGTAACCCACCCCAGGGGGCGGGAAAAAGCCCCTCACAGCGCCAGGGATGCAGTCAGGAGTCTGAGGCCACCCCTGCCTCCAAGGTCTCACGGCACAGTGGGAGGGAATGCTTCTGACATATTTTCATGAAATCAATACCGTGGTAAGAGGAGAACTGGGGTGGTGGATTGAATAGTGGCCCCCAAATTCATGTCCCCCAGAGCCTCAGAATGTGACCTTATTTGCAAATAGCGTCTTTGCAGATATAATTAAGGTCAGAGTCAAGGGATGAGATCATCCTGGACTAAGCAGGTGGACCCTAAATCTAATGACTGGTGTCCTCAGAAGAGGAGGAGAAGAGACACAGATGCACAGAGATAAGATGCACAGAAGAGGAGGCTGGAGCAATGTGGCCACAGGCCAGAGAACATCCGGGGCCACCAGAAGCTGGAAGAGGCAGGAAGGAGCCTCCCCCAGAGCCTTTGGAGGGGGCAAGGTCCTGCCGACACCCTGACTTTGGACTTCAGGCCTCTAGAACCGTGAGAGAATCTATCTGGACTTAAGCCCCCAGAGTGTAGTCCCCTGTTACAGCGGCCGAGGACACTAACGCACCTGGGCTAGGAGCCAGCAGAGCAGGCAGCTTCTGGCAGGTGAGCAGCGTGAAGGGCTGCCTGAGACTCCCTGGCCTCCGACACCCACCTGTGAAGTGACCGAGGCTGAGGTGTGACAGGGGGTCCTGGGCAATCAATCCTGCAGTGCAGAGCTTCTCAAACCTGGGGAGCCTCACTGCAAAGGTGCATAAAGCATCAACTGCTGGGTCCCAACTCAGGAGTTTCCAAGGCAGCAGGTCTGGGGCCAAACTTGGGAATTTGCATTTTCAACAAGTGCCTGGGTGATCCTGGCTCTGCAACTTCAGAGACCCCACTGAGCTGCTCCCTAGATCCCCTTACCTGGTGGTGCCCACCCCTTTCACCCTCCCCCACTCCCCCCACTCCCATCCCTAGCTGCTGGGAATGTTGCTGGGAGTTGTTGGCGAATGCTGAGACCCAGCCTGGTCCCCAGCATCAAAGAGCACAGCATCTTGGCACCATCCTCCCTTTATCCCCTCTCCCCACTGGACAGCCCCTCCTCCCACCTGCTGCCCTCAGCTCCGACTTCATTTCTCCGCTTCTCTCTACAGTGACACCTGAGGTCCCTGCCTCTGATTTCTCTCCTGCCCAGGTGGGCTCCCTCCAGCCACTCCCAGGAACTGCCCTGGACAAGCCTCCACCGTGTCCATGTGATGTGGCCTCTCGTCTGCCCTGGTGCAGGGTTCCAGCTCTCTAGTCCTCCTGCCTCAGGTCCTTGCTGGCTCTGCCTCTTCTCCTGAGCTCTGTCCTTGGTCCTATCTGGAGGAGCATTTCTGGGTGGTCTCACTGATTTTTAGCCAAAGATTCCCAATCCACAGGGCAGCTGTCCACGTGCCCAACAGACATTATCACCCGTGGGTCCGAAACTGAGCTCCCAGCCTCCCTAGTCCTGTTAAACCTGCAGCCCTCTGCCATCCTTCCCGATGTACAGAACATAAATCCCAGAGTCACCACGAAGTCTATCTTGTCCTCCCATCCCACATCCAAGCTGCCAATAAGTCCTGGAGCTCAGCCTTCAAAAGCCTTCCCCTCCCACCTTCTCCTCTGCTCTTCCCCAGCTGATCCACCACAGTCGCTCAGCGAGATCATTCCAAAGCCTCCTCCCTGGTCTCCTGGCTTTACCATTACCCCAGAGACTGCTCTGGAAAGGGCAGCCACAGGCTGCTGGGCTCCACTTCTGGAATTTCTGAGTCCATAGATCTGGGGTAGGCTGAGAAGTAGTTCTATCCATTTACATCCCACCAGTACAGTATCATAAGTTGTTATCACACACAGGGAGGTCTGTATCTTAACACTGCATTTAACTATCATCTACCTATGTGCAAATATCACACCACCATTATTAGTCTAGATTTTTCATAGTTCTTGATATCTAGTAGGGCGAATTCCTTCCACCCTCACCTTCTTCTTCATAAGTGTCTGTATTAGTCCATTTTCATACTGCTGATAAAGACATACTCAAGACTAGGCAATTTACCAAAGAAAGAGGTTTAATGGATTTACAGTTCCACCTGGCTGTGGGGGCCTCACAATCATGGCAGAAGGTAAAAGGCATGTCTCACATGGTGGCAGACAAGAGAAGAGGGCTTGTGAAGGAAAACTCTCCTTTTTAAAACCATCAGATCTTATGAGACTTATTCACTATCACGAGAACAGCACAAGAAAGACCTGCCTCCATGATTCAATTACCTCCCACTGGATCCCTCCCACAACACATGGGAATTCAAGATGAGATTTGGGTGGGGACACAGCAAAACCATATCAGTGTCTTGAGTAATTGTGGCCTTTTGCTATTCCATTTAAATTTTAGAATGAGCTTACGAGGTTTTATTTTTTAAAAATCTGTCAGGAATTTGGAGTTGTGTTTAAGCTATAGATTAATTGGGTAATAATTGACCTCTTTGTGATATTGAAGCTTCTCATCCACACACATGATCCAGCTCTCCATTAGGTCTTCATAGCTATTTTCCAGTAGTATTTATTTCTATGATTTTGCACCTGATGAGTCCATACATTTTTTGTTAGATGTATTCCTGTACACTTTGTTTTCATTGCTATTATAAATAATATCTTAATTACATATTCTAACTACTATTGAAATATAAATGCGGTTGGCTTTAGTTTATTGATATTAAATCTAGAAACAGCTAGATTCTGTCATCAATTCTGGAAGATTCTCTTAGATTGTTTTAGGTTTTTCTGTGTAAAAAAAAATCAGGAAAATAATGACAGTTCTACTTCTTCCTTTGAAATTGTTATACTGCTTATTTCTTTGTCTTATTGCATTGGTTAATAGTTGCAGTACAAGGTGAATAGCACTTGGGAATCTGTTTTGAATCTGATTTTAAAGGGATTTATCATTTCATCATTAAGTATAATGTTTGAAGTAGAATTTCTTTGTTTTTGTTGTGTAGATACTCTTTATCAGGTTATAGAAGTTTCATTCTAACCCTAGTTACTAATATAGCAAGTTTTCTTAATGGATTTTCATCGTAAATTTTTATGGATTTTTTTCCCTATCTATTGAGACGACCATATACTTTTTCTCTTTTTATCTAGGTAATGAATTATGTTAACAACATTTCTCATGGAAGAATATTGTTGGTTGGGTGCAGTGGCTCACACCTGAACTTTGGGAAGCCAAGGTGGGTGGATCACCTGAGGCCACAAGATTGAGATCAGCCTGGCCAATATGGCAAAACCCCATGTCTACTAACCCATACAAAAAAATTAGCTGGGCATGGTGGTGTGCGCCATGTAATTCCAGCTACTCAGGTGGCTGAGGCGTGAGAATCACTTGAACCCAGGAGGCAGAGGTTGCAGTGGGCCAAGATTGCACCACTGCACTCCAACCTGGATGACAGAGTAAGACTCTGTCTCAACATTTTTAAAAAATCAAGAATATTACTTTCTTGGAATAAACACCAAGTAATCATGACTTCTTATCTTTTATGTACTACATAACTTGGTTTGCTTGTATTTTTTGTTGGATTTTTACATCTATGTTCAAGAGTGAGGTTGCCTTACTGGATCTAATTTTTAGGTCAAAAATGAGCTGGAATATGTTTATTTTTCTATTATCTCAAAGAATTTGTGAAAGATGGGGGTTATTTGTTCTTTGAATGTTAGATTATACTTACCTGTAAACACTGGGACTTATGTTTTCTTTCTGGAAAGATTTTAAATTGTTGATTCAATTTCCTTAATGCTTATGAGATCATTTCATTGTCCTATTTCTTCTTAACTCAGGTTTGGCACTTATATTTTTCTAAAAATCTGGGCATCTCATCTACATTTTCTTATTTTGTGCTATAAATTTGCTCATTCTATTCTTTTATTATTTTTATTCTTATCTTCGTGACTTCTTTTCTTTGGGTTTACTTAGATAATTAATTTTAAACATTTTTTTCTAACATAAGAGCTTCAGGTTATACATTTTTTCCTAAGTACTGCTTATAGATGCTCCCTACAAATTTTGATGTTTATTATTTTTGCTGTCATTCTTTTCTAATATGCTCAGTTTTCATAATCTCTTTTTTGGCTTATGAGGTAATTATAAGTGTGCTTTAAAGTTTCACCATGTATGATGTTTTATTGATGTTAATTTACTTGCATTGTGGGCAGAGAATGTGGTCTCTTTGATAACCATTCTTTGAAATCCGTTGTTGCTTGCTTGATTTATGACCTAGTATTATTTTTTAATATGTTTTCATGGGCATTTGAGAAGTATGTGAACCCTCCCGTTGCCGGGCGCAGCTTTCACTACACGCTTATTATATGAAGCTTAATTGTGTTGTAAAGCTACTCTACACCATCATGATAACTTTTTGTCTCCTTACTTCAGTCACTACAAAACGTGTTTTAAAATATCCCTCTATGACAGGATTTGTTCAATTGTTTTGCAGTTCTTCTTGTAGCTTGACAAAGTTTGCTTTATATATTTTGAAGTTATTAAGTGTAAACAAGTTTAGAATTACAGTCAAATTGAAACATTTATGTAAATTCAATAATTCTATCTGTAGCCATGCTTTTACTTTAAGTCTATTCAGTTGATATTATTATAGATATTCCAGGGTTTTTTTTAAAACTAATATCTCCTTAGGGACTTTTTTCATCATGTTTCTTTCAGTCTTCTCTGTCCTTATGTTGTAAATGTGTCTTTCATTAACACAGATTTTTTATCCCATCTGATCTTTATCTTTTAATTGGGCATTTTACCTTTGTCTGATTATTTCAATGATGTTCTCTTCTCCACTCCCTCCATTCTCTTCTTTTGAGGCTCCAAGCTCTGATGTTTATAGAGCCTCTCACACTTTTCTCTGTGCTTTTGACTTCTCTTTCATATTTTCTATGTCACTGTCTTCTGTGTCACAGCCTGGATGATTTCTACATGTCTCTTTTGCCTTTCACTAACTTTTTCTTTAGCCGTATCAACTCTGTTGGTTAATTGTCTAAGTTCAATTTTTATATTTTTTACTGCTAGAATTTCATATTTGTTCTTTCAAATCAGATTAGATAACTGAGCATGGTAGTTTGCGCATGTAATCCCAGCACTTTAGGAGGCTAAGGCAGAAGAATGGCTTGAGTCCAAGAGTTTGAGACCCGCCTGGACAACATAGTGAGACTCCATCTCTTAAAACAAGTAGCCAGGCATAGTGATGTTCCCTGGAGTTCTAGCTACTCAGGAGGCTGAGGTGTGAGGATTGCTTGAACTCAGGAGTTTGACGTTGCAGTGAGCCATGATTACACCACTGCACACCAGCCTTGGCAACCAAGTGAAACCGTGTCTCCAAAAAATAATAAATCAGTGTAGTCAACCTTTTTTTTCTTCTTTTCTTAAAGACCAGTATGATAGTAAGATTAGTCAACTTTGATAGCTCTTCTCCTTGGCTAAACTGTCAACATCACCTTTTAACTGTTTAAATATATAAAACATATTTATTCTTTATCTGCTAATTCTATTGTCACAGTCTTCATGGACCTAATTCTACAGATTTTAAATTTTGTGACTTCTCCACAGATGTTAATTTTTAATTGTAATTTTATCTTAATTGTAAGTTACTCTGCAGAAATTATTTAAGGCCTGGGTTTAAATGTTTCTCCCAGCCAGGCGCAGTAGCTCAAACCTGTAATCCCAGCACTTTGGGAGGTCAACGTGGGTGGATCGCCTGAGGCCAGGAGTTCGAGACCAGCCTGGCCAACATGGTGAAACCCCATCTCTATTAAAAATACAAAAATTAAGCCGGGCACGGTGGCTCAAACCTGTAATCCCAGCACTTTGGAAGACCGAGGCTGGTGGATCACTTGAGGTCAGGAGTTCAAGACCAGCCTGTCCAACATGGTGAAACCCCATCTCTATTAAAAATACAAAAAGCAGTTGGGCATGGTGGCAGGTACCTGTAATCCCAGCTACTCAGGAGGCTGAGGCAGAAGAATTGCTTGAACTTGGGAAGAAGAGATTGCAGCGAGCTGAGATTGTGCCACTGCACTCCAGCCTGGGTGACAGAGCGAGACTCTGTCTCCAAAAAAAAAAAAAAAGAAAAAGAAAAATACAAAAATTAGCCAGGCATGATGGTGCATGCCTGTAGTCCCACCTACTCGGGATGCTGAGGGAGGGGAATTGCTCAAACCTGGGAGGCGGAGGCTGCAGTGAGCCGAGATCACACCACTGCACTCCAGCCTGAAGACAGAGTGAGACTCTGTATACATGTCTCCTGGAAAGATGTGCTTTTACTTCACCTGGAGCCACCAGTATCCTAGGACCACTTTCAGCCTTTCACCTTTCCTTTTTTTTGGAGTGGAGGGGGCTGAGGAATGGGCACATGAGCAGTGTGATTTGGGGTCCTCACGGGGGTGGACCCGGGTGGGGAGGAATTCCCAGTGGAGGGTTTTTTCTGTTCTCCTCAGGGCTCACTGTCTCCCTCTGCGGGGTGGATGTCTTCCTCATGCCACTTCAGAAGTCTTGGCTTATGTAGGGGTTTCTGTCCCAACCTACGAGTTGCTTCGCCCTGAGTCTGTTTCCTGTCCCCCAATTGCATGGGCCCCTTGAAGCCCTGCTCTAGGTCCCCAGAGGCGGGAGAGAGCTCCCCATGAACCCCATCTTCTGTGTTTGTCCAGTTCTCAGAATTACATTTCTCATCATTTTTGACCACCGAGGGTTTCTCTTTCTTTTCTGCTAGTCAGATGCGTATCTTAAAAATTTTACATGAAACATATAAAATATGTGTATAATGCAAATTTATTTCATCCAACTTTTTGAATTGTTCTGAAATGGGCTATTTTCTCCAGACATCTAGATTGTTACATTGCCAGAAGGAGGTCCTTTAACTTCAAAGAAACAAAAATCCCTTTATTCATCAGAATGTATTCATTGAGCACCTACCGTATACGGGGTGTTGTGCCTACCCCAAGAGGGCTCCCCAGTCCAGTGGTGAGCAGGCAGAGCCACAGCCCAATCACGGGGTGGCCACAAGCCATGGAGGCTGCAGCCTGGATTTCAGTCCGAGGCTTTGGCAGCAGGCAGAAGGGACCAGAGGTTGTGGTCGCTCCAAAAAAGATGCAGCAAGCAGGTCGCGGTAGGAGGAACTGCATGGGGAGCTGCCACGCTTGGCCTTAGCTCCGTTAGAGAGGACTTCGGTCGTGACTGTGGAAGTCAGCTATGCATCCTGAAGATTGTGGCATTGCTTGCAGGAGGTCTTTCTGAAGGATAGCATTGATTCACCATGGGAGCAGGTGGGAGGAGGGGTGGCGTGCAGTCCATGGAAACCTGAGTCACTTTCAAATTCCAATCTTATTAGACTGAAGGTGATTTACAGACTCTTGTTAAGTGCAGTAATAATTGGATGGGCCTGAAGTCATTACCAACAATTAAGAAGCCACCATTGATCCCATAAATAGCAAGGGGGCAGTTTAGGGCACTTGAGATGGGTCCCCATGGGAGCCCACCTCCCTCCCTCCCTGGGGACAGTCAAAGCCCCCCCATCCCTGGGGACCGACTGGATCAGCGGAGCCGAAGGAGCAGGTCAGCACCGGGCTTCATCTGGATACAGAGGCACAGCCAGGCAGGCAGAGCAGAGGCTCTGGGGCAGAGGGATCTGGATGTGAACCCAGCAGTGACCTTCAGCAACAACTCGGGGCACCCACTTCCTCTCCATCAACTCAGAGATGAAAACCCCAACTCGTGGCAGGCAGGGAAGATCACATGCGGTCATGTGTGTGCCTGGAACATGGTGGCCCCTCAATACATCACAGCTATTGCTATATTTAAACAGAATGGATGGGAGGGTGCTCAGTAACTGAAACGCAGAGCTGTGGTTCCCTCTCTGCAGCCTGGCACTGTGTGGTCCACACATCACGTTATACTATCATTAATAAAAACACAACCTGAAGCACAGACTGGGGCAGAAATGACCAGAAGAACAAGGGCCCCTTTTCTCTGACCAAGCAGCCGGTTCGGCAGCCTAGCAGAGAGGATACAGCATGGCCTCCCATGCTAGGCCACCAGGGGCTCGGCTCCAGGCTTAGTTAAACGGTTTTTATCTTCCATAAATCCTCCTAAGTTACTTTAAGGCTCATCAGACCCCCTCAATTGCTATTTAAGTGTTTTTTCTGCACTAACTGCTTCTTGTTAAATAGTTTGACATTTATGCGTCTAGACTTCGGTTGTTTTGATATTGATTTGGCCCAGAATGATAATGGAGGAGGCAGCATTGGTTTTGCTGTCATTGGCAGCAGCCGTATATCTCTGGGAAGTGGATATCTTTGTTATTCTCTCATACTGGAGCCCAGAGTGAAAACCATGCAGGATTCAGAAGGGGCTGCACCATCCCAAATGCCCCCCACCTCTTTGGGGCTGGGGAGATGGTTAAAAATAGAGGTTGTAGATGGTGTCTCAGGTGAGGTTTCCTGACAGTTACCAAGCTGGTTCTCTCTAGAGGTAACAGATGCCAGCATCACAGGTGGGAGGTAGTGAGCATCCACGGGGATAGGGTAGCCAAAGAGGGGTGTTCGCAGCCACCTGAGCTTGCTGGGCCTTTCTTGCCTTAAGTTCCTTGTCTATGCTTTTCCCTCAGATTGGAGTGACCTTCTTTGCTTTGTCTTGCAAACTCCTACGCATCCCTAAATACCCCAAGTGGATGCGCCCTTCCCAGGAGGTCTTCTTCAGCTTCCTAATGATGCATGCAGTGATGAAGGGGCCTCAGAATCGTCCTTAGAGTCAGCCAGACCCTCCTTGCCAGTACGTGGGTGACAAAGGGTCTGTGACAAAAGCCACAGAGAAAGTCTGAGGTGCAGCTGGGCCCGGGAGCAGGCTTGCAGCTCCCAGTCCAACTTCTTTTCTGCTTTGCTCTCTGCACAGCCTGCCTGGCTTACACTAGGCTGTGGCAATTCTCATGATCCGAGCTACTGCTGCAGATATCAACCAGGGAGCTTGTGGCCAGAGAGTGAAATCTCCGATCAATACCCGAGAACCGCGTGGAGCCACCAGCTGGGCGGCCTGGTGAGTCACGGCCCCAGGAGGGCGCGGGAAGCCCAGGTGCCCTCGAAGGCCGGCCCCTCTCCCCCTCCTCTCCTCCCCACCTCTGTTCTCATCCCTGCTGCCCTTTTTCTTTCAGTATATATATTTTTAATTTTAAAAACACAAAAGAGTACAGAGAAAAAATTCCACCCAGGTTCCCAACTTCCAGGATCAACAAATGTTCACATTTTGTCATTTTTATTTTCATGAGTTTTTGTTTGTTTGGGTTTTTTTCTTCTTCTTCGAGACAAGGTCTCACTCTGTCACCCAGGCTGCAGTGCAGTGGCACGGTCATGACTCACTGCAGACTCTACCTCCTGGCCTCAAGCGATCCTCCAACCTCAGCCTCCTGAGTAGCTGGAACTACAGGCACATACCACAACACCCAGCTAATTTTTGTTTATTTTTTGTAGAGATGGGGTCTCGCTATGTTGCCCAGGCTGGTTTCAAACTGCTGAGTTCAAATGATCCTCCCACTTCATCCTCCCAAAATGCTGGGATTACAGGAGAGAGCCACTGCACCTGGCCATATTTTCACGTTTTGAAATGAAGGCAATAAAAGTCACAGGTAAAGTTAAAATGGCCTTTGCCCATTCTCCTCTGTCCACCCCCAAGGCCACTGCTGTGTATTCTAAATGCTCTTTCTCATTGCAGTTTGCTTTTCTAGTCTACGTATGTAGGCATTTGTAAATAATCAACAGTATTGCATTGTAGGTCTAAAAATTTATGTAAAATGAACATTTTATTTTAACTTCACTGTAGCATTTCTTCCTGTAGAGACAACTCCCTTTAATTTATCCATTCCATCTGATAGGCACATGGGCTATTCCCAATGGTTTTATTATTTTTTTAAAGAAATATTTTTGTTTCAAAATAAATTTTTTTAGATGAGATCTCACTCTGTTGCCCAAGCTGGAGTGCAGTGGTGCAATCTCAGCTCACTGCAACCTCTGCCTCTCAGGCTCGAACGATCCTCCCACCTCAGCCTCCCAAGTAGCTGGGATCACAGGTGCACACCACCACGCCCAGCTAATTTTTGGTAGTTTGGGTAGAGATGAGGTTTCACCATGTTGCCCAGGCTGGTCTGAACTCCTGAGCTCAAGCAATGCACACTCCTGGACCTCCCAAGGAGTTATGTTATGGCAAACGGAGCCCCTGCGCCCAGCCCCGGTGTTTTACCACAATAAGCAGAGCTGGCACAAGTCCCCTGGTCCTTCTGCGTGGATCCCTAGGAGGGAAGAGCTGGGACGCTGCACCCTGCCGTGTCACTGGGGATGGCCACATTGCCCTCCAGGGCGGCTGAGCCAATGTAAAAGATGCCTGAACATCTTTCTGTGCATTTATAGGTCCACTGGCTCTTCGGACTCTTCTCTCTGGACCCTCTGTCTGTTTCCTCCTGGGTCATTGGCCTCTTTTCCTCATTGAGCTGTAGCAGTAATTTATAAGCTGTGTTCTGGACATTAATCTTCTGTCTGTTCTATATGCTATAAATGTCTTCTTCTGTCTGTGGCTTGATGTTTATCTTCAATTGTGTCTTTTGTTCCACGAATTAGAGCTTGGTGTAATTGAATCCATCACTCTCTCGTATGAGTTATTCTGTTTGTACCCCAACTCAGAATTTTCCTACCCTGAGGTTCCAGACCAGGCTTCATATATTTTCTTCTAATCATTTTGTTTTCCACATTAAAAAAATTTTTTTCAATCCATCTAGGAGTTTCATGTACAGCGTAGATGTAATTTTTGCTAAATCAACCTGTTTTTGAGACGGAGTCTCACTCTGTTGCCCAGGCTGGAGTGCAGTGAAACGATCTCAGCTCACTGCAAGCTCCGCCTCCTGGGTTCACGCCATTCTCCTGCCTCAGCCTCCCTAGTAACTGGGACTACAGGTGCTTGCCACCACGCCTGGCTAATTTTTGTATTTTTAGTAGAGACAGGGTTTCACCGTGTTAGCCAGGATGGTCTCGATCTCCTGACCTCGTGATCTGCCTGCCTCAGCCTCTCAAAGTGCTGGGATTACAGGAGTGAGCCACTGTGCCCGGCCGCTAAAATGACTTTATATTCCTAGGGTAAATCTTGCTTTTACATAATGTATTTTCGTATATTCTGCTGGATTTAATTTGCTGATTCTTCACTTAAGAATTGATATATGTGTGTGTGGATCTGATCCTAATTTGTCTGTTCTTCCACAAAACGCAGGTTTGATGTCAGGGTATATAGGCCTCCTCAGATGAGTCAGCAGCTTTGTTTTCTATCCTCTGAAAGTTTAAGTGAGGTGGAGATTTTCTGCTACTTAAAGATGCATTAAAACTCACCTTTAAAATGCCTTGTGCTATTTTTTTATGGTTGTAGATATTCCACTTCTCCTTACATAAAACTTTGAAAACATATTTTGCCTTTAAAAATCTATTTCTTCTGATTTTCCAGGAACAGTCATATGAAGTTGTTCATAGCAGTTTCTTTTTTTATATTTCTTCTTTCTTTCTCCTCTACTATACTCTCTTTCTTAATTTTTTTTATTAAATTTCTCTTTCACTAGTAGGAACATAATAGCTTCTCACAATGCCACCACCTCAATTGTATTTCTGGACTTGCCCTCCTCCCTTCCAGCATAACTTCTTGGTGTCCCTTTGGTTTTTGCTTAACAAGCCTTGGTGAGGCCGGGCTTGGTGGCTCACGTCTGTAATCCCAGCACTTTGGGAGGCCAAGGCAGGCGTATCACCTGAGGTCAGGAGTTCAAGACCAGCCTGACCAACATGGTGAAACCCCGTCTCTACTAAAAATACAAAAATTAGCTGGGCGTAGTGGTGGGCATCTGTAATCCCAGCTACTCAGGAGGCTGAGGCAGGAGAATCGCTTGAACCGGGAGGTGGAGGTTGCAGTGAACTGAGATCGCGCCACTGCACTCCAGCCTGGGTGACAAGAGTGAGACTCTATCTCAAAACAAAAGAAGCCTTGGTGAAAGCTTCTTTCTTTAATTAATATTTTCAGAGATCTAGATTTTGAATTTTGTTGCCATTTCTGCTACTTTTGTGTTTGTTTTATTCCTGCTGTAGAGAGACAGCACAGTGCAGTGGTTAATACCCCAGGCTCTGCCACCCCTGGGGTGTGACCTCTCTATGCCTCTTCTATAAAGTGAGGATAATTGCACCCATTTCATGGGTTACTGTGAAACAATAAAGTAGTGTGCACAAACATTGCAAGTATTCTTTCAACATTTAAAAAACAACTTAGCAAACGAAGGTGTAGCAGTCTGCTTTCACACTGCTATGAAGAACTACCTGAGACTGGGTAACTTATGAAGAAAAGAGGTTAATTGACTCACAGTTCCGCAGGCTTAACAGGAAACATGGCTGGGAGGCATCAGGAAACTTACAATCACGGTGGAAGGGAGGGGGAAGCAGGCGCATCTTACCAGGGCAAAGCAGAAGAGAGAGAGGGCGAAGGGGGAAGTCCCACATACTTTTAAAGCATCAGATCTCCTGAAGACTCACTCCCTAGAGGGAAATCCGCCCCATGATCCAATCTCCTCCAATTCAACATGAGATTGGGGTGGGGACACAGAACCAAACCATATCATAAGGCTAGAAGAGAATTTAAATATTTACCAAATCTGTGCAAATAATGTGCTTGAAGGTGAGCTATCAAAAACATTATTTTGCCAGGTGCAGCAGCTCATGCCTGTAATCCCAGCACTTTGGGAAGCCGACGCAGGCAAGTCTCTTGAGCCCAGGAGTTCGAGACCAGCCTGGGCAACATAGTGAAACCCTATCTCTACAAAAAATACAAAAATTAGCCGGGCGTGGTGGTGCACGCCTGTAGTCCCAGCTGCTTGGGAGGCTGAGGTGGGAGGATCATCTAAGTCCAGGAGGTGGAGGTTGCAGTGAGCTGAGATTGCACCACTGCACTCCAGCCTGGGTGAGAGAGCAAAACCCTGTCTCAAAATAAATAAATAAATAAAACTCTTTTTAAAATTAGAAACAAGACAAGGGTATTTATCTCAAGTTTACATGACTTGGAGGTCCCAGCCAGCTCGGCAAGACAAGAAAAAAAATGAAGGAGACAGGTCAGATTTGGTGGCTCATGCCTGTAATCCCAGCACTTTGGGAGGCCAAGATGGGTGGATCACTTGAGGCCAGGAGTTCAAGACCAGCCTGGCCAACATGGCGAAACCCCGTCTCTACTAAAAATATGAAAATTAGGCCGGGTGCGGTGGCTCACGCCTGTAATCCCAGCACTTTGGGAGGCCGAGGCGGGCGGATCATGAGGTCAGGAGATCGAGACCACGGTGAAATCCCGTCTCTACGAAAAATACAAAAAATTAGCCGGGCGTGGTGATGGGCGCCTGTAGTCCCAGCTACTCGGGAGGCTGAGGCAGGAGAATAGCGTGAACCTGGGAGGCGGAGCTTGCAGTGAGCCGAGATGGCACCACTGCACTCCAGCCTGGGGGAAAGAGGGAGACTCCGTCTCAAAAAAAAAAAAAAAAAAAAGAAAGTTAGCCAGGTATAGTGGCAGGCACCTGAATCCCAGCTACTCAGGAGGCTGAGGCAGGAGAATCACTTGAACCCTGGAGGCAGAGGCTGCAATGAGCCAAGATCATGCCACTGCTCTCCAGACTGGGCAACAGAATGAGGCTCCATCTCAGAAAACAAACAAGTGAGAAAGAGAGAAAGAGAAGGGAAGGGAAGGGAAGGGAAGGGAAGGGAAGGGAAGGGAAGGGAAGGGAAGGGAAGGGAAGGGAAAAGACAATGAATGATTAGGGCAGAAGAATCTAATTTGTCATTATTTTCATATGACATGATTGTTCTCTGTAGAAACCTGAAATAATCTATAAACTATTAGGATTAATAAGAGTTCAGCAAGGTTTTTCTTTTTCTTTTAGAGACAGGGTCTTGCTCTGTCACCCAGGCTGGAGTGCAGTGGCATGATCATGGCTCACTGCAGCCTCAACTTCCTGGGATCCAGCAATCCTCCCACCTCACCCTCCCAAGTAGCTGGGACCACTTGTACACACCACCATGCCCAGCTAATTTTTGTATTTTTTGTAGAGAAAGGGTTTTGCCATGTTGCTCAGGCTGGTCTTGAACTCCTGAGCTCAAGTGATCCCACTGCCTGGGCCTCCCAAAGTGCTGTTATTACAGGTGTGAGCCACCATGCCGGGCCAAGAGATTAGAAAGGTTTCTAAATACTAGATCAATATTTTTTAATGCATTACTTTAAAAGCCAGCAACAAACAGAAAATCAAATTTTTATAATAGCAGCAAGAAATATCAAACACCTGGCAATAAATGTAAAATAGGATCAGAAAGAGCTCTGTGGAGAAAGCTATTAAATGTTGCTGCCAGAAATTTTAGAAGACCTAAATAAATGCAGAAATAGACCATATTCCTGAAGACAGGGACCCATGAATTTAAGGATGTCAGTACTCCTAAACCCAATCTATAGACTCAATATAATTCCAACTATAGCAATATGTGTGTGTGTGTCTGTGTGTGTAACTTAATAATCTCATGCTAAAACATTTATGGGAAAGCAAAGACTCAAGAATTACCCAGACACTCCTGAAAAACAACATTGTGGGGGATTGTCCTTTCAGATATCAGCATGACTTATAAAATTCCAGCAAATCAAACCCTGCTTCAGCCGTCTCACTCCCAGGCATCTACCTCAGAGAACGGTAAATCCACAGCCACACACAAACGCGCACACAGATCTTCAAAGCAGCTCTGTTTACAATAGGCAAAGAGTGGACACAGCCCAGTTGTCCATCTGCTGATGAACAGATACACAGAATGTGGCCTATCCAGACAATGGAGTACTCTTTGACCACAAAAAGGAATGGAGCATGAACACAGGATACAGGATGGATACGTCTTGAAAACCTTGTGCTAAGTGACCACATATTATGTGGTTCCACTCATAGGAAACACCCAGGATAGGCGAATTCATAGAGTCAGAAAGTAGATTAGGGTTGCCAGGAGGCTTGAGGGAGGACTAACGGGGAATGACTATATGGTGTTTCTTGTTGGGGTGATTAAAACGTTCTAAAATTGATTGTGGTGATGGTTGGATTCCTCTGTGAGCATACTAAGAGCCACAGAATTACACACTTTAAATGGGTGAATTTTGTGGTATGTGAGTTGTATGTCCACTTTTGGGGAATGAGTCCTATTGGTGAAGAATTAGGCAAACAGACCACAGCCTGCTCCAGAGGCCAGGTCCATGGTGGGTGTGTTCACCAGGCACAAGGAAGTGTGCAGTGTCTGGTTCTGCAGCAGACTCTGGGTAAATATTTGTTGCATGAATGCATGAATAAATGAATGAACAGGGCCGGTGGGTAAATGGAGAAACTGGGATCTGAGTTCTGGTTGTTATGCCCTCAAGCTGGCCTCCTCCAGCCTCAACTCAGAGGAGGCGCACTGGGGCGAGGAGCTGGAGGAAGGAGGGAGGGAGAGGGGCAGGAGGTGCCCCGGTACCTGCACTGTCTCCACTGACTGAGGCCTGGGAGAGCAAGGGCCAGCAGGGACGGCTGTGTGGTGCAGGCTGAAGTCAGTGAGTAGGGAGCAGCCTCAGGCTGAGGAGGAGAAGCAGCCGCCAGTGCCCCCCAGCAGTGCCTGAACAGCAGGTTAGGCTTTAGGCTGGGAGCAAGGGGGACACCGGAGATCAGGGGGCTTATGCCAACTGCCGTGGTCATTTGGAATGGCCCTTGAGAATGAGTGCCGAGACACAACCTGGGGACAGGGCCACAGGCCTCCCCCGTGCTCCTGCGTTCTCTCCAGTCCATACTGTGGGTGGCAAGGCTGGGGGCCTTGGGGTCGAATGAGCCTCCCCCTTCAAACATCCCCCTAATGAACTCCCAGGCAGAGAGAGCCCCCAGAACACATGCCTTCAGGGACCACGTGGCTAAGGAGGCCTCGGGGAGCAATAATTAGCCAGAAAACCTCGCCTCAGCATGGGGTAAGGTGAGAGGGCCCTGAGGCTCTCTTCTCCTCTCCCTCACCCCCTCCCAGCTGGGACCCTCTGGCCAGGCCTCCTTCTGTAGAAAACCGCAGCGTAAAGATGATTATGGTCTCTGGTTTCTGCTGCAGTGGAGGTAGGGTGCCCAAGCTCGGGAAGCCCAGCTGCTGTGGGGAAGGAGGGTGCTGCCTCGGTGAGAGCCACCCACACAAGCCTGAATGCAGGTTATTTTTGGCAATGAAGGAGACGTGCACGTGCAGCAGACAGCATAGACTCTGAGATCCCACAGACCTGGGTGCTGCCTCGACCGTGGCAGGGCCATGGGGAGACCGCATGACTCTGTGCCTCAGTTTCCTCCTCTCGGGCTCACCCAGCCCCTGCTCCTGCCTGGGGCTCCCTGCAGCTGGCCAGGCCACCTTTGGAGCCTGAACAGGGCCCAGCAGGGAAGACTCCCCGCTCCATGAGGAACTCACAGGCTTCCCCCGAAAAGCCTCGAGCCCCGAGATTCCCACTGTGATTTCTACCTGTGTGTCAGGAGTGGTGTCTGAGGCCGGGGGTGGATTTGAATCTGGAGCGTTTCAATTTAAAGCCTGGGCCAAGACAACATATAGATGGTAATGCGTGCAGGGCCCCTGTCCTCCCCTGACCCCACACATGTACACATCTCCACAGCAGACACCCCAGCCTCTTTCGGAAGGGACTTGTCCTCACCTTAGAATCGTAGCCTCGCGGAGACCTCCGGGAACTTCTGAACCAACTTCTTCATGTAGAGAGAGAGGCAGGCCCTGCAGACACATCTGGTTCTGCGAGGAGGCCAGGAACCCTGGCCCCATCCACCTGGGCCCCTCGGCCAGGCCTGCTGGCTCCACCGCCCTGACCTGCAGGCTCTGCCTCTCAGCTCACTGTCCCCTGCTCCCACCCCCGTGTCCCCTGCAGGACTCCTGGCAGCCCCAGCGCTGGCTGCCATTTCTTGTTGGACTCCAGTCTGTCCTGATCGCTGGTGCATTGATAAAGCTTTCCCAAGCTCCCATCAATCTCTCCTCCATAAATGCTCATTACTCATTACAAGACAGGTTCGCTCAGGGAGTCTCCACCTGGAGGGGCGCGTCCTTCCATCGATCGTCTTGGTCGGGCTTCATTTAACACTCCACAAGCAGCAGGCCCGTCCTGGGGAAGTGAGGAGACAGATCAGAGTCGGGCAGGGGCTGGGGTGCGGTCACTCCTCTGCAGAGGCCACTGCCCTATTACAATTGGTTCACCCGTCCCTAGGGCTCTGCCAGCCCGGGGCCCCAGAAGGGGCATTCTGGGCAAATCCAGCCCTGGTCCCTTCCCGGACTTGCCCTGACCCAGGTAAGAAGGGAGTCTGCCTAGGCACCCCGCTCTGTCCTCATGGATAAGGGTCTTGAAGAATTTATCACTTGAAACAAAAAAGAGCAAGTTATCTCCCCTGCATTTGCTGTATCACCAGCCTCTGGCCCAGGTTATCGGGAGCTCATGGAGGCAGAGAGCCCACGGGGGCCGGCACCAGCAGGGCCCAGGGACGAGGGTTCCTCCTGCTTCCCTGTGCAGAGGCCGGTGATCTCTCTGCCGCTTCTCCAGGACGACTCGCCTGGTGTCTCCTCTACCTTTCCCACCCATCCCTGGAAGTCAGCTCGAAGAACCATGACCCTCCAACCTCGGGCACGCCATGCCCATCATCCTCTCTTCCTTTAACCCGATGGGAGCCCCATCCTGGTCAGGGTGGAAACATGCTCAGCTGAGAGGAAACAAACTCCACACCCCCACACAAGACCTTGCAGCTAGGGAGGAGCACGGCAGGGTCCTGCCCGCTGGACGTAGAGTGGGGCCACAGCAGCGCCTCCCTTTCCTGATACTTGGGGAAGACCTAGTGATCTAGACAGACTTTTTTCTCTTCTTCCTTGTTATGGACAGAATTACGTCCCCCCAAATTCCTAACCCCCAGTATCCCAGAATGCGATCTTATTTGGAGGCAGCCCCTCTACAGAGAAGTTAAAATGAGGTCATCCACTCCTCAAAAGAAGACACTCACGTAGCCAACAAACATGCAAAAAAGTTCACCATCACTGATCATTAGGGGAATGCAAATCAGAACCACAGTGAGATGCCACCTCATGCCAGTCAGAATGGCAATTATTAAAAAGTCAAGAAACAACAGATGCTGGTGAGGCTGTGGGGGAATAGGAACATTTACACTGTTGGTGGGAATGTAAATTAGTTCAACCACTGTGGAAGATAGCGTGGCGATTCCTCAAAGACCTAGAACCACCGATTGATCCAGCAATCCCATGACTGGGCATATACCTGATATGGTTTGGCTGTGTCCCCACCCAAATCTCATCTTGAATTATTCTCCCATAATTCCCACGTTTTGTGGGAGGGACCCAGCGGGAGATAATTGAGTCACGGGGGCGGTTTCCCCCATACTGTTCTTGTGACAGTGAATAAGTCTCACGAGATCTGACGGTTTTATAAGGGGTTTCCTCTCTCACTTCTGTCTCACTCTCTCTTGCTGCTTGCCGTGTAAGAAGTGCTTTCACCTTCCGCCATGATTGTGAGGCCTCCCCAGCCACATGGAACTGTGAGTTCATTAAACCTCTTTTTCTTCCCAGTCTTGGGCATGTATTTATCAGCACCTTGAAAACGAACTAATATACTACCCAAAGGAATATAAATCATTCTATTACAAAGATACATGCATGTGTATGTTCATCGCAGCACTATTCACGATAGCAAAGACATGGAATCCACCCAAATGCCCATCAATGATAGACTGGATAAAGAAAATGTGGTACATGTACACCATGGAATACTATACAGCCACAAAAAGGAACAAGATTGTGTCCTCTGCAGGGACATGGATGAAGCTGGAAGTCATTATCCTCAGCAAACCAACACAAGAACAGAAAACCAAACACCATACGTTCTCACTTATAAGTGGGAGCTGAACAATGAGAACGCATGGACACAGGGAGGGGAACAATACACACCAGGGCCTGTTGGGGGATGTGGTGAGGGAGGGCACCAGGATAAATAGGTAATGCATGCGGGGCTCAATGCCTAGGTGATGGGTTGATAGGGGCACCAAACCACCATGGCACATGTCTAACTATGTAACAAAACTGCACGTCCCACACATGTATCCCAGAACTTAAAATTAAACTTAATAAAATGAGGTCATCAGGTTGGGCCCTAATCCAACATGAATGGTGCCCTTGTAGAAAGGGAAAATTTAGACACAGAGACACGCACAAGCACAGTGCCTGGTGAAGATGAAGGCAGAGGTCAGGGCGGCGCTTCCCCGAACCAAGGAACGCCCAGGGCTGCGGCCACCAGGAACTGGCGAGAGAATGGGACCCATTCTCCCACAGGGCCTCAGGAGAAGCCAGCCCCGCCCACACCCTGATTTCAGACTTCCGGCCTCCAGAACGTGAGATGACACACTTCCACTGTTTAAGCCCCCCAGGCTGGAGTACTTTGTCATGATGGCTCTTAGGAAATCAACAGTTCTCCCCCGTCACACCCCCCACCACCTGCCCAGACCCCAGTGGCTGGAGGCACAGACACCATCGTGAACAGGGCCACATGATCCCGCAATGAGGTGGCGGGGAGCAGAAACTCCACCCCTGCTGCAGGAGGGAGCCCCACCCCAGCCTGGGCACCTGCCTGGTTGCATGAGAAAAGCACCGGGCTCGCTCTCAAGCGCCTGTGGTCAGCTGCCTGCACATAACCTTAAATGGAAACATCGACCTGCGGGCCTGGGTGCTGAGTTCCCATGGCCACAGGACGCTCCTCTGTGATGCCCCAACTCCGGTGGTGGGCTTCCTCCCGGCCTTTCCTTACCTGGTACAGCATGGTCTGTCTCCACATCAGGTGTTCACTGCTGTGTCGCTGAAGTCTTGGACAGTGATGGCACCCGGTGGTGATCAGTTAATACTTGTTGAAGGAATAGAGAAAAGTGGGTAGGAAGGAGGGAGGGAGGGAGAGAGTGAGAGAGGGAAAAATAGAGGGAAAGAGAGGGGAATGATGGGAGGAAAGGAGAGAGGGAAGGAGAGAGGAGAGAGAGAGGTAGAGGGAGAGTGGTAAGGGAATGAGAAGGGCAGGAGGGAGGGAGGGAAGGATCGGAGGAGGGAGAGGGCCAGGGTGGGCCGGCGAGCAGCAACCATGACCAGAGCCTGCCATGGGCTTGTTGATGACACAGGCAGACATCAGGCTCTTCCCAGCTGGGGTCACACTCCTCATTCCAGCTTAACCTGAGACTTCCGCATGGTGCATCCTGCAGCGAGCCTGAGATGAAGGAAGCCCAGCCTCCACTTCCCCCTTGACGGGAGCTCTTCGTGCATCTGCTGAGATCTTGCTCTGCTGTGGGGACATGGTGTTCTGGGCCGGGTCTGAGGGAGCAGAAGGGAGCCAGGCCAAGGGGTGGAGGCAGCAGGGGTGGCAAAGTCCCTCCAGGAGAGGAACTCATCCTCATGACAGCCAGCTCGGCGGCTGTGACTGTTAGCCAGCCTGCTCTACAGCTCTACTGCCTGAGCCAGGCGGTCTGGCTTGGGGTAGAGGTGCTTTCCTCTTTTGGCCTTCTCATCCCAGGACCAGCTGAGGAGGTGCTCAGTCAACCCTGCCTGGGGACCCAGGCCCACGGTCACCTTCGCGACGAGGACACCAAGGCTGGCAGAAGCTGGGAGCAGCCCGCTTTGGCTGCCGGCCCGCAGGCTCTGTGCAAAGCTGGTGCCCCAGGTTCTAGCCCTCAAGCCCCTGGGAAGCCACTGGCCATGCTGGCCACCCCCGACCTGGGGCTTCCACCCCAAACACCTGTCCTTCCCGCTGGGCGAATCAGGCATCCTTACCCACATCTTCCTGGGAGCTGGGGTTTCTGTCCCTCTCTTTCTCGGAGGACGGCCCACTTGGGTTTGAATCGCTGGATCTAGGGATGCAGAAGGATCTGCTTCCTATTTTGGCCGCACCAGAGCTGGGTTGGGCAGGGGGCATTCTGCTCAGGGGCCAGGAGGAATCTACGCTCGTCCCTCAAGGCCCTCAAGGCCCTCAAGGCCGGCCAGGCAGAGGACTCTGACGGACTGCCTGGGTGAGAAGGTGGCCGTCAGGGTAGGGGAACTGCAGTCCTGACTCCCAGCACGGGCATCAGAGTGGACGTCCTGGCCACAAAATACTCTCCTCCCTGGCCCCACCAGCCTCTTGCCCTGGGCTAGACCACGGGCTTCTCCCCGGCCTGAGCGGGCCTAGCTGAGCCTGAGGGCTGGCTCACACAGGCTCATTCCCTGCAAGCTCCTCCCGTCCCCTCCCTCCTCTCCCAACTCTCCAGTGGTCAAGAAGCTCAGAGAAGCAGGTGTCCCTGAAGCATTCAAACCCTCACCGGGGCAGGCCTGGGTGGACGTCATCTCTGCTCCCGCCCCAGCCTCCTCTCGTAGGGGAGGAGCGCTGGAGGTGCTGGATGGCCGCAGGTGCTGTTGTGAGTGACAACCATGCACAGATTGTACCATCAAGGCTGGTCACCAGCGCCCATGCACCCCACTATGTCCATCTACCAGGGGTTCCCTAGGTGCAAAAAGGCGTTCATGGTCAAACAAATTGAGGGGCCCTGGATTAGAGTGAGCTTGTTTCCTTCCTGCAGGACTTCTCAGAGGCTTTACCACCATGGGAACCTCCAAGATAATCCCGGAAAACTTACTTGACCAAGGGGCCCTCTTTGTTCTGTGGGGCATCTCAAAGGTCTGCTCCTCCATAGCACTCCTTTCTGGGTGAAGAGATAAAGCCAGCCAGGTGTGGCAGCTCACGCCTGTAACCACAGAACTTTGAAAGGCCAAGGCAGAAGGATCGCTTGAGGTCAGGAGTTCAAGACCGGCCTGGGCAACATACTGAGACCCTCCATCTCTATAGAAAAGTAAAAAAAAAAAAACTAGCCAGGCGTGGTGGCATGTACCTGTGGTCCCAAGCTACTTGGGAGGCTGAGACAGGAGGATCAGTTGAGCCCAGGAATTTGAGGCTGCAGTGAGCTATGATCACCACTGTACTCCAGCCTGGGCAACAGAGCAAGACCCTGTTTCAAAAAATAAATATTTTTAAAAAGGGATACAGCCCAGACCCCTCAGGCCAGTTGAGCCGGGTCCATCTTCAAGACACTCTCCTTCCTCTGCCTTTTTCTCCTGGCCTGCGAGGAAAGAGCAGATCCAGGAAAGGCGGAACGAGGTACCCCCAGGCACCTTGTCCATTAATGCTCTCCCCTGCTAGTGCCCTGGGGAGCTCCAAATGTGCCTTCAAGGTCCACTCTGTGCCTTCTCTTCCCAGAAGCCCTCCTTGAATGCTGCACTCCACCCGAGGCAGAGGAGCTCACTCCCCTGCTGTCCAGTGACTGCATTTGACCCCGTCCACCACGATGCTCTTCATCCTCTCCTGCCCGTGACTGCCCTAACCCCCAGCTTAGTTGTCACTGTGTCCTTAGTTGCCAGGGTGGTCCCTGGGACCACTCTGAGTGCTCAGCGGGTGAGTTTGACGAATGAGCACAGGAGTGGAAGGACAGACGGACATCTGGGGGAAGGAGGACATTCCCACAGTGGGGAGAGTGTTTAGTGATGACTGTGGCTCAGATGTCCCCCAGCTCATGGGTTTTATTGGCATGAGACCTGGTTGTACATTTCCTTGTAAAAATATCAGAATGAATGTATGATTTCAAACACTTGCCTTGTCTTGCTCACTTCTAGTTTAAATCAGTCCCAACTTAACGGTGGGCACACAGGTGGAGGGGTGGCTTCTGTCTCGCTCTCTTGAGAAAGAGACTCTGAAATGTACAAAGAGTGGTTTGAGCCAAGCCCGGCGGCAGCAGTGAATATTATCAGCAGCTGCTATTGTACCTAAGGCTAGGACATGAAGAGGAAATGCCTGATGAGATTTTTATACCAATCGAGGGTTAAGAGAAGAGGCCTTGCAATCCCAGCTGGAGCCATTGACCAAATAGCAAAGCCAGACCCTTCCCTCCACCTCCCGGGATGCGCGGGCCGGTGGACCTGCCTGCAGCGTGCCTCGCGGGCTTCCTGGATGAGGAACGGAACCTCAAGGCTGCAGGGCTTGACCAAGGCCCTCAACCGTAAAACAGGGAGAGACACCCCACCCGGGCCTGCTCCCCGGTCACAGCAGGGGCCTGACACTCTGGCCACATTCAGGAAAGCCTGATGAAAGTTGGTAAAACCTCAGCATTGTCACCGATGGTCAGATTCTCCCAAGTTCCCTGGGAAGCAGTGAGCTCCTCGTCCTGGAGCTGAGGGCCGCGTGTGCAGGGTGAGGCGCCGTGGACTGAGTCCTCCACCCCACGGCCCCAGCCCTCGGCGATCAGCCCTCCCCTCCCTGGAACTGCGGCAGGTGGGGGGCTGGAACTGTGGGGCAGGCGGGCAGCGGGGCCCCCGGCCCCGGGGGCCCCGGGCAGAGGCTGATGCTGATGTGCTCTGGCAGCCGAGAGCAGCTGCAGACAACTTTCTCGGGCTTTCCGAGTAATGAGTCCACTCTGACCGCTCCCCTTCCCCCAAGCACAGCCAGGGAGCCCCGCTGGCCTGGGGGAGGCCAGTACCCAGCCCATTGTCAGCCTGTCTGGGCTGCAAATATTTGACCCTGGTACTCCCTAAACCTTTTCTCACACCTAAAGAGCAGACCTCTGACCTGGGCCTGGAGAATGCGATCAGCGCCTCCAGGGGTCTGTTTATCTTACATATTAATTCTGGCATCATGGGCTTGGCCCGGAGACCGCCTGACCCCAGATTCTGGGCCGATGGGGCCACTGCTCTTTCTGTTCAAACTTCTCTGCCGTCAGTCATTCGGGACAGCCTCATGGGCTAAGCCCGACGCGAGGCTGTAACCAGCAGCTCCATCCTTCCCACCTTCCTGCCTGTTCTCATCGTGTATTCAAGGCCGCCTGCTCCAGGCTGGGCCTGGCGCAAGGAGCTTACTGGTAAGAAATTCTGTGCAAAGAGGCTGGGTGGATCACAGGCTTTGAAATCCACGCGTTCCTCCACTCACATTTTAGTCTTGAACAGGGCAGGATCAGAGAATCCGATCGGATTTCTTACCAGTAAGGTGACACTGGCGATGCCTGCCACGTGGGCTGTGGTCAGGTTGAGGACAGTGCACAGGTGAGCGGCACAGGGAACATGGATCCCCCGCAGGCCCCACAGACTGCTCATCCCTGAATCCCCAGCACAGGACACCTAGGAAGGTCCCCCATCCACATCTGCCTAATGCATTCGGTCATCACCCACTCTGTCTTACCAGTTGCACTCGGCCAGAATGAGGATGCCATCTTTCCTGTGCATAACTGAAGCTGCAGATGGGGGACTCTGGGACTCATACAAGGATCCTTTCTCCACCTTTGGTCTGAAGCCCACATGCCTGTGTAGGGCTGTGGCCTCTACCTGGTTCTTACCTCCGACTTTCTCTTATTTTTCCCTTCATGTTTTCTCTTTGCCTGAATTCCATCACTTATTAATTACATCCTGCCTTATTGCAGTGTCTCTATAAGCTGTGTAGGACCTTTTGTGTTATGGGATCAGATACTTTCAAAAGCCCATGTATAAACTCTCCATGGGCAAGCAGATCTCAATTGTAAACTTGAATTAAATGAAAAATGAATTTAAGCCAGGGCCTCTAGAGGGTGGCCTGCTGCTCCTCCTCAGCTCAGCGGTGCGTCTCACTGCGTCACGGTGCCTTCTGCTTATGGCGGAACCTGCCTAGCATTGGTGTGGATTCTCCCCATGAACTGGATGCAATGCTGATTTCGTAGATGAAGACACTGAGGTTCAGAGAAATCAAGCTCCTTCTCTGAGTTGCCCAAAAAGGAGGGGAGGGGTGGGGTTGTGAACTCCCTGGATAAGTCAGGTCTTGCCCACATCTGAACCATAGACTGCCGACGTCCAGCCAAGTTCTGACTTTTCCATGTGGGACACCTGGGCCAGCTGAGGACAGGCAGCTCCCTCAAGACCCCCTGAGGGTCCCCAGCTCAGGTTCCCCACTCAGAAATAAGATGACTTTCTCCAAATCAATGCTGAGTCCACTCAACCATCTTTCTCCAGATTCAAACTATAACCAATGCTCACCACAGAAAATTTGAAAAAGACTAAACATTTAGAGAAACGAAATGAACACTGCCCATGTCATGACAGCCCAGGGACAAGTGCCAGCAGCCCTCTGGGGTGGCTCTCCTGAGCGCCTCGTGCCAGCAGCCCTCTAGGGTGGCTCTCCTGAGCGCCTCGTGCCAGCAGCCCTCTAGGGTGGCTCTCCTGAGCACCTCTCCTGGCGGGTGTTTGCCGTGAGTCATTGGCACTGCACTTTGCTGCCACAGATCCCATGAAAAGGCACTTCTCCAGCACGAACCTTCTTCCCATGCACACCTGCTCACGGCTGCATCTCATGGCATCCTAGAGGCCCCCTTGCGGGGAGTGACTGGGACTCACCAATTGGGGATGGTGCAGAGGTGAGGCCAGATGAGACCCAGGAAGACCCCCCCGCCTGGTGGACGCGAGAATTTCCCAGACATCAGCTTCATTCTTCGGTATAGCAGCTGGGATTGTTGTCTCCTCTTGTGGAATATTAAGTAGTTGGGCTTTTTAAAAAAAATAATTATTTAGGCTGGGCACAGTGGCTCCACCTATAATTATGGCAATTTGGGAAGCCAAGGTGAGAGGATCACCTGAGCCCCGAAGTTCGAGACCAGCCTGGGCAACCTAGGGAGACCCCATCTCTACAAAAATTGTAAAAAGTCGGGTGTGGCAGCGTGCACCTATGGTCCCAGCTACTCGGGAGGCTGAGGCGGGAGAACTGGTTGAGCCTGGGAGGTGGAGGTTGCAGTGAGCGGAGATCGCGCCAGTGCACTGCACTCTGGGTGACATCATAATAGTAATAGTATAAATTTTTAATTGTTATTTGCTAAACAATGCCCTGGCCTTCCTGTATGGCGGCTGTCATCATACAGCCTTTCAACACTTCCCTCAGCGTCTGATGTCTCAGGAGGCCACAGCCCAGGGCAGGCCCGCCGTTCCCATGTTTTCCCTGCCTCTGTTGGCGCCACCAGGGTCCCTCTGTTTGAGGGAGATGTTCCGTAAACACATGGCCAGCAGCTGCACCCACAGACTCGTGGGGAGAGGCTTGGGACAGCACCGGGAGAGGCTCGGCACAGCGCGGCTCCACAGCAAACTCTCTGAGCAGTTTTAGGGTTCTGGGTCCCGGAGGGGCTCACCTGGGCACATTCTCACCAGCAGTGGGTGGGCCGTGGCCTGCCGGCCCGGACCAGCCCTTCCTGAAACCCGGCAAACCTTGCCCTCTCACAAGCCCGCCGCCTCCCAGCCACGGCCCATTTCCACGTAGAAATCAATTTGTCTCCACTGAGGGGAGAGAATTGCAAAGCAAACAAATTATGCCCGCTCCATTGAGCTCCAGGCACTCTGGCCCGGGCTTAGAGCGTCGGAAGGGATTTTTTTTCCTCCAATTCTCTCATAAAATGACCAACCCCCAGGGGGGAGAAACAGAATGCCGTGTAGCTCCTGAGGAACCACTCCCAAGTTCATCTCTCCTCAAACGGCCACCTTGGCAAAAACGCACAGAGGCGCAGCCGTCTCCTGGTAGGGTCTGTGAGTGTCTCTCACAGCTGCTGGAGGAAGCCCCACCAATGGGGTGCCCTCAATGGCAGACATTTATTTTCACACGGTCCTGGAGGCCAGAGTCCGAAATCAAGGTGCTGGCAGGACCACGCTCCGGGTCCTTCCCGGCATCTCACAGATCCCAGCGTCGCCGGTCAGCCTTCACCTCCCTCGGCTTGTGGCCTTTCCCTCCAGCCTCGGCCTCAGCTGTCACCTCCTGGCGTCTGTGCGTCTCCTCTCCTCTTCCCATAATGACACCAGTCACTGGTTAGGGCCCACCCTAAATCCCAGGTGACCTCATTTAACTTCATTACATCTACAGTGGCCCCTCGTTCCAAATAAGGTCACAGTACCTGGGGCTGGACTTCAGTATTTTTGAGGACACCACAACCCAAGCCACAGCAGGGTCCAACCATCCTCATCAACAACGGGGACTGCCTTTTCTGAGGCTCAGTGAGCGCCGGCCCTGCCTCAAGTGGCCTTCGCCAGGAGGGGACGTGCAATTTTGCCTCCTTCCCTGCAGACAAGGTGCTGCTGTGTACAGAAGCACTGGCCACACCGCGTGGCCAGGCAGAGTCAGGGTTCGTACTGCAAAATTCCACTCCGACATCTGCGTCAAATAGCTCTCGCTGGCACCCTGCTGGAGGGTGGCTGTCACCAGTGTGGAAGGGGGACACTGCGGCCCAGGAGCTGCCCCGGGCACACAGCACCACCCTGCCAGCCACACCACGCTCCTCCCCAACACGCCACATCACAGCGGGAGCCACGGTCTCAGGGGCCTACCTGGAGCCTGGTGTTGACCCCAGAAGATGCTTGGGGCACAGTACCCAACCAGTCACCAACAGGCTGTGCTACTGCGGTGAGTCTCCAAGCCCAGGCCTCAGACTCCCCTCCTGTGATATGAGGGGCAGGAAGGACCAGGGATCTCCAAGGCCTCCCACCACCTCCACCCGGGCAGCCCCCATCCCAGTACGGTGAAGGCACTCACCTCTGCCTCCCTCCAGCACCGGGATATCCAGAGGTGTCCTGTTGATGGTGATTCATGCTACACAGGGGCAGGTTGTCCCCATGTCCCCACACCCACACACGCAGAGGGGAGCTGCCCCTCATTCTCCCCACCATGGCTGAAGACATGGGGGCTGCACCAGCCTTCCCTCTCAGTCACCGTAGCAGCCCGTAAGGATGGTCGTATCATCGTCCCACGTTCTGGATGAGTACACAGAGGCAGAGTATTTGAGTACCTGCCCCAGGGCTGGCAGCCAGGAAGCAGTGGAGCTGGGTTCACACCCCAGAGTGTGAGGGGATCCTGGGAGCCCGAGGCCCGGAGCCTCCTCCTCTTCTGTCCTCTAATCTCCCACTCAACAGAACTCAGTGAGCCACGGCGCCACGCTGGCATTGCACGCGGCCTTGCCCATGATGCACACGGCTGCTTCTCTGGGAGCCCCCGCTCCAGTGTGCCAGGATCCTCAGAAACCCACCCCCTTCTTGGGATTCAGGCAGCTGACAAGGTGCGCCTACCCCTTGGTGCAGGGTCAGCATGGATCACGGTGCGGGTGGAAAGCCATCACCTGCTCCATTCCCTGCTGGGGACTTTTTCCTCTGCTATGTCCCAGGGAGAACTAGGAGGAAATGCCAGTAACCCTGGGGACAAAAGCAGCCACAAGGGGAGAGGCCCAGGAGCGCCTGTTCCGGGGCCTCCGGGGGTGCTGCCCCAGGGAGGCTTTTGACTTACGTCCCCTGCAAAAGATGTTAAAGTCCTAACCCACAGCGCCTGGGGAATGTGGCCTTCTTTGGAAGTAGGGTCATTGCAGGTGTCATCAGTTAAGAGCAGGTCCTGCTGGAGCAAGGTGGGCCCTGATCCAGTGGAACTGCAAGAGGAGATGGGGACACACAGACTGACTCAGGAGGAGGAGGCCAGGGAGCCACCAGGAGCCTCCCCAGAGCCATGGGAGGGAGCCTGGCCCTGCTTGATGTGGCGCTGCCGCTCCCTGGCCTGGGATGGAGCCGTCTCTGCTGTTTTAGGCCCTGGTGAGCAGGGCTTTTGTGACAGCAGCCACAGGAATCCGATGCAGGCCTGAGGCTTGGAAAGCCCCTTTGCAAGTCACTAAGTCTCCGTTTTCCAGCTTGGAAAACTCCACGATTCTGACAGTGCCAGCATGCAGCCAGGCAGGAGCCTCGCCCACCCTCCCCGCCACTCCAGCCTGAGGCCCTGAGGAACGAGGGCCGGGCATGGCGCAGGGCTTCCACGGCAGGCTTCAGGAGCCGGGGCCGAAACGCTCCTGTTCACAAGTTGGCCGCCGCCCTGTTGGGGGGTGAGGCCAGGGGTCAGGCGGCCCCTCAGGACGGACGCCTTCAGCTGCACAGAGGCCGCCCCTACAGAGCCAGGGTGGACGCTGCTGCCATTCACCGGGGTCAACACTCGGTCAGGCTGGGATTTACCACCGCCCGTCCAGGTGGCACTTGCAGAGGGACATCAGATGCCCTCTGCCCTGCCTGTGCCTTACAGGCCAGGTTCAGAGCAGAGAACTCCAGTGCCAGATACCTTCCATGTAGCCAGCGGTGCGAGGCCACCCCCCGGGGGTCCCCTTACTCTGTCACCCTCAGGAATCCAGGTCTCTTAGCTCAGGGCTGCCATCACAAAATGCCACAGACTGGGAGGTTAAGCGACAAACAGTTATTCCTCTCAGTTCTGGAAACTGCAAAGTCTAACCTCAAGGTTCAGCCACGTTCCATTCCTGGTGAGGCCTCCTTCTGGAGCACAGATAGCTGCCTTCTCCCTAAGGCCTTGGGTGGCCTTTCTTGGTACCTGTGGGTAGACAGAGAGAGAAAGAGAGAGAGAGAGAGAGAGCACACGCTTATGTCTTCTGGACAGGCAGGGATTCTGTCAGGAGGACCTCACCCTCACGACCTCATCTATACCTGCTCACCCTGCGGAGGCCTGGTCTCCAGACACCATCACACGGGGGCTTAGGGGAGATACACATGTTAAGTCCATCACACCAGAGACTGCAGAGGGCCATGGAGGCATCTGCAGCCCAGGTGGGGCCCTCACCCTGGGCATACCTCTGCCTCTAGCTGAAGCAATGTGAAAGCTGTGACACCATCTCAGCGTCTGCAAACAGGAGCTCACCATTCATCCTCTTTCTCTTTACAGGGTTGAGGGGGGCTTTTTTGAGGCAAGTGCTTAGAAGTGTGCTTTGCAACGTAGGTGTGGTTCTTCTGATTCTGTCTCCAGGGAATGCTGGGGAACCAGCTCCTTGGAGGGGACTTTGCAGGAAGCCCTCGGAGAGAAGGCTTATGGAGGAGGGGCACCTGCACTTCTCACCTCCTGAGAACACTTTTAGAAACGGTGGTTACTGGGTGGGGGGCTCCACAGAGCCAGCCCTCCTGCTAAGCACTTCACATGGGTTATCTTATCTAATCTTGCGGCAACTGGCTGCGGTAAGTACTCAAGAGTTGATTCAGTAATTTGGAAATGACTGGGCCACTGAGTGCCCAGTGCTAAATGCTGAGGGTGCCTTGGGGACAACAAGACGCAGGTCCTTCCTCAGGGAGCTTGGAGTGTGCGTGTGTGTGTGTGTGTGTACAAGTGCACACACATGGGTGTATATTATTTCTCTCTTTGTTCCAGAAAGGCTTTCAGAGAGCTCCTGGTCTGGGCGGGCAGGGGTGGGTGACAGACAAGAAGGAAAATGTGGGTGGCCCAGGAGAAGGTAGCACACCCACAGCAATGGCCTGAGAGGCTGCGGCTCCAGCTGACAGCGGCATGAGGGTGAAGAAGCCTTTCCAGCAGGCAGGAGAACTCGACGGTGGTTGTAGCCCTATAAGTGGATGTTCCCCTCCAGGGAGAGAGGAGAATAGCAGGCCAGTGTTGCGGGGTACCCTGTGCCCCCAGCACATAAGACTTGAACATGAAGGGGACTAAGAAAAAGCAGCGAGACAGCTGGGCAGGGGTCAGGTGGATGATGACCCAAGACCAACAGAGGACCCCAGTCCAAGCAGGGAGGCGTGGCCAGCAGCATCAACACTCAAGACCCAGTAGGATAAGGACCAGGAGTGGAGTGACTTGGTAAGAAGCCTTAGGGTGTCGGAGAAGCCAGATTGCAGGGCCTGGGGGCCAAAGGGCTTGGGTGAGGCACTCCACTGTGGCTCTGGCGGTCCTGCACATTCATGCTGGGGTGCCCGGAAGGCAAGACCCTGACCACCCTGTCCCCAGACCATCTCTCAGAGTTGGTTTGTAGCAGCAACCTTGGAGGATACAGCGATACCTCCCTCCTGGACAAAGGGCAGGCCTGCTCTAAAAGCAGCAGACGCCCCAGCCCCGTGTTCCTCCGCAGCAAACCGGCTGCGTGTGTAGTGTCACCCTCTGAATCACTCTTGTGGGACTCAGGGACCAGGAAATGGACGGGGCAGTGACACTCCTGTGCTTGCTGAGCTGGGAGTGGTGGCATTCTTTGTCTCTGACCCGGGAGCTTCATGTCTCCTGCCAGCAGCTGTGAAACCGGAACAGGCACTTGTTGGCTTGTCCTGAGGTCAAAGCCCAGAGAGGGACACATGGGAAGTGAGAAAGTGGATCATCAGCGAGGAATTATCTTCTCACCAAAGCCATCCTTTCCCGGCCTTTGAGTGTGACGAGGACAGAGGAGAGGCGACGCCAGAGAGACGGCACCACTGGCCTCCCAGGGTCCTTGAAGACAATGACCCTGATGTGCTTTGTGAGGTGATGGGTGCAGGTTTCGCTATTTTCCCTTCTTCCTCGTGTTCTTCTCTTCCTGTCTGATAGGACTTAAAGAGAGGTATCAGCTCCATTCTGTGGGACTGGTGGGAAGGAGAAATTAATCCTTGCCAGGGCGATGGTGAAGCTGACGTGGACGGGGAGCATCTGCATGGGGCCTTGAGGGACATGGGGCTTCAAAGGAGCCCCTCTTTCTACTCTGTTTCTTCAGGAGTCTCAACCTGGCTGTAGACATGGCCAACCTGCAGACACCTCCTAAGCCCCCAGTGTCGGGGCCTGCCGCCCACCTTTCTCCCAGGAAGCCAGAGAGGCGCAGTTAGCGTCACCGCACAGGCTGCGCTCCAGCCTTCTGGCACAGGCCCTGCACTCCCAGGATCCTGCCCGCCCTGAGCCAACCACATCACCAGGCGGGAACGTGGAGACAGGCAGACAGGTCAGCGGTTGTGAGAGGCACAAGCCCGGGTGCTAGGAGCCTCCGCTCTCCCCTGCACATGGGAGGCCATGGTGTCCTGGGCCGGGGCCTGCGGTTCCCTGTGCTGTTGTGCTGGGCGCTGTCTGGGCATCGCTGCCATGTTGGTAAAACACCACGGGTTTGTTTCAGCCGAGAGAGATGCAGACTGGTCAAAACAGGCTCTGATTCTCTTTATTGAATTGGGGGATATTGGATTTGTGGAACTCAACTTTCTGATGACAAAAAATTATCTGTGTGGCCAAATAAAGATGAACAAAGCTGAGAGCCAGCGCAAAAGGCCATTTCAGCCGCAGGCCCGCCTCGCAGGCCACTTAGCAAAGCCGGGCTGGTGTCCTCTGCGGGGCTGGGCCGCAAAGTGCCCTTTTGGATTTTTCTTAAGCTAACGTTAGCAAATTGCATATAAATTGAATCTCAGCTAAAAGGTAAAGATAGCCCACGGCCAAAGGGCAGGGCCACCACCCACAGCAATGGCTGTGCTTTATAACCAGTCAGACACAAACTAAGAGGGGAAATACGGTTCTCTCGACTAATCAATTACATTTGAGTAATTGATCGTATATTATTATTGATGAAAGCCCATAATATGTGAGTTAGAAGGGAGAGGGTTCTCCAAAGATTAGATTTGTATACGAAAATGGAAGAGAAAAAATGACTCTCATAAAATCACTTGCAAGTGCTTTGTGGTGTCATGCCTGGTGGAACACGGGGCCTGGCCCTGATCGTTCGCCAGTGTTTTATGGTGTCATGCTTGGTGGAACACGGGACCCGGCCCTACACGGCTTCTCTCCGCTGCCTGTGCCCTGTCCACCTGGGAGAAGAGAACACGGCACTTAGCAGAGAGAAAAGTTGCAAGGCCACAGGATCTGCCCAGCGGTCAAAACATTGTCACAGGGAAGAGAGAGGACATGGCCAGTGCAGCTGCCGAGGGCCACATTCGGTGGACGGTTCAAAGAAGAAATGGGATCCATGTAAGGAAGTGCTTTTTCACGACGAGAAAAATCCAGGAGCAACAGCTTCCCAAGGGGCTGATCACCCCATTTCACCCCATCCCAGAAGGCAGCCGGCAAGGGTGGTGAGAGGACATTGGGTGGGGTGCAGGTGTGTCTAGGTGAAGGCAGCCAGCAAAGGTGGTTAGCGTGGTCCCCAGGGATGCTGGAGAGGACATCAAGCTGGGTGCAGGTGTGTCTAGGTGAAGGTAGCTGGGAAGGGTGGTGACAGGGGCCCCAGGGACTCCGGAGAGGGCATCGGGCTGGGTGCAGGTGTGTCTAGGTAAAGGTGGCTGGCAAAGGTGGTTGAGAGGCCCCCCTGCCCGAGACGCTGGAGAGGACATTGGGCTGGGTGCAGGTGTCTCTAGGTGCCCTTCAAGATGGCTTCAAAATCAAAAGTCCAGGTGTCTCAAGAGTGCCAAGCCCATACCGCGAGTGAGCTGGAGGGGCCCAGGACGGGGCTCAGGGAAGCCTCTGGCCCTGCAAGGCCCCCACGTCTTGTTCAGCTCCTGCCCATTTCCAGGGGTGGCTCCCCTGACCATCACTCTCCCACTGCCCCTCACTCTCCGAGAACAGCTATTTTCTCACTGCTCAGAGAAAACAGAGGCCAGGAGGCAGCCAGGGTCTCCACTTCCCAGCCTCCAGCCACCACACCCATTTCACCTTCCTTCCTGCTGCTCCAGCCCCCCAGGCCCAGAGCCCCTGCAGGGGCCGAGGCCCACCTCTCCCCTCCCCCTTACCCACCCCCTACCTCCCTTTCCCAACTCAGACTGGGGGCTCCAGACATGTATGATTTAGAATCGTTTTGATCCCCCTTCCAGAGGATAAGCACCCTCCCTTGGCCTCCCTCCACACCCCAGTGAGGCCTGGTACCCTGTTCCCCTCACAGATGGCTCAGTCCACCCTCCACCACACCCCAGAGACGCCTTTGACAAGTCTCTGTGACATCCACACCACCAACATCGACGGCTATTTTCCAGTTTTCCTCCTATTTCTTGTTCATTCATTCATTCATTTCATTCATCCTCTCTTCTCTGCCCGGTGAGCATCAGGGTGGCCAGCTCTCTGCTCGGACCTGGGATGCAGAGGGTGTCAGACGGACACAGCTCACTGCTCCCTCTCACACAGGCTCACAGGTCAGCAGGGACCCCAGACAGGGCAAGAACACTCTGTGAGCCAAGCTGAGCACCCGGTGACCAGGACGATGGGAAGCCCTGGGTGTGCACCAGACCCCACACGTATGCTCTCTGCAAATCCCCTCACCCTCGATGCCCCTGTCAACACTGTCGCCTGGTTTCACTTCCTCCTCCCTGAAGACTCCTTCCTGGTCTCTTCCACAGAGCCTTCTCCGTGACTCCTTTTTATAAATTGAGATAAAATTCGCATAACATAGTATTCACCATTTTAACAATTTTGAAGTGCTGTTCTTTGGGTTTTTGTATTTCACATTTGTACAACCATCACCACTCTCTAACTGCAGAGCTTTTTCATCATCCCCCAAAAAACTCCGTGCCCATCACAGTCACACACACCCCCAGCCCTGGCGACCACGTTCTCATCTCTTCTATGGTAACGAGATGCTCACGTCATCTACTTTGTCTTAGGTCAATTTTACCCACTTATATTTATATTTTAGTATATGTTATATATTTAATTCATATTTTTCTAGGAAGTCATCTCTTTTTTTCTTGGGGTTCAACTTTATTGAAGAGTTATATAAAGAGTTCTATGAAGTTTTTTTAAAAAAATATTTTAAACCTCTTCCCATTTTTTAGTCCCAACTCTTTTCTTGTTTTTCATTGTGTCTTTTTTGCTTGCTTTATTTCTTAATCAGGTTTATGACAGATGTGTCTACTTTGTGGTGTCTTCAAAGAACCAACTCGGGGACTTCTGAGTACTTTCTCCTGTTTTCGTTTGCTTTCTATTTGTTTAATTTCATCTTTTATCTCTGTCACTTTCATCTCTTTTTCTAATACTTTCTTTTTTTTGAGATTGAGTCTCACTCTATAGCCCAGGCTGGAGTGCAGTGGCATGATCTTGGCTCACCGCAACCTCCGCCTCCCCAGGTTCAAGAGATTCTCGTGTCTCAGCCTCCCAAGTAGCTGGGATTATAGGCACCCACCATCACGCCCAGCTAATTTTTGTATTTTTGGTAGAGATGGGGTTTCACCATGTTGGCCAGGCTGGTCTCAAACTCCTGACCTCAAGTGATCCAGCCACCTCAGCCTCCCAAAGTGCTGGGATTACAGGCGTGAGCCACTGGGGGTGGCGCCCAGCCTCTAATACTTTCTTAAAGTGATACATCGATTCCTTTCTTGTAGTCTTTCTTCTTCAATACTGAAAGTATTTAAGGCTTTCTTGTTTCTTACTGAGGAGCTTCCCTTTTTGTGGCTGTCAGATTAGTTTCTAATTCCAGCTTTCATTCTAATTCCAAGAATGTCATACAGAGTGATTCTCTTCCCAAATCTCCTCTCCCCTTTCCCTGTAGTAACAGCAGCCTTGGTGTTTACTGGGTCCACTTCCACCCAGGATAAAAGCTGCATCTCCCAGCATCCCCTGAGTCAGGCATGGCCATGTGACTATGTCTGGCCAATGGGGTATGAGCAGAAGTGATGGCACCCTCCGTGTCTTTCTGCTGGGGTACAGGTGTGGTGGTGAGCAAGCTGGGACTGTGTGGAGGAGGACACCCCATGAGACAGTGGACCAGCAGCATGGTGAAGCCTAGGTGCTCAGAGAGCACCCAGCTCCCCGCCCACCACACAGCCCAGACTTTTGTGTTAGAAATAACAAAAAAGTTATTTTTATTTCCATCATGGTGATCCACTCTTCTGGTTGTTCTCAGCCATGCAGCTAAACCTATTCTGTAACATAAAAAGTGCTGTTTAAGAGTATATTGCTTACTTTCCATGTAGTGAGGGTTTCTGGGGGTAGAGGAGCAAAAATTTATTATTTCTAATTTTTCTAGAATACAGCTAGAAAAAAAATCTACCTTTTCAATTTTCTTAAGGTTTTCTTTGCAACTATAAACATCATCAATGTTTATAAATGCTCAATGGGACTTTGAAAAACTGTCTCTATGTGAAGTAGGGGATGTTTTACACAACTATTAAATCGAGTTTGCTGATTACGTGGCTCAATTCTCTAAAATCTAATTTATTTATTTGTCATCTACTAAATTAGTCTGATTCTGAAGATGGTACCCAGCATGGGACCACCTGGGATCCTGCTTTTATTAAGTTCTTATATTTCTAAATAACTTGGCTTTTATAGAGTTACCTGCTGAATTGATTCATGTATAATACAGATTTATTTTTTATCTTACTACTTGTTCACAATGTCTTTCCCACTTCACGCTTTGCTCTTCACCTCGCCGCCTCTGTACTAAAGCGTGCCTTGCTGTCCAAACTGCGGCTGCTTGGCACCACCGTTTTTTTTTTTGTTTTTTTTTTTAGACAGAATCTGGCTCTGTCTGCCAGGCTGGAGTGCAGTGGCGTGATCTCGGCTCGCTGCAACCTCTGCCTCCTGGGTTCAAGCGATTCTCCTGCCTCAGCCTCCCGAGTAGCTGGGATTACAGGTGCCCGCCACCACGCCTAGCTAATTTTTGTATTTTTAATAGAGACGTGGTTTCACCATGTTGGCCAGGCTGGTCTCAATCTCCTGACCTCGTGATCCGCCCGCCTTGGCCTCCCAGAGCGCTGGGATTACAGGTGTGAGCCACTGAGCCCAGCCGGCATCACTTTATTCGAAGCCTTATCACCGGCCCGTAATCACGCTTCTTTAAATCGCATGCAACGTGTTTTCAGACCAGTCGGGTGGTCTTTTAACGAGGAGTGCAGCCCGCATCCGATTCCCGCTCTGCGGGTTCCTGGTCCTCCCCATTCTTCCTCCTGTGGCTCTTTTGCAGTTGCCTGGGTTTGCAGCTGGCTCAGGCTTCTCTCCCGGTTTCCACCGAGGGCTCGCTCCTGCTCAGGGTCCCCGCGTGGTCCCGGTGTTCCGATGCCACCAGGCGGCGCTGTTCCCTTGCATCCTCAACATCAGATTCCCAGTCCTGCAGGACAGGAACCGGAACGCCACCCTCCACCAGGGACTGGGTGCACCTTCTCCCCACCGCGCCTGAGCCCCCGGGGGCTTCTGGCCACTTACACCCCCAGGCCTAGGAGGTCAGCCGTGGGATGCCTCTCTATCGCATGCTCCTGATTCCACACTCAAACCTCACTTTCCGGTGGCTCTCACGTCGCCTTGAATGTCTCACGGAGGTGAGTAGCCCTCCTTCCTCTTCCTCCTGCCGGCTCTGTGCTAAGTCCATGCTCGTCTGCTCAGAGGAGGGTCCGGAGGTTATCTTCCCTTCATCCTTGCCAACCTGGACATGTCTTTCTTTCTCTGTGACCCATGCATTCTATCTGCAGAGGCAGTGAGAGAGTGGCTGAGAACACAGACCCATCCCAAAGCCAGGTTTTCTGGTTTCCTTTTTTTTTTTTTTTTTTTTTTTTTTTTCTTGAGACGGAGTCTCGCTCTGTCGCCCAGGCTGGAGGGCAGTGGCGCCATCTCGCCTCACTGCAAGCTCTGCCTCCTGGGTTCACACTGTTCTCCTGCCTCAGCCTCCCAAGTAGCTGGGACTACAGGCGCCCGCCACCACGCCCGGCTGATTTTTTGTATTTTTTTTTAGTAGAGACGGGGTTTCACTGTGTTAGCCAGGATGGTCTTGATCTCCTGACCTCGTGATCAGCCCGCCTCGGCCTCCCAAAGTGCTGGGATTACAGGCGTGAGCCACCGCACCTGGCCCGGTTTTCTGGTTTCTAACCCTGGTTGTGTGATGGTGCATAAGTCACTTGACCTGTCTGTGCTTGTGAGATGGAGATAATTCTAATATGTTTCTCCTTAAGGAGAGGAAACAAATTAAACAAGCTCAGACAACACTGAAGCTGTGCCTGGATAGGGAAAACTGTCCATGGGCATCGGCTATTATTATATCACTGATTATTATTATTATCCATGCTGGGGTATAGAGTGTCAGGGCAGAGCCCTTTCCTCTGAATGCTTTGTAAACATCAGTCCGTCTTCTTTTATTTATTTATTTATTTATTTATTTTGGAGACAGGGTCTCACTATGTTGCCCAGGCTGGAGTGCAGTGGCACAATCTCGGCTCACTGCAACCTCTGCCTCATGGTTTCAAGTGATTCTCCTGCCTCAGCCTCCCGAGTGTAGGTGGGATTACAGGTGCCTGCCACCATGCCCGGCTAATTTTTTGTATTTTATATTTTTTAGTAGAGATGGGGTTTCTCCATGTTAGCCAGGCTGGTCTCGAACTCCTGACCTCAAGTGATCTGCCCACCTCAGCCTCCCAAAATGTAGGGATTACAGGCGTGAGCCATCGCGCCCGGCCTTTTTTCTATTATATTTTATTTCCCTATTATTTGCATATGGGGCTACTGGATCTGTTCTCAAAATCTCTTTTCCCTCATAACTTCCTCGAGGCAGTATTTTTGCTTTACGTTTCAGGTAATTCCTCTATTTGTTCCTCCCCACATGAATTCAGAACTCAGAGACACGAGCCTCTCCTCTGATTCAACTCGTAAATGGGTTTTTCCTTTACAAATAATGATTTCTAGTTGTAGAACTTGTTCATGCTGCTGTTGAACGTATCCATCTGTCTGTCCATCGTCGTGTTTTAAGAGGCAGCCCCTCTCCCCGAGACCAGTCCCCTGGGGACCCACTCCTCAGGGTCTCAGCTGTGGCCACACGGCCCGCTGCCCAGGTGCAGTTTCTGGAGGGGCTGTGGCTCTTCACGGCACCTTGTTCTTCTCAGCTGCCAGGAATATTAAAAGCCAATCCTCGGAGCTTACATATAGCCCTAGTGGGTTATATCCCAGAACCAAAGGAACTTGAGGAAACAACTGGAGCTGTTTGCAGTGATTGCACTGTGGGTAGCGGACTAGCACTGGGCTGTGAGACTGTCGTGTGTGCTTTGGATCAAGCAGGCACAGTTGTGTGACTTTCTACTTTGTCCTTCCCCTCCTTTGCCCTGAAATCTGGGATTCTCTGCACAGGAGAAGGTCATTCTGGTTTGGAATTGGAAGTAGCAACAGGAACCCTCTGTGTTTTTTATTTTTGTTTTTGTTTTTGAGATAGAGTCTTGGTCTGTCACCCAGGCTGTAGTCCAATGGTGTGATCTCAGCTCACTGCAACCTCCACCTTCTGGGTTCAAGCCATTCTCCTGCCTCAGCCACCAGAGTAGCCTGCCACCTTGCCCAGCTATTTTTTTTTTTTTTTTTTTTTTTTTTTTTGCATTTTTAGTAGAGACAGGGTTTCACCATATTGGCCAGGCTGGTCTTGAACTCCTGACCTCAGGTGATCCACCGGCCTCGGCCTCCCAAAATGCTGGGATTACAGGTGTGAGCCACCACGCCTGGCCTTGTGTTTTCCCTTTAAAAACAATTGGATATCTAGCTCTGTCCACGGACGGGCCTGGAAGCAGTGAGCACCCCTGGAGCAACAGGCAGCCCTGGTGCACAGGCAGCGTTTTCCCAATGCCATGTCCACACTAGCGTCCACCCGAACCACCGCCAGAGAGGCTCTCCAAATGAAAACGAGGTTCGTTCAGGAGTCGGGCATTGCGTGCAAATACGTATGCTGGAGTCCGCTGTGCGTTTTCAGGGAGGTAAAAGCACAGAGGCTTTAATGGCAAAGTGAAGAGAATCACAGAATTGTTTTGGGATATTTATCCTTGCCACAGGAATCGAGAACACGGGTGGTAACAGTCTGAGGTTGGGCAGGTGTCCTCACAGAAGTGTTTTTTGTGTGAGGTTGTGATGGACTTTGCTCACGATTGTGGTGTTTGCTGTCTTCTGTGATGGTTTTATGGGGAATACCGTCAGGGCTGTTCCCAGCTCTATTGGTTGGGGTTTTGTTTTGTTTTGTTTAAGACAAGTGTCTCCATTTTGATTCTGACAGCTTTCACACTGGAAAGCAGGGACTGAGGAAAGTGAGGGGGGCAGCAGGGCCCAGCCAGGGGATCCTGCCAGAGGCAAGGACGTCACTAAGGACTGTGCAGGTTCTAGCAAAATGACAAGGGGCCGGGCGTGGTGGCTCACTCCTGTAATCCCAGCATTTTGGGAGGCCAAGGCGGGTGGGTCACCTGAGGTCAGGAGTTTGAGACCAGCCTAGCCAATATGTTGAAATTCCATCTCTACTAAAAAAAAAAAAAAAAAATACAAAAAGTAGCCGGGTGTGGTGGCAGGTACCTGTAATCCCAGCTACTTGGGAGGCTGAGGCAGGAGAATCACTTGAACTCAGGAGGTGGAGGTTGCAGTGAGCCGAGATCGCGCCACTGCACTCCAGCCTGGGCGAGAGAGTGAGACTCGGTCTCAAAACAAACCAACAAAAAAGGACATGGAAGTGCAGAAGGGCCCCCCGCTGGCTGGATCCGGGGTGGTGTGTGAAGAGAATGCTATCTCCTCGTCTCCACCTCCCCGGCCCCCACTCTTACCACGGCCCCCCTGCACAGCCTTCCCCAAGGCTCCCTGACCCACTCCTCGGCCCAGTTTCTATGCCGGGGGCCTGGCCCTTGGCCCCTGACACGAACTGGGCTCTGGAATGAGTCCTTCCACCCCACACACCCACTGCAGCAGGCTCTTCCCTAGACAACGTGAACGGGTGGGGACAGAATGAAGTGCAGGGAAGGCCTCGTGCAGGTGCCCCACGGGGGGACTGAGACTGAGCGGCCACCTGCACACCCCGAGTCCTGGGCACCTTGCGCCTGCTGTTTCCACACCCACTTCAGCAAAGCACGAAGCAGAGGTCTGCTCCACGGGCCTCCCGGGGTTTCAGAGGACCCCTGCACGGTGCCCTGTATGCAGTGGAGCCAAATAAATGTAAACCTTCAAGGCACTAGGCGCATGGGTGAATGTAGGATGCAGGGGCTCAGGAGGCTGTGAGATGTTCCCCAAACACTCCAGATCATTCTTGCTCCGCAAACCAAGCGCTGTTGTGCCAGTGTAAGACTTGAGGGCTGTAGGCTGCCTGAGCCCTCCCCATGCCTTCCCCCGAGAGCACGCCACCCAGCGCCGGGGGTGTGCCTGCTCCTCTGGGCTTCAGCTGGGAACCCCGAGGCCTTCGCCTCAGGGCATAGCTGCCAGGAGGCAATGGAACGAGGCTGAGGGTGCTGGTGGGGACCATGCTATCATTCAGTTGAGGTCAAGGCACTGCTCAGAGTGGATGCCCAGTTCCATGGAGGGACCTGCCCAGGCCTGGAGCTCTGGAAACCAGGGGGGCCGATGGCACAGCCAGGAGCACGTGAGGAGCCACTGTATGGGAGATGCTGCCCTCTCCTAGGGGCTGAACCATGTCCCTCCCACAAAATTCATCTGCTGAAGTCCTAGCCCCAGGTCCTCAGTGTGATCTTATTTGGAGGTAGCATCTTTGTAAAGGTAACTAAATTAAAATGAGGGTCGCTAGGGTCTTATATTAGGCCCTAGCCCAATACAAGAAGAGGAAATGTGGACAGAGACACATAGAGGGATGATGATGGGAAGAGTGGGGGAAAGATGACCGCCAAAGAGCCAGGGAGCGTGGTGCCAGAAGGAGCCCGCCCTGGGGACATGGCTCTGACGTCAGCCCCCAGGACTGTGGGAGGACACACTTCTGCTGTTGAAGCGCCAGGTCTCTGCTGCTTTTTGACACAGCCCTGGCCGGCTCAGGTGCCTTCTCTGCTGCATTCTCTGCTCAGGCTACGGGACCCCTTCCTGGAAGATCCCGGGGCTGACAGACTTTCTCGATGGTGAGAGAGGGGACAGGAGAGGGTCCCTGGACCCAAGTAGCATGATCAGGATGAGGGAGGTCTGATTCTGAAGATGGTACCCAGCATGGGACCATCTGGGATCCTGCTTTTATTAAGTTCTTATATTTCTAAATAACTTGGCTTTTATAGAGTTACCTGCTGAATTGATTCATGTATAATACAGATTTATTTTTTATCTTACTACTTGTTCACAATGTCTTTCCCACTTCACGCTTTGCTCTTCACCTCGCCGCCTCTGTACTAAAGCGTGCCTTGCTGTCCGACCTGCGGCTGCTTGGCACCATCATTTTTTTTTTTTTTTTAGACAGAATCTGGCTCTGTCTGCCAGGCTGGAGTGCAGTGGCGTGATCTCGGCTCGCTGCAACCTCTGCCTCCCGGGTTCAAGCGATTCTCCTGCCTCAGCCTCCCGAGTAGCTGGGATTACAGGTGCCCGCCACCACGCCTAGCTAATTTTTGTATTTTTAATAGAGACGTGGTTTCACCATGTTGGCCAGGCTGGTCTCAATCTCCTGACCTCGTGATCCGCCCGCCTTGGCCTCCCAGAGCGCTGGGATTACAGGTGTGAGCCACTGAGCCCAGCCGGCATCACTTTATTCGAAGCCTTATCACCGGCCCGTAATCACGCTTCTTTAAATCGCATGCAACGTGTTTTCAGACCAGTCGGGTGGTCTTTTAACGAGGAGTGCAGCCCGCATCCGATTCCCGCTCTGCGGGTTCCTGGTCCTCCCCATTCTTCCTCCTGTGGCTCTTTTGCAGTTGCCTGGGTTTGCAGCTGGCTCAGGCTTCTCTCCCGGTTTCCACCGAGGGCTCGCTCCTGCTCAGGGTCCCCGCGTGGTCCCGGTGTTCCGATGCCACCAGGCGGCGCTGTTCCCTTGCATCCTCAACATCAGATTCCCAGTCCTGCAGGACAGGAACCGGAACGCCACCCTCCACCAGGGACTGGGTGCACCTTCTCCCCACCGCGCCTGAGCCCCCGGGGGCTTCTGGCCACTTACACCCCCAGGCCTAGGAGGTCAGCCGTGGGATGCCTCTCTATCGCATGCTCCTGATTCCACACTCAAACCTCACTTTCCGGTGGCTCTCACGTCGCCTTGAATGTCTCACGGAGGTGAGTAGCCCTCCTTCCTCTTCCTCCTGCCGGCTCTGTGCTAAGTCCATGCTCGTCTGCTCAGAGGAGGGTCCGGAGGTCATCTTCCCTTCATCCTTGCCAACCTGGACATGTCTTTCTTTCTCTGTGACCCATGCATTCTATCTGCAGAGGCAGTGAGAGAGTGGCTGAGAACACAGACCCATCCCAAAGCCAGGTTTTCTGGTTTCCTTTTTTTTTTTTTTTTTTTTCTTGAGACGGAGTCTCGCTCTGTCGCCCAGGCTGGAGGGCAGTGGCGCCATCTCGCCTCACTGCAAGCTCTGCCTCCTGGGTTCACACTGTTCTCCTGCCTCAGCCTCCCAAGTAGCTGGGACTACAGGCGCCCGCCACCACGCCCGGCTAATTTTTTGTATTTTTTTTTAGTAGAGACGGGGTTTCACTGTGTTAGCCAGGATGGTCTTGATCTCCTGACCTCGTGATCAGCCCGCCTTGGCCTCCCAACGTGCTGGGATTACAGGCGTGAGCCACCGCACCTGGCCCGGTTTTCTGGTTTCTAACCCTGGTTGTGTGATGGTGCATAAGTCACTTGACCTGTCTGTGCTTGTGAGATGGAGATAATTCTAATATGTTTCTCCTTAAGGAGAGGAAACAAATTAAACAAGCTCAGACAACACTGAAGCTGTGCCTGGATAGGGAAAACTGTCCATGGGCATCGGCTATTATTATATCACTGATTATTATTATTATCCATGCTGGGGTATAGAGTGTCAGGGCAGAGCCCTTTCCTCTGAATGCTTTGTAAACATCAGTCCGTCTTCTTTTATTTATTTATTTATTTATTTTGGAGACAGGGTCTCACTATGTTGCCCAGGCTGGAGTGCAGTGGCACAATCTCGGCTCACTGCAACCTCTGCCTCATGGTTTCAAGTGATTCTCCTGCCTCAGCCTCCCGAGTGTAGGTGGGATTACAGGTGCCTGCCACCATGCCCGGCTAATTTTTTGTATTTTATATTTTTTAGTAGAGATGGGGTTTCTCCATGTTAGCCAGGCTGGTCTCGAACTCCTGACCTCAAGTGATCTGCCCACCTCAGCCTCCCAAAATGTAGGGATTACAGGCGTGAGCCATCGCGCCCGGCCTTTCTTCTATTATATTTTATTTCCCTATTATTTGCATATGGGGCTACTGGATCTGTTCTCAAAATCTCTTTTCCCTCATAACTTCCTCGAGGCAGTATTTTTGCTTTACGTTTCAGGTAATTCCTCTATTTGTTCCTCCCCACATGAATTCAGAACTCAGAGACACGAGCCTCTCCTCTGATTCAACTCGTAAATGGGTTTTTCCTTTACAAATAATGATTTCTAGTTGTAGAACTTGTTCATGCTGCTGTTGAACGTATCCATCTGTCTGTCCATCGTCGTGTTTTAAGAGGCAGCCCCTCTCCCCGAGACCAGTCCCCTGGGGACCCACTCCTCAGGGTCTCAGCTGTGGCCACACGGCCCGCTGCCCAGGTGCAGTTTCTGGAGGGGCTGTGGCTCTTCACGGCACCTTGTTCTTCTCAGCTGCCAGGAATATTAAAAGCCAATCCTCGGAGCTTACATATAGCCCTAGTGGGTTATATCCCAGAACCAAAGGAACTTGAGGAAACAACTGGAGCTGTTTGCAGTGATTGCACTGTGGGTAGCGGACTAGCACTGGGCTGTGAGACTGTCGTGTGTGCTTTGGATCAAGCAGGCACAGTTGTGTGACTTTCTACTTTGTCCTTCCCCTCCTTTGCCCTGAAATCTGGGATTCTCTGCACAGGAGAAGGTCATTCTGGTTTGGAATTGGAAGTAGCAACAGGAACCCTCTGTGTTTTTTATTTTTGTTTTTGTTTTTGAGATAGAGTCTTGGTCTGTCACCCAGGCTGTAGTCCAATGGTGTGATCTCAGCTCACTGCAACCTCCACCTTCTGGGTTCAAGCCATTCTCCTGCCTCAGCCACCAGAGTAGCCTGCCACCTTGCCCAGCTATTTTTTTTTTTTTTTTTTTTTTTTTGCATTTTTAGTAGAGACAGGGTTTCACCATATTGGCCAGGCTGGTCTTGAACTCCTGACCTCAGGTGATCCACCGGCCTCGGCCTCCCAAAATGCTGGGATTACAGGTGTGAGCCACCACGCCTGGCCTTGTGTTTTCCCTTTAAAAACAATTGGATATCTAGCTCTGTCCACGGACGGGCCTGGAAGCAGTGAGCACCCCTGGAGCAACAGGCAGCCCTGGTGCACAGGCAGCGTTTTCCCAATGCCATGTCCACACTAGCGTCCACCCGAACCACCGCCAGAGAGGCTCTCCAAATGAAAACGAGGTTCGTTCAGGAGTCGGGCATTGCGTGCAAATACGTATGCTGGAGTCCGCTGTGCGTTTTCAGGGAGGTAAAAGCACAGAGGCTTTAATGGCAAAGTGAAGAGAATCACAGAATTGTTTTGGGATATTTATCCTTGCCACAGGAATCGAGAACACGGGTGGTAACAGTCTGAGGTTGGGCAGGTGTCCTCACAGAAGTGTTTTTTGTGTGAGGTTGTGATGGACTTTGCTCACGATTGTGGTGTTTGCTGTCTTCTGTGATGGTTTTATGGGGAATACCGTCAGGGCTGTTCCCAGCTCTATTGGTTGGGGTTTTGTTTTGTTTTGTTTAAGACAAGTGTCTCCATTTTGATTCTGACAGCTTTCACACTGGAAAGCAGGGACTGAGGAAAGTGAGGGGGGCAGCAGGGCCCAGCCAGGGGATCCTGCCAGAGGCAAGGACGTCACTAAGGACTGTGCAGGTTCTAGCAAAATGACAAGGGGCCGGGCGTGGTGGCTCACTCCTGTAATCCCAGCATTTTGGGAGGCCAAGGCGGGTGGGTCACCTGAGGTCAGGAGTTTGAGACCAGCCTAGCCAATATGTTGAAATTCCATCTCTACTAAAAAAAAAAAAAAAAAAAAAATACAAAAAGTAGCCGGGTGTGGTGGCAGGTACCTGTAATCCCAGCTACTTGGGAGGCTGAGGCAGGAGAATCACTTGAACTCAGGAGGTGGAGGTTGCAGTGAGCCGAGATCGCGCCACTGCACTCCAGCCTGGGCGAGAGAGTGAGACTCGGTCTCAAAACAAACCAACAAAAAAGGACATGGAAGTGCAGAAGGGCCCCCCGCTGGCTGGATCCGGGGTGGTGTGTGAAGAGAATGCTATCTCCTCGTCTCCACCTCCCCGGCCCCCACTCTTGCCACGGCCCCCCTGCACAGCCTTCCCCAAGGCTCCCTGACCCACTCCTCGGCCCAGTTTCTATGCCGGGGGCCTGGCCCTTGGCCCCTGACACGAACTGGGCTCTGGAATGAGTCCTTCCACCCCACACACCCACTGCAGCAGGCTCTTCCCTAGACAACGTGAACGGGTGGGGACAGAATGAAGTGCAGGGAAGGCCTCGTGCAGGTGCCCCACGGGGGGACTGAGACTGAGCGGCCACCTGCACACCCCGAGTCCTGGGCACCTTGCGCCTGCTGTTTCCACACCCACTTCAGCAAAGCACGAAGCAGAGGTCTGCTCCACGGGCCTCCCGGGGTTTCAGAGGACCCCTGCACGGTGCCCTGTATGCAGTGGAGCCAAATAAATGTAAACCTTCAAGGCACTAGGCGCATGGGTGAATGTAGGATGCAGGGGCTCAGGAGGCTGTGAGATGTTCCCCAAACACTCCAGATCATTCTTGCTCCGCAAACCAAGCGCTGTTGTGCCAGTGTAAGACTTGAGGGCTGTAGGCTGCCTGAGCCCTCCCCATGCCTTCCCCCGAGAGCACGCCACCCAGCGCCGGGGGTGTGCCTGCTCCTCTGGGCTTCAGCTGGGAACCCCGAGGCCTTCGCCTCAGGGCATAGCTGCCAGGAGGCAATGGAACGAGGCTGAGGGTGCTGGTGGGGACCATGCTGTCATTCAGTTGAGGTCAAGGCACTGCTCAGAGTGGATGCCCAGTTCCATGGAGGGACCTGCCCAGGCCTGGAGCTCTGGAAACCAGGGGGGCCGATGCACAGCCAGGAGCACGTGAGGAGCCACTGTATGGGAGATGCTGCCCTCTCCTAGGGGCTGAACCATGTCCCTCCCACAAAATTCATCTGCTGAAGTCCTAGCCCCAGGTCCTCAGTGTGATCTTATTTGGAGGTAGCATCTTTGTAAAGGTAACTAAATTAAAATGAGGGTCGCTAGGGTCTTATATTAGGCCCTAGCCCAATACAAGAAGAGGAAATGTGGACAGAGACACATAGAGGGATGATGATGGGAAGAGTGGGGGAAAGATGACCGCCAAAGAGCCAGGGAGCGTGGTGCCAGAAGGAGCCCGCCCTGGGGACATGGCTCTGACGTCAGCCCCCAGGACTGTGGGAGGACACACTTCTGCTGTTGAAGCGCCAGGTCTCTGCTGCTTTTTGACACAGCCCTGGCCGGCTCAGGTGCCTTCTCTGCTGCATTCTCTGCTCAGGCTACGGGACCCCTTCCTGGAAGATCCCGGGGCTGACAGACTTTCTCGATGGTGAGAGAGGGGACAGGAGAGGGTCCCTGGACCCAAGTAGCATGATCAGGATGAGGGAGGTCTGATTCTGAAGATGGTACCCAGCATGGGACCATCTGGGATCCTGCTTTTATTAAGTTCTTATATTTCTAAATAACTTGGCTTTTATAGAGTTACCTGCTGAATTGATTCATGTATAATACAGATTTATTTTTTATCTTACTACTTGTTCACAATGTCTTTCCCACTTCACGCTTTGCTCTTCACCTCGCCGCCTCTGTACTAAAGCGTGCCTTGCTGTCCGACCTGCGGCTGCTTGGCACCATCATTTTTTTTTTTTTTTAGACAGAATCTGGCTCTGTCTGCCAGGCTGGAGTGCAGTGGCGTGATCTCGGCTCGCTGCAACCTCTGCCTCCCGGGTTCAAGCGATTCTCCTGCCTCAGCCTCCCGAGTAGCTGGGATTACAGGTGCCCGCCACCACGCCTAGCTAATTTTTGTATTTTTAATAGAGACGTGGTTTCACCATGTTGGCCAGGCTGGTCTCAATCTCCTGACCTCGTGATCCGCCCACCTTGGCCTCCCAGAGCGCTGGGATTACAGGTGTGAGCCACTGAGCCCAGCCGGCATCACTTTATTCGAAGCCTTATCACCGGCCCGTAATCACGCTTCTTTAAATCGCATGCAACGTGTTTTCAGACCAGTCGGGTGGTCTTTTAACGAGGAGTGCAGCCCGCATCCGATTCCCGCTCTGCGGGTTCCTGGTCCTCCCCATTCTTCCTCCTGTGGCTCTTTTGCAGTTGCCTGGGTTTGCAGCTGGCTCAGGCTTCTCTCCCGGTTTCCACCGAGGGCTCGCTCCTGCTCAGGGTCCCCGCGTGGTCCCGGTGTTCCGATGCCACCAGGCGGCGCTGTTCCCTTGCATCCTCAACATCAGATTCCCAGTCCTGCAGGACAGGAACCGGAACGCCACCCTCCACCAGGGACTGGGTGCACCTTCTCCCCACCGCGCCTGAGCCCCCGGGGGCTTCTGGCCACTTACACCCCCAGGCCTAGGAGGTCAGCCGTGGGATGCCTCTCTATCGCATGCTCCTGATTCCACACTCAAACCTCACTTTCCGGTGGCTCTCACGTCGCCTTGAATGTCTCACGGAGGTGAGTAGCCCTCCTTCCTCTTCCTCCTGCCGGCTCTGTGCTAAGTCCATGCTCGTCTGCTCAGAGGAGGGTCCGGAGGTCATCTTCCCTTCATCCTTGCCAACCTGGACATGTCTTTCTTTCTCTGTGACCCATGCATTCTATCTGCAGAGGCAGTGAGAGAGTGGCTGAGAACACAGACCCATCCCAAAGCCAGGTTTTCTGGTTTCCTTTTTTTTTTTTTTTTTTTTTTTTTCTTGAGACGGAGTCTCGCTCTGTCGCCCAGGCTGGAGGGCAGTGGCGCCATCTCGCCTCACTGCAAGCTCTGCCTCCTGGGTTCACACTGTTCTCCTGCCTCAGCCTCCCAAGTAGCTGGGACTACAGGCGCCCGCCACCACGCCCGGCTAATTTTTTGTATTTTTTTTTAGTAGAGACGGGGTTTCACTGTGTTAGCCAGGATGGTCTTGATCTCCTGACCTCGTGATCAGCCCGCCTTGGCCTCCCAACGTGCTGGGATTACAGGCGTGAGCCACCGCACCTGGCCCGGTTTTCTGGTTTCTAACCCTGGTTGTGTGATGGTGCATAAGTCACTTGACCTGTCTGTGCTTGTGAGATGGAGATAATTCTAATATGTTTCTCCTTAAGGAGAGGAAACAAATTAAACAAGCTCAGACAACACTGAAGCTGTGCCTGGATAGGGAAAACTGTCCATGGGCATCGGCTATTATTATATCACTGATTATTATTATTATCCATGCTGGGGTATAGAGTGTCAGGGCAGAGCCCTTTCCTCTGAATGCTTTGTAAACATCAGTCCGTCTTCTTTTATTTATTTATTTATTTATTTTGGAGACAGGGTCTCACTATGTTGCCCAGGCTGGAGTGCAGTGGCACAATCTCGGCTCACTGCAACCTCTGCCTCATGGTTTCAAGTGATTCTCCTGCCTCAGCCTCCCGAGTGTAGGTGGGATTACAGGTGCCTGCCACCATGCCCGGCTAATTTTTTGTATTTTATATTTTTTAGTAGAGATGGGGTTTCTCCATGTTAGCCAGGCTGGTCTCGAACTCCTGACCTCAAGTGATCTGCCCACCTCAGCCTCCCAAAATGTAGGGATTACAGGCGTGAGCCATCGCGCCCGGCCTTTCTTCTATTATATTTTATTTCCCTATTATTTGCATATGGGGCTACTGGATCTGTTCTCAAAATCTCTTTTCCCTCATAACTTCCTCGAGGCAGTATTTTTGCTTTACGTTTCAGGTAATTCCTCTATTTGTTCCTCCCCACATGAATTCAGAACTCAGAGACACGAGCCTCTCCTCTGATTCAACTCGTAAATGGGTTTTTCCTTTACAAATAATGATTTCTAGTTGTAGAACTTGTTCATGCTGCTGTTGAACGTATCCATCTGTCTGTCCATCGTCGTGTTTTAAGAGGCAGCCCCTCTCCCCGAGACCAGTCCCCTGGGGACCCACTCCTCAGGGTCTCAGCTGTGGCCACACGGCCCGCTGCCCAGGTGCAGTTTCTGGAGGGGCTGTGGCTCTTCACGGCACCTTGTTCTTCTCAGCTGCCAGGAATATTAAAAGCCAATCCTCGGAGCTTACATATAGCCCTAGTGGGTTATATCCCAGAACCAAAGGAACTTGAGGAAACAACTGGAGCTGTTTGCAGTGATTGCACTGTGGGTAGCGGACTAGCACTGGGCTGTGAGACTGTCGTGTGTGCTTTGGATCAAGCAGGCACAGTTGTGTGACTTTCTACTTTGTCCTTCCCCTCCTTTGCCCTGAAATCTGGGATTCTCTGCACAGGAGAAGGTCATTCTGGTTTGGAATTGGAAGTAGCAACAGGAACCCTCTGTGTTTTTTATTTTTGTTTTTGTTTTTGAGATAGAGTCTTGGTCTGTCACCCAGGCTGTAGTCCAATGGTGTGATCTCAGCTCACTGCAACCTCCACCTTCTGGGTTCAAGCCATTCTCCTGCCTCAGCCACCAGAGTAGCCTGCCACCTTGCCCAGCTATTTTTTTTTTTTTTTTTTTTTTTTTGCATTTTTAGTAGAGACAGGGTTTCACCATATTGGCCAGGCTGGTCTTGAACTCCTGACCTCAGGTGATCCACCGGCCTCGGCCTCCCAAAATGCTGGGATTACAGGTGTGAGCCACCACGCCTGGCCTTGTGTTTTCCCTTTAAAAACAATTGGATATCTAGCTCTGTCCACGGACGGGCCTGGAAGCAGTGAGCACCCCTGGAGCAACAGGCAGCCCTGGTGCACAGGCAGCGTTTTCCCAATGCCATGTCCACACTAGCGTCCACCCGAACCACCGCCAGAGAGGCTCTCCAAATGAAAACGAGGTTCGTTCAGGAGTCGGGCATTGCGTGCAAATACGTATGCTGGAGTCCGCTGTGCGTTTTCAGGGAGGTAAAAGCACAGAGGCTTTAATGGCAAAGTGAAGAGAATCACAGAATTGTTTTGGGATATTTATCCTTGCCACAGGAATCGAGAACACGGGTGGTAACAGTCTGAGGTTGGGCAGGTGTCCTCACAGAAGTGTTTTTTGTGTGAGGTTGTGATGGACTTTGCTCACGATTGTGGTGTTTGCTGTCTTCTGTGATGGTTTTATGGGGAATACCGTCAGGGCTGTTCCCAGCTCTATTGGTTGGGGTTTTGTTTTGTTTTGTTTAAGACAAGTGTCTCCATTTTGATTCTGACAGCTTTCACACTGGAAAGCAGGGACTGAGGAAAGTGAGGGGGGCAGCAGGGCCCAGCCAGGGGATCCTGCCAGAGGCAAGGACGTCACTAAGGACTGTGCAGGTTCTAGCAAAATGACAAGGGGCCGGGCGTGGTGGCTCACTCCTGTAATCCCAGCATTTTGGGAGGCCAAGGCGGGTGGGTCACCTGAGGTCAGGAGTTTGAGACCAGCCTAGCCAATATGTTGAAATTCCATCTCTACTAAAAAAAAAAAAAAAAAAATACAAAAAGTAGCCGGGTGTGGTGGCAGGTACCTGTAATCCCAGCTACTTGGGAGGCTGAGGCAGGAGAATCACTTGAACTCAGGAGGTGGAGGTTGCAGTGAGCCGAGATCGCGCCACTGCACTCCAGCCTGGGCGAGAGAGTGAGACTCGGTCTCAAAACAAACCAACAAAAAAGGACATGGAAGTGCAGAAGGGCCCCCCGCTGGCTGGATCCGGGGTGGTGTGTGAAGAGAATGCTATCTCCTCGTCTCCACCTCCCCGGCCCCCACTCTTGCCACGGCCCCCCTGCACAGCCTTCCCCAAGGCTCCCTGACCCACTCCTCGGCCCAGTTTCTATGCCGGGGGCCTGGCCCTTGGCCCCTGACACGAACTGGGCTCTGGAATGAGTCCTTCCACCCCACACACCCACTGCAGCAGGCTCTTCCCTAGACAGCGTGAACGGGTGGGGACAGAATGAAGTGCAGGGAAGGCCTCGTGCAGGTGCCCCACGGGGGGACTGAGACTGAGCGGCCACCTGCACACCCCGAGTCCTGGGCACCTTGCGCCTGCTGTTTCCACACCCACTTCAGCAAAGCACGAAGCAGAGGTCTGCTCCACGGGCCTCCCGGGATTTCAGAGGACCCCTGCACGGTGCCCTGTATGCAGTGGAGCCAAATAAATGTAAACTTACAAGTCACTAGGCGCATGGGTGAATGTAGGATGCAGGGGCTCAGGAGGCTGTGAGATGTTCCCCAAACACTCCAGATCATTCTTGCTCCGCAAACCAAGCGCTGTTGTGCCAGTGTAAGACTTGAGGGCTGTAGGCTGCCTGAGCCCTCCCCATGCCTTCCCCCGAGAGCACGCCACCCAGCGCCGGGGGTGTGCCTGCTCCTCTGGGCTTCAGCTGGGAACCCCGAGGCCTTCGCCTCAGGGCATAGCTGCCAGGAGGCAATGGAACGAGGCTGAGGGTGCTGGTGGGGACCATGCTGTCATTCAGTTGAGGTCAAGGCACTGCTCAGAGTGGATGCCCAGTTCCATGGAGGGACCTGCCCAGGCCTGGAGCTCTGGAAACCAGGGGGGCCGATGGCACAGCCAGGAGCATGTGAGGAGCCACTGTATGGGAGATGCTGCCCTCTCCTAGGGGCTGAACCATGTCCCTCCCACAAAATTCATCTGCTGAAGTCCTAGCCCCAGGTCCTCAGTGTGATCTTATTTGGAGGTAGCATCTTTGTAAAGGTAACTAAATTAAAATGAGGGTCGCTAGGGTCTTATATTAGGCCCTAGCCCAATACAAGAAGAGGAAATGTGGACAGAGACACATAGAGGGATGATGATGGGAAGAGTGGGGGAAAGATGACCGCCAAAGAGCCAGGGAGCGTGGTGCCAGAAGGAGCCCGCCCTGGGGACATGGCTCTGACGTCAGCCCCCAGGACTGTGGGAGGACACACTTCTGCTGTTGAAGCGCCAGGTCTCTGCTGCTTTTTGACACAGCCCTGGCCGGCTCAGGTGCCTTCTCTGCTGCATTCTCTGCTCAGGCTACGGGACCCCTTCCTGGAAGATCCCGGGGCTGACAGACTTTCTCGATGGTGAGAGAGGGGACAGGAGAGGGTCCCTGGACCCAAGTAGCATGATCAGGATGAGGGAGGTCCCAGGAATATCCACGCCCATGGAGCCAGGCCCCCCTGGAAGCCTGTGAGCCTGAGTGTGGTCCCCCCGATCATGCCATGAGGCCCCAGGCTCTGGCCAGCTCTCCCGCCCTTGAGCTCTTGACCCTACCTTGGGGTCACCTCCTGCCCACCCCCATCCTCCCATTCAGTGCCCCTCCTTCTCTACACTCCAGGACACATGAGCTTCAGCTGCAGGATCCGGAGCTCAGCTCCTACAGATGCTCACACCCTTGGCCCACCTCAGTTTCCCATCTGAAGTCAGTTCAAGGCCTGGTGGTCTGGGAAAAGCCAGCTAGTCCACCTGGCCCAGTACAGATAGGCTGGAGTCTCGGGCCTGCAATCCGGACCTGTGGGCAGCAGGATAGCTGCCCGGGATTGCCCTGTGGGGCCCAGGCCACAGCTGCCCTCAGGCAACAAGGGTCAGTCCCCAGCCTTCCCTGGAAAGTGCCTTACACAGATCCTCTCATTCCAGTGCAAAGTGGATCAAAACACTTTAATAAAATGGCAGCGGCTTTGTGGGATGTCTGTGGCAGACAAAATCAAGAGCCAGGAGCCCGGGATGCGGAGATGGGCCTCGGTCTCCACATCCTGGCGGGTGCTGGGGCCGGGGCTAGTACTTGAGCAGCCAGCGTGGCCTGTGGGTGCTCAGCGATGTGAAGTAGGACCACCACCAGGGCTTACTCCCGTCGGCCGAGGGCTGCCTGCGCGCCCGGAGCGGGTCGGGCTCCGTGGCCTCCCCCAAAGAGCTGGCACCTCCCAGTGGGTCGTGGGGCCCAGTCCTCCGCAGCCCATGAATAAAGTTCTTGGGTCCCATCCCCAGAGGTTGCAGAATGAAGTCCACACGGCCAGCCCTCTTCATCCGGGCGGGGATGATGACTTTCTTGATGACTTTGGCGTAGCCAGGGGCTTGGGCAATGACAATGTGGATACCTGGGGGCAGCAGTCTCCAGTAGTCACCATCTGGGGCTGTGGACAAATAGATTAAAAATGATTCTCACGAGGACTGCAGACCCAGCCACGGGGTGATGGGTGATGGATATGAGTGGGGAGAGGTTAGCATGGGAGGCAGGCGCCAAATGTGCACTTGCCTCTGTGTGGGCCTGGAACGTCCTTCCCACCCCTTTTCTCTGTCAAACTCTTATTTATACCTCAAAACCCTGCTTAGGCACCCCTCTTCTCTGAAACCTTCGATGACCACTCCCACCCCCCATACCCACCCCACAGTTAGCAAAAGTCCCCCTCTTCTCTGGACCACATCTCTGCCAGGTAACACATATCACAGCATACCGTCATTTTTCATCGGCTGTGAAATTCCTGTAAGGACAGCCAGAGCCCGCACAGGGCTGGACACCCCAGCTATCAACAGGGTATGAACTTTGGGATAGAAACAAACAGGCTTAGGGGTGGAGGTGGCTCTCCCCGGCAATGTTGGAGGAGGCGGCATTTTCCTAGGAATACAGAGCATGCATCCACCATCATTCAGTAGCTACGGCTGGGCAAGCTCTTCCCTCACCAAATGCTGTAAGGAGACGCAGACCCTGGTTCCTGCCCACCCTCCCCGACCCAGCCAGCCTGGGGAGGAATGGAGCCATCCTGCTGAGGGCTGGGCACACTGTGAGTGCCTGAGGGTGCCGGCTGCCACGGTGTGGCATTTCCTTGGCAGACGTGGTCCCCAGGGGACAGCCAGGGACGTGCTCACCTGTGGTGATGTCGTGGCGAATGCCTTTGACTGAGATCCGGGCGTTTTTGACTGGCTTGCCGAATTTATCTGTCACCACACCTTTGATGCCCCGGTGCACCTGAAGAGACCAAGGGGAGGCCAGGGAGATGGCGTGAGCTCTCCTGCTGAGCGTGGAGGCCGTCAGCTCGTTCCCCACATGCTCCTCAGAGCTTGGTATCTAGGGGGAACTACCCCACAGAGCCCCACTCTGCCAGCCCTCGCTCTGCCATCTTTAACGAGTCAGTCACTCCCCTCTCTGGGCCTCAGTTTCCTCCCTGGCAATTGACCCGAGCACGTTCTGGGCTTTTGAATGACCCTGCATCTCACCCGAGGCCTGGCTGACTCCATCTCTATGGGCATTGAGCAGAGAACCCTTTCCTGCCACTCTTCTGCCTGATCGGCATTCCTTCCCTGCCTTCCCAGCCCCAGCGGGACTCCCTGGGTCCCTCTGAGCTGAGGCTCCTGAAGGTGGCGTGGGCATGGGAGAGGACGAGGACAGTGCTCGGACCCTCGCTCGAGCAGCGCGGTTTCTTCATCGTACACGTGTATAACACGCCCTGCCTTCTTACTGCTTGCCTGGCCTTGGCACGAACTGGTCCTGAACACACAAGCTCCCTGCACGCCCACAGCTCCAACGTTTTCACCCTGGAAAGCCCTCCCAAAGCTGCCTGATCCTGTCCACATTTCTTGTAAAACAGTTGATGACAAACCACCCACACGGCCCCTGCTCTAGTCAGCAGAAAACAACGTGGGGTCCAAGGATGCTGAAGGTCACGCTGAGCAGGACCAGGATGCCTGTGGGGAGAGGAGTCCGTCCAGCGAGGCTGCCCCCTGCCCGGGCCCTGCACGGGGCTCAGCAGCAACAGATTCTCAAGGGAAAGGGCTCCCAGCCAGGCCCTGCTGTGCTTCCAGAAACTATGAAAATGATCTTGCTCCTCTTAAAATCAGGATAAAAGCAAAACATTTTAGGTTGGAGAGACTGTTTTCCTATATATTCATCTTTATGTCGACTGTTGTATAATTTTAAATACTTTATATGGAGGGAGGAGTCCACAGAAGCAAAGAGCCTGGGCCCACAGGGTCAGGAAGCAGCCCTGGCAACAGGAGCATCCTCCTTCCCTGGCCCCGGGACATTAGCCCGAGAGGGGCTGGTTTTTCTCTGGGCCAGAAAATCAGCTCTGCCGTAGTGACTGTTCACTTCAGACAAACCTTTGCTTCTGGGTGCCTCAGTTTCCTCAGCTGTAAAATGTTCATGAGGCCAAAGCAGCTCTGGCTTCTGCAGGACCGATGATTTCAGCAAGCATGTGAACTCTAATCCCACCGCGGCTGACCCCCGCCGTGACCGATGCAGAAACCGACTGGCCTGACACACGCGGCCCGTGAGCTCAGACCCTGTGGCACCTAACTGCTGTTCCAGGCTCACGCCCAGCTGTCAGTGGTGCAGGTGGCTGAAAGAGGGGAGTGGGCACCCAGTCTAGCTCCACAAAGCACATGCTAGCACTTATCTCTGTGCCACAGGGATCTCGGGAACCCAGAGCACATGGAATCCATGATGAGCACATCAAGGGGTCCCAGCCCTCCTGACGCGATGGAGAGGGACTGACAGCCACTGCCCCCTGCCCTCTGGGGCTCGTGACCCCCACCCTGGATGCTCTTGTCCACACTTCGCTGCTTAATGGAACCGCACTCCTGAAACAATGTCTCATGGACTCGCATTTAGCGGGAGGGAGAGCATAAAAAGTAAGGTTTTCCTGCATGAGAGGTGATGAAGAGAAACTGGACAGCTCGAGAAGCCACCATGCCCCTCAGCCACCCCACCCTGTGGCTCCTCCTCACCCCCAGACAGCATCTGAGCCTTCTCTGCTAAGAATACCCTCACCAGCCCCTCACCGGGCCGATTCCTTCCCTCCCTTCAAAACACAGCTCACACTCCTCCTCCTCCAGGAAGCCCTCCCTGATGACCAGCCACACTGGGGGCCTACCCCAGGGCCCCACGGCCCCAGTCTTCCTCTCTGCCAGCCCTGGTCTCACTTCTGCCTCCCCTAGCCCCACCCGAGAGCAGGGGCTCTCCCAGGAGGGTCTCTTACAGGAGGCCCTCAGCATCAGCCTGCAGTGGACGGATTTTTTTTCTGTCCCTGCTCTTGGGCCCACGGGTCACCTTCATGAAACACAGGGCACATGCGGTTCTCTGGTGGGGAAAGAGAGCTGCCACGCCGCCCCTCCCCTCGCCCCAGGTGATGTAGACTCCCACCCGAGGCCTGGCCAGGATCACTTTGAAAAAAGCCTCAATTGGCCACGACAGGCTTGATCCTTATCAGGAGCCCGCGCCCAGGTCTCCTGTAAGACGTCCGTCTCAAGAGCCAGCCAGCGAGCTGCCCAGCCTTCCAAGGTCCACGCTTGCTGTAAATCTTCATATCCCAAGACTTCATGTGTAATATCCAGGAGCAATGCCAGCCACATCCGAGGCTCCTTCAACCTCATGTTCATCAGACAGCCGCAAAATGCAATGTGCACAGGCCTGGCGCGAGAGCTCATAGAAGAATGGGACTCGCCACAGGTGGTGCAGGGCTGCGGCACAGCCATCAGAAAGAAACTCAAATGGCAGAATGTTCCATTTTACTTTGTGTGGGGCTTTGTTTCTTTCCTATCTCAGCGGCTGCTGCCCCAGGGAGTTCGCTCGATTCTTACTTGGAGGAAGGTTCCTGATTTTTCTAGAAAGGAGGGGGCTCATGGACAGAGGGCTTGGGAAGAAGCAGATCTGGGCGACACCAGACAGGCCATGTCACTCTCTGACCCTCTGTCTCCTCCTCTGGCTGGCTCGCAGACATTGGGAGCCTGGAGCACAAGCCTGTGTGTGGCCCAGAGACCCCAGGCCAGAACCTCAACTCCATCTATAAAATGGGACGGCCCCGTCTGCCGCCCGGCCTGGTGTCAGAACCGGCTGCCCTGTGTGGGTGGGCGCCAACTGTACGGTGCTGCGCCCTCACCTCTCCTTGCTGCTGCAGCTCAACCCTCTTTCTGAGGCCTGCTTCTCACTGGGCATCTGTGCTCATATGCAATTTATGTGATTCTTGAAAACGCTTGGGAAAAAAATAGCAGAAGCTTCTTCGAACGCAGGCTGCCTTCCCTGTGACATCCTGGACCCTTCTTGGGGTCCCCAGCACCCTCGGTGTGAGCTGTGCTGGAAGGGGAGCAGACATGGGCACAGAGTCCCCACTCTCACACTGAGTGCTAGGGAGACCTTGGCTCTCTGGGGCAGCGAGGGGGTCATTTTAGACACATTCTCAGCCATCCCCACTCACCTCCCACCTGCCTGCTTCTGGGTGACCTCAGCCTCACGATAGTAGTCACCCCTCAGTCAGGACGCCCTGCCCCGCCCCCAGCCTCTGCCAGCCACTTCCTGCCTATACCCTTCACTCTGAGGCCCCAAAACCCTGCCTGAACCACACAGCTACCCCACTGCCCAGAGCCCTCACTTCTGCGCCTCCTGGAGCACAGTGCCCGCCCCATCCCACGGCTCGAGTCCTCACCACAGCCCCAGCGGCTCTCGAGGGTTTTGATGTCCCCTTGGGGTTCTAGCATGCTCCCCTCTGCTGGGAGCTCTCCCTGTCCTGTGGTTTGATTTCTCCTACCCTTCTTCAAGATGAAGCCCTGCGGCTGCCTCCTCCAGGAAGCCCCCCCAGCCTCTGAGGCTGGGTCAGACACCTCGCCGGGCTGCCCAGGCCCATGCTCCCTTGTTTAATTGTGCTGCTTTAGGCTGTAACATCCTTGCTCACAGGGACTCCAACACATGGCACCGCCACCCCAGCACCCACAGAGCACGCAAAGGAGAGCCGGCTACTGTATCTCAAGTTGTGCATGGTGGACAGTTAACCCCAAAACAAGTGGTGGCAAAAGGAGCATGTGTGTATGGGGCAGTGAGGCTACGGGGGCTGCCCTGGGGGCCTGAATGTGACCCACCCCACCCAGGCCACAGCTGGACCAGAGCCCTGAGACCGTCAGAACTCACCGTCTCCACGAAATTCAGGAGTGACTCCTTGTTGTGCTGCCAGAGTATGTACAGGGCCTCCTCGGGGGGGAACTTCACACAGCCCAGCTCTACCGTGATCTCAAAGCAGTTGGTGTGCAGGTAGTTGAAATCGGACATGCCTGTGGCACAGAGACAGCGGGGACGTCAGGGGTGTCAGCCGCACAGAGACAGCCGGGACGTCAGGGGTGTCAGCCGCACAGAGACAGCCGGGACGCCGGGGTGTCAGCCGCGCAGAGACAGCCGGGACGTCGGGGTGTCAGCCAAGTGCCCAGCAGGCAGGTGAGTGCAGCAGGTACTCGCCACAGACGCCCCTCCTGCAGCTGAGGGGCTGAACAACTGCAAGGTGGACCATATGATCCCCACTTTGCAGATCCGCAGATGGCGGCATGAGGCATTTAAGGGTCCCGCAATGGGAAGAGGCAGAGCTGCATCTTGAGCTCAGGCCGCTTGGCGGCAAAGTCCACAGGCTTCCCCACCCCCATGCTGTCTCTGGTGAGGTCAGGGATGAATCGGTTTCTAACAGAAAAGCCCACAGCACGGGGCAGCCGCACAGGCCCCTGGCATCCCAGCTGCTGGCCTGGAGACCCCATGGTGACAATGTCCATTTACCCAGACGCTGTCCTGACCAGAGTCTAGGAGGGTGGTCCTATTAGCTCCATCTCCCAGGGAGACCACGGGCCCAGGCTAGGGTGGACAACCAGCCACCTGGCCAGCCGAGAAGGCCTCAGAGCAAGCTGGGTCGACCCCAGCCATACCCGCTTCTGCCCTCTGTGCCATCTGCTCTTGGAGCTTCTTGTTCAGCAGAAGCCATGACCATCTCCAAGGCAGGCCTAGGATGATAGCACCCACAGGGCTGGCTGTGTCGGGGGCCACAGGGAGCCCACGCCCTTCTGAAGTTCAAGGCTCCTGAGCCGCAGAGCCTGCAGCTGCTGTTGACAGTCCCTGCCCAGACCCCAGTGTAGCCACAGTCACCGTCTCTCTGGTCCAGCTAGCTCTGGTCCCCGGCTTCATGCTTTCCCAGGGCCGTATCAGGGGCAAGAGGGACAGAGGCCAGGTGCAGTGGCTCACGCCTATAATCCCAGCACTCTGGGAGTCCGAGGCAGGCGGATCACGAGGTCAGGAGATCAAGACCATCCTGGCCAACATGGTGAAACCCCATCTCTACTAAAAATACAAAAATTAGCTGGGTGTGGTGGTGGGCGCCTGTAATCCCAGCTACTCGGGAGGCTGAGGCAGGAGAATCGCTTGAACCCGGGAGGCAGAGATTGCAGTGAGCTGCGATCGCACCACTGTGCTCCAGCCTGGTGACAGAGCGAGACTCCGTCTCAAAAAAAAAAAAAAAAAGGAACAGAGAGGGGCCTCTCCCAGCTCTGCTCGTGGGTGTCTGTTGCAGACCCCAGTCACAGGGCTATGACGGGGGCTGAGGGCCCTCTGCCTGGGTTCTGGAAGGGAGAGAGGCTGCGCCGCACCAGGGAAAGATCACAGGTGCCAACCATTGAGCAGGAGAGAAAAGTTTTCAGAGCAGGCTGCGAAGATGGCTTCAGAGTGTGCAAGAAGTGCCACCTTCTCTGCCCGCCTGCATGGGAAGAGGGGGCAGAAGGGGATGCCACGTGGGTCCTGGCTCTGCCACCTGTGGCCCTGGGCCTCCAGCAAGTCCTTCTCTCAGCTGAGCCCAGCGCTCTCATCTGTGATGTGCCGGCATGGAGAGGTGCAGGCAGGGCCCAGAGCATGTGTGCCTGGTCTGGCGGGTACCCCTCAGGACACACAGTGGCATATGCCCATTATATTGCTCCTGTGCAGCCTCCCCAAGGGCAAATTTAGCAGATAAAGATGTACACGCTTCAAGTCGGGCTCCAGAGAAACCACAGATACAATTGTAGTATCAGTCCACCCCATGCGGGTTCTTGTAAGCATATCCCACGCATTGGAACATCCTTACATTGTCCTAAAAACAATTCCTCACGGTCTCTCTGGAATTCCAATTTAACTGGAAGTCCAGCATTTCATCTGGCAACTCCACTTCCCTAATGTCACAAAGGTATTGGTCATGGGTGAAACCGTGACATTTGAGTGTTCATGAAATAAACTACAGGAGCCACGGGCCTGGGTCCTCCACAACAGTCACACGACAGCTTTTCATCAAGACAGAAACAAAACTCACGCCAGCCTCCTCTCCACCAGGTGAGGCATCGCCCTGTCTTCCGGGCTCTCCAGCTGGATCCCAGCAGCAGACCGTGGAGTTACGCCTTGCCCCTGCCCCACCCAGCCCCTGCACCCCCCACCCCCCGCCCAGTCCCGCCCTGCGGAAGCCGCACCTCCCGTGAAGCTGTACCAGTCCGCCCCGTTGATGATGCTCCCCCTCTTCAGGAAATTGCCTCCACACCTATTCTCCGACCTGTCCATCATCATGGGGTGGACGTCAGCGTAGGCTCTGGACAGCAGCTTGAACATCTGGAAAAGAAACCTGGCTCAGATAAGGAAAGGGTCCCCTGCAGGACGTCCTGTGAGCTGGGGTCAATGAGGGGAGGAGCTGCGCGTGCAAACACCTGCATTGCAGATAGGAGAGGGGAATGGTGTCTGCAGGTAGGAGAGGGGAACGGTGTCCTGCAGAGGACACAGTGTATGTGAAGGCCCAGAGGTGGGTCACAGGCGGTCTGGCACTGCTGGAGTTCGGGGCCAGGTCCCATGGGTAACTGGGGTAATCACCGAGACTCTGCACACCTGGCCGGGTAGTGTGGGCTTTCTCTCCTGAGGTTACACACAGACATGGTGTCCACAGGGTGTGTGCAGGTTGGCTTGACAGTTTATAAAGCCCAGGCTGTTGGAGCAGTGAAGGCAAGGGTGGGCTGCATTTTCCCCGACTTCATCTCCAAAGCCAACTACTTCTATGAATAATCACTGCTTCATTCCCCACCCCACTCCACCTCCAGGCTGACCAGCACCATCAGAGGCTGGGACTCAGCCTGCAGGAAGCCCCTCCCTGACTACCCCACCCTCCAGCTTCCACTGCAGTTGGCAGAGGGACAGAACACAGCTCACAGGATCTGCCACCCTTGACATGTTTGGATGTGTGGCTGGGATCCTGGGTCCCTCCCCACAGGCTTCCCTTCCCAGCCCAGAGCTTCCCCGCATTGTGCCCATCCCCCAGGCAGAGTCCACAGATCCTCCTTTGTGGGGGCTCTGGGCCGTCTGTAAGTCCCAGACTGACCTTGGGCAGAGGCTCCTGGTGGGTCAGGCAGGCGAAGGGCTCACCCTGCATGAGCTCATCAGGGCCCCACCAAGCAGGACAGGTCTGTGCTGAGGAGGGGGCTCCCTCTGTCAGAAAGGAGGAGTGGAGGACACTAGAGGGTGGACAGGCAGGGCCCAGTGAGTGAGTGAGTGAGTGAGTGAATGAGCGAATGAATGAGTGAATGAGTGAGTGAGCGAATGCGTGAGCAAGTGAAAGAGTGAGGGAATGAGTGAATGAGTGAGTGAATGAGTGAAAGAGTGAGTGACTGAGTGAATGAGTGATTGCTCCAGGCCAGAGTGAAGATCTCTCCCTGGTGGGGGTCATGAGACTCGGACTCCCAGACGTGAGGTTTGGGGTTGGTGAGGAATGGGTCCAGCTTCTCAGAAGTGAGGCTGTGCCATCTGGACTCAGTCCCACAGACACAAACCAAGGGCACAAACACAACCCCACTCAGGCCCTGTGGTTCCAGGGTGGCAGACCATGGACCACTATCCTGCCAGCAGCCCCTGCACCTGTGGGTGGGGCAGCATCAGCTCAGGAGTGGCCTGCCCTGCCTCATAGCAGGAAGCCTCAGCGGACTTTCCCATCAAGAATGAATCACATCCAACAAACGGTCCATCTGCCCAGGCCACATCTGCTACATTCTACCTGTGTCCCACCTCTGACCTGCCTTTATCCGTCAGCTTGACAGGGTGTAGCCTCGGGGGGTAGGAGGGTGGGACAAGACTCTCTCCAAAGTCTGCTCCTGACCCAACCCACCGTGTCACCCTTTCTACCCACAAGGCCTCCCTGCCCTACAGTCCCTCCTCCCTGCCCTTGCCCTGGGGCCTCCCTCCCATCACTGGTCAGTCTCTAGGGCTAAGGCATGGAAGGTGGCTGCCGACCACCAGTCCCCAAAACCCTGGGGTGCAGGGGCCCAGATCTGGCTAACACAGGCCTGACCTGGGAGGGCAGGTGCAGGACAAGGACATCAGAGGAGCTGTCGGTCCAGAGGCTGGGCGCACATGGGCAAGGAAGAGACACAGATAAATGAAACCAGGCGGGAGCAGGGAAGCTGGGACTGAATGGGGACCCAGAAACACAGGCTGAGGACCGTGGGAAACCCAGCCCACCCAGCTCCTGCCCCAGGAAGCCCTTGGGAAACTGGCTATGCTCATTCCCACAGCAAGCGTTGGCAAAGCCAGAAAGGGGTTGGCAGGCAGGACACAGCATGAGCAGGATTCGGGCAAAGGGGCACGTGTGGAGCAGCAAAAGGCAGCCATGGCCAGCCTGCAGGGCCTTGAACACTGTCCCCAGGCACTGGCTCTCGTCCGTAGGGCACCATGGAAGTTTGGTGAAAGGGTACCTTGGCACACCCCAGCCAGCCCCTCTCATGCTCCCCTGCCAAACCCAGGCCTCTCCTGGGACCCTGGTTTCCAGAGATCACTGCCGGCCACAGGGCTGCATGATCACTGCCCGATGATTGATGGCTTGGAAACAGTGTTATTTTCTCTGGCTCTGATGGGACTCACTGGGGTGAACATCCCCCCTGGGGACGTCTTCTCACATCTGGTTCTGAGGCTGAGACACACTGGGCCAGTGCAGAGGGGATGCCTGCCCTGCCCTGCCAGCTCTGAGGCTGAGACACACTGGGCCTGTGCAGAGGGGGACACCTGCCCTGCCCAGCCATGGCCCCCAAGAGCACAGGGGTGCAAGGCCAGGCCAGAAGTGGAGGCCGCCCAGTCACCTCTGCGGGCACTTGCAGAGGTCTGAGCAGAGAACCAGACACCTCACCCCTCGCACCCTTGGTGTGCACTACCTGCAAGAGTCAATGAATGAATGAGTGAGGGAAGGAGTGCGGGAATAAACCAATGAGTGAAAGAATAAGAGTGAGTGAATGAGTTTGTGAGTGAATGAATGAGAGAATGAGTGAGTGAAAAAGTGAGTGAATAAGTGCATGAGTGAATGGATGAATGACTGAGAAAATTAGTGTGTGAATGAATAAGAGAATGAGTGAGTGATGAGTGAATGAGTGACAATGAGTGAGTAAGTGAATGAGTAAGTGAGTGAGGGAGTGAGTGAATGCCTGAGTGAATGGGTGAGTGAATGAGTGAGGGAGTGGGTGAATGAGTAAATGAGTGAATGAGTGAGGGAGTGAGGAAGGGAGTGAGTGAGTGAATGGGTGAATGTATGAGTGGTGAGTGAGGGAGTGAGGGAGGGAGGGAGTGAATGGGTGAGTGAAGGAGTGAGTTAATGAATGATGAACAAGTGAAAGAGTGAATGGGTGGAAGAATGAACAAATGCAGGACAAATGCGCCGGTGGCCCAGGTGTTGCTGTCACTGCCCCTGGTCTGCAGAGTGCTCAGCTTGCTCTCCCCATTCCTGCTGGGCCACAGCACTCGGCATGGGCCCCTGCACCCGGCTCCCTGGGGCTCCCCTTGGTCTCTGCACCAGGTGGCCTGTGCCTCCAGTGCCCCTCCCTGCCCTGCAGCTGGAAATCTCTACCTCACCTGTGGAGACCTTTTGGGAAACCGCCACCTCAGGGAAGCCCTCCTGAAGTCCCAGACCAGGCTGGGGGTTCCCCACCCCAACATATGCACGTGTGCACATGCATGCACACGCACACACGTGCACTCACAGCCCTCCTGCAGCCCTGGCAGTCTTCTCCTTGCCAGTTTCTGGCTCCATTTCCCACCCTAGACTGAGGACCCCCAGCGCAGGGACCAGTCCCGTTTGCATTCCCAATGATGGCCCCAGGACAGGGAGGGGCCCAGGTGAGGCAGGGCTGATACCTGAGTGCCAACCAGGGGCCCAGCTATGTGCTCGGCCGGGTGGCCTCAGAAAGGAGAACAAACGATGTGTGACTGCTGTTATGAGGGGCCCGGCACCTGGCACTTGCCCACCCAGGGCCAGTCCCTCTCTCCCTGCTCCTTCCCCCAAACACCAAGGGAAAGTGCAGGGAGGGAGGTGGAGGGCAGGCCTGGCTCTCCACGCGAAGCCTGGGGAGCGACTCTGGGCCATCAAGGGGCCAGGTGGAGGGCAGGCCCAGCCTCCGGTGGAGTGGGGACCACTAGGGGCAGTTCAGGCAGCTAAGCTCCAGGATCCGCAGCTGGGGGCTGGGGGCTGGGGGCTGGAGGCTGGGGCCCACCTCAGATCACAACCCCTCCCTCAGCCTCCGCTTTCTTATCCACAGTGTGGGAACGGACCAACTCCGCGCCCTCCCCCAGCAGGTCGTCCTAAGGTTAGGGTGGGTTGGGAGGGTCCCAGCATCATCACGGGTCTCATCGCCCGCTGCTCTACGAACAGTAGGAGAAACTGAGGCCCGGAAAAGGGAGGGCCTCACCTAATGGCCCAGTGGACGGTGGGACCAGAACTCCTTCCCCATCCGGAGGAGCCCAGCACGTGAGAAGCAAGCACGACCCCCGGGAAGCAGGACGGGCGGGCAGCATGCGCGCTGCAGCACTGCCCTCTGCCGGCGCCTCCCGGAAACGCACCCCTCTGCGGTGGGAAGCACTGGGGACCCCGCCAGGCGCGGGGCGGAGCTCAAAGGAACAGCAGCGCTGAGGCAGGGTCCCCACCCCAGGAGCTCCCAGACGGGGACATGTGAAAGACAGTGCAGCCAGCCTCGGGGAGATCAGGGGAGCGACGGCCCCTGAGGCCACAGACTTCCAGGAGGAAGGGGCTTCCCTGCAGAGCTGGGCCTGGAGCAGGTGGTGCTGACCCGCTCTGAGTAGAGGTTCCTAGGAGCTTTGCCTTCACTGAGCTCAGGACTGGAGGGGCACCAGCTCCAAGGGGACCGCGCACACTGTCTCCCTCCCCTGCACACACCCGACAGCCCTCTCACCTTCTCGTCGGGCGTGGGAGAAAACATCTTCTCCTCCTGGGGGTGCTTGGAGAAGTCGAAGGGGTAGGACACCACCAGGTCGCCCCCATGAAGGCTGGCTGAGAGCACAAAGGGTATGGTCTGCATCCACTTCATGATTGCCTTTGTCTCCGGGGCCACCTGCCCAGGACAGACGAGGCCGCCCTCAGGGCTGGGCTTTCCCACTGGCCCGCAGCCATGCCCTGGGCTTCAGCAGCCCTCTGGGCTCCAATGGTGCAGACTATTAACGGTCTCTACATCAACGCACCAGCTGGACTCGGCCCCCATCACTGGGCCCCTGCGGGGATCTAGGCGTTTCCAACATGAATCTCTGAATCTCACCAACACCCCAGCAAGGAGGTGTTCCCATTTCACAGACAGGTAACTGAGGCAGGGAGGGAGCACCAGGCTCTCCTGTCCCCAGGGAAGGACAACTCCAGAGAGCCTGGAATAACTAGGGACCCCTGGATGCCTTGGTGGAGACCAGCATGGGCAGCGGCGGCTCCTACCTTACCCCACCAGTAGTGCTGGGGGATGGGGATGTGGTCGCTGCGTGCGCCGCGGGTCTCCGCCAGCCGGTAGTACTCGGACGTCAGGTCCGGGAAATTTCGGTTCAGATCCAGGTTCTGCGCGTTCTGCCTCCCGCTCGTCCACCCGTTGTAGCCGGCACCCTGAAAACATGGCCAACCCCCGACTGGGTGGGGTCAGCACACCCCACCCTCCTCCTTCCAGATGGGTCTCACGCTGGGCTGAGGGTCAAGGCCAGGGGCTGCGGTTTCCCCCGGCTTTATGTGATGAGCTCGGGGGCATGCCTGACCCTTGGCCTCCTCTCCACCCCGGGGCTCCTTGCTGATGTCACAGCCTTGGGGCCTTCCCTGGCTGCTCCCCCTGAGTGGGGCGCCCTCGACAGTCACCTGCTCTGCTCGTTGCCCACCTCCCCGAGAGCTACCCTGACCCCCCGCTGACACACACGGGCACCATCGACTCCCTTTCCATCATTTTCCTCTATCACACGCATCACCTTTTTAATTCACCTAGAATTCTCAGTGCCTTCCTTCTCCCCAGCCCCTGAAGCAGGGGTTTGCCAGTATCGACACCTGCTGAATGCTCCTCTCCTAGAGAGGCAGGAACGAAGCACTGCTGGGATAAACTACTCATAAATGGATGAATGAGGGGGTGGTTCGGGCGGTGGCCCACAGGATCCAGGCATCTGGGCGCTCACCTCGGCAGCTGCCACCTCATAGCCGTCAGGGTTCATGGAGGGCAGCAGGTGGATGCGGGTGGTGTTGAGCAGGCGCTGGATGCGGGGGTTACCAAGCAGGTACTCAGAGCACAGGTACTGGGCTAGGTAGATGAGCATCTCCCGGCCCGCCACCTCGTTGCCATGAATGTTGCCGATGAGCTTCACCTCGGGCTCCACTGGGGGCAAATACAGAGACTTGGGGCATCATCTCAAAGCCGGGGGTCCCCAAAGGCATGAGGCCCCCCCACTCAGCAAGAATGACCAGATGGGCTGGGACCAATTCATACTTGTTTTGACTCAAGAACCTCTGTATATAATGAGGTCTCATCAAGGTCATCACTTTTGTTAAGCTCGTTTTTTATGCCTAGCCAGAATTCTTAGTTAGCATAACTCAAGAATATGAATAATATATGTTATCATTGATTCATGCAAATTTAACTGATGGTCTCTCTTCATGTTTGTGTAATAAGTCAAAGTGCACATTGGTACTTAGCTGGGAAGGTGGTTGGCCCTTGAGTGGATGAATGGATATATCAATGATGGATGGATGGATGGATGGATGGATGAATAATGGCTGGCTGGATGGCTGGATGGATAGATATATCAATGATGGATGAATGGATAGATGGATAAATCAATGATGGATGGATGAGTGAATAATGGCTGGATGAAATAATGGATAAATTGATGCATGAATGGATGGACGGATGATGGATGGGTGTGTAAATAAATGGATGGATGATGAGTGGATGGATGCATGGATGTATGAATGAATGGGTGGATGATGGATGGATGTGTAATGGCTGAATGAATAAATGGATGGATGGATGGATGGATGGATGAATAAATGAATGGACTATAGGAAGAAGAGTGGACCAGGCCCCATGGCCTTACTGGCTGTGTGACTGCAGGCAAGTCACTCCTCCTCTCTAAGCCTCGCACTTGCTCCCCTGGAAAATGATGTCTCCCTCCCCAGCTGTGTGTGGCCCAGGGACAGCCAGGGATGAGAGGAAACACCCGTGTTCCTCAGATGCCACATCCCGGGGTATAAATGACCTGGGAGCTTTCTGCGCTGGTTACCTCCCTTGGCCTTCTGCACAGGGGCACCTCTTGCCCTCAAATTCCAGTGCTGTAGGGAGAGCCTCTGCCTCCTGCCCAGAGCATGTTACAGTTGGAGAGGGAACATAGTGAGCCTTGGGGGCCAGGGTGTGGCCAGGTGGCCTCTGGCCCCTGGTAAGAGATAGAGCCTTTGGGCTCATGGTGTTCATGCTGCCCAGACCAGTAGGATGAAGACTGGCTGAGGCTGCCAGCACTGAAAAGGCCCTGAGTCCATAAACAAAGAGCAGGTGCATTTTTCAGTAACTGGTGATGACCAAGGGTCAAATGGAGGCTGCTTCTAAAATAACCGATTCTGTTTGAGTGGGGAGGCCGAGCTGGGCGGATCACTTGAGGTCAGGAGTTCGAGACTAGCCTGGCCAACATGGTGAAACCCCTGTCTCTACTAAAAATACAAAAATTGGCCTGGTGTGGTGGCCCATGCCTGGAGTCCCGGCTACTCGGGAGGCTGAGGCAGGAGAATTGCTTGAACCCAGGAGGCAGAGGTTGCAGTGAGCCGAGATCGTGCCACTGCACTCCAGCCTGGGCAACAAGAGCAAAACTCTGTCTCAAAAAAATAAAATAAAATTTCTTGTTTGTTTTATATCTTTTCAGCCACTAGATCAATGTCTCCATTATTATGAAATAACCTAGTCTGCCACCCTACATTTTGAAGTAAGATGGATATCTGGAGAAATTCTTCTTTATACATATAGTGGTTGCACATGCCCAGCGGGACGTGGCCTGCACCAAGCAGCTCCCTGAGGCCCCCAGCTCTGCCCAGGACCCCAAACACCCCACCAACTTGTGCACCCGAAGGTGGAGCGGCCCAAGCCCTTTCCCGAAACGGGGCCAGGCCAGGCTCTCCCAAGGGCACTCACTCAGCTCGTGCTGGCCGGGGCGGCTGGAGAACTCGATGACCAGCAGCTCCCTGCCGTCGAAGCTGCGCCCGATGCTGTAGGTCCTGGCCACGTGGGCGCAGCGGGAGGCCGTCCGCCTCAGCACACGCACCATCTGGGCGTAGGAGTGGTGGCTGAAGCGGATGAAGGTGGGCGGCAGCCCTGAGGGCAGTGCCTCGTCAGCCTCCAGGCCTCCTGGGGGAGCAGTGGGGGGGCTCAGTCAGTGTCAGGCCCCCAGGCTTCCTACCACTGCCTGGGAACGCTGACCACACACAGCACCCTTAGTCCCCTCTGCACGACAGCCATGCTTGGACATCTCTATCTTTAATTAGAGTTCCCTCTGCAGTGCCTACAACGATATCTAAGCCAAACGGCACCTGAGGTATGTACACAGCACAGCGCCATGGTTCCTAACGTGACTGTGAGTAAACATACTATGGGGCCACTGTGGGAAGCTCCTAAAATACGGAGCAGGACAACAGAAAGGAAGACAGATATATGGGGTCCTGGACCCCCCAAGGCAAACCCCTGCTGGGTGTGCAGAGGGGATTTTCCTGGGCGTGTTTTCCATGACAGTGGCACTCAGGCAGTTCAGTATTCTGCTTCATTTGCTTGGCTAATGGTGGAAACAGGAAGGCTCCTTGTGGTGCCCCCTCCGGCTGCTGTGAGGCTTCCCAGTGTTTCTGTTACAACCTCATCGGTACAACAGTGAGTGCCTGTCCAGGAAGGAAACAGAAAGGGGGGCTCTGGGAAGTACTTGGGGGAGGAAGAAAAAAGGGGGCTGGGGAAGAGGGAGGGGTTCTGGAACTAGAATACGAACGTCTCTACACCACATACGCACCAGCTTCCCCACCATCCTGTCATCCACTAGAACAGAGGTGCCCTGAGGGCCACCCCGATGACGCTTAGCTCCCTCCACCCCGCCAGGGGCTTTGCAGCAGTCAGGCCCACAGGAGCAGGACGCAGGTGCCCGCAGGCTGTTCCTGGGTCCACAGAGAGTTAATGTGCTCCTCTAAGCTTCTCCTTGCCCTGTGGTTTTGCTTCTGCTCAAAACGGTTCTCCAGGGGAAAGACTAGCAGAGGAAGCCGGCAATTTGGTGGTAGAGATGCCCAAAATAATCTCCAACCGACTCCTTGGGCTTTCCCAGGGCTGTGGGCTTGGCTTCCTTCCTCGCCTCCCTGGCCTCCCACAGGCAGCTCCACCACCTCTACAGGGACTGAGCTCTGCAGACAGACGGCTCCCACCTGCTGGCAAAGGGCACCCCCCCTACCGCTGCATCGCATGGGAGCCCAGGGTCCACCCTTCTCAGATTGGGAGCCAGAGGCTGCAAGACATGCCAGGTTCAGCCCTGAGCACCTGACATAGCCCGGAACCCAGGGCTTGCTGGAGCCCGGCCCGGGTGTTTGTCTGCCTTCCTTCTCCTGCCCTCCTCAATGTCCCAGCACAAAGCCACATGTACAGTGGGTGCTCGGTAGCTGTTTGACAAATGGCCAAATCCATCCCTCCATCCGCAATGGGCTTGGGCCACTCCAGCTAAAGACCCCACTGCTGTCACCCTTCCCGAGGCTCCACTTCCTCTTCCATGGAGCAAGGCTGTCGTGAGACTCGCGTGAGCTAGCACATGTGTGGCACCCGCAGTCAGATCCTCTGAACCCAACCATGAGCGGACACTGCCCTGCACAGTTGAATGTGGCACACACTGGCCCTAGGCTCTTCAAAGACAGGTTCAGACTCATTCAAATGCGATGAAACGCCCACATCCAGGCCTCAGTGGCAAGAGCCACATCCCAAGCCTTGGGGGCCACATGCGGCCAGTGGTAACTGTCTTGGACAGAACACAATAGAACATTTCTTTTACACAGAAAGGTCTAACGGGCCAGGACTGCTGCGGATCATGCAGGGTCTCTGGTGGACACCGACTCGTGAGACAACAGACACAGGGGACTCCATGCAGGGCCCCCAACCAGCCCCGCTGCCAAGTGGCCCTCTGGCACCTCTTTGCACACCTCAGAGACAAGTGGCCCATGGTGGCCCAGTCTTGCCCACTCCCCCTCCACTGTTTCATCTGCAAGAGACATCAAAGCATTTCTCCACAGCTCCTCTCCCTCCTTGAGCCCACAGGGCGGTGCAGACCCTGCTTGGAGGAGTCACTCCAAGCCAAACCCTCTGTGTGATCTTCCAGGCCCAGCGATGAGCAATCGTGAAGCTTTGCCCGCCAGACCTCCCGGGGGATGTAAATGCCCCGCCCCCCCTTGACCAGGGGTAAGCACTATGGTTCTGGAGGGTCTGTGGCTGAGGACTGGACCCCCAGGGCCAGCCCTGCACTCTGAGCCCAGGCTCCCCCACACGAGGCCTGCTCACTGCACCCTGGGCGGGGGCACTGCCCCCACTTGGACTCAGCACCCTTCCACCCCAGCCTGCCTCTAAGGGGCTGGAGACTTCTGCTAGGGGGCCCTGGGCAGCGAGAGGATCCTCCATCTGCACTGAGCCCCCGACCCTGCCTGGCACCCTTTTGTGGGGAACATGCTGCCTCGGGGAGCAGCCCCGCCCTCTACCAATGCCTGCACCGTCACTGTCGATGGAAAAGCCCTCAAGTTCCTTCCAGTGTGGCTCTTGGTCCTCCTTGACCACCTGGACCCCATGACCACACAGGCCCCCGCCACTTTCCCTTACCCCGAAGCTTCTCCAGCGGGTCATAGCAGCCCTCGTCCTCTCTCGTGAAGTAGCGGTGGCAGTCAAGGAAGTAGGGCCAGGCCATGTCAATGGCGTCGAAGGCGGGCTGGCAGACCTCCCGCAGGCCCTCGCAGATGTGCCGGCAGGGTCTGCGCACCCAGCCGCCCTCACACCGGGGGGCCAGCACAGCACAGCCCAGCAGCCGCAGGTCCGGGTTGCACTGGCCTTCCAGGAGCTGGTGTAGAACGCTCAGCAGGATGTACTCGGAGCTGGCCTCCACCACCTCCCACGACCGGTGCTGAAGCAGGTTGGGGAAGGTGGTGTGGTTGTAGGCGGCATCGCTGCAGGTCCTGAGCTGCAGGTCCACGCAGGTGGCTGGGGAGGCAGGGTCGGCAGGTCAGTCCCTCCTGCAGTGGCCCTGACCGTCACGCATCAGACATTTACGTAGGGGACCCCACGCAGGGCCAGGGCCTGCAGGGAGGGGCACCCACGGTCTGGCAGGGGAGGACCAGGACAACAGCTACTGTGCAGGAATCAGAGCCTGTGAGAGACCAGAGGAGGAGCCTAAGACCAACCAGATTCAACTACCCACCAGCAAGCCAGCCGCAGCAGGCTGCCCTGAGCCTCGGCGTCTCCATCTGCAAAGCAGCTGTGCCACACAAGGGCCCGTGAAGGCAGCCAGCTGATGCTGCATTAGGCAGGGACAGGCACAGACCACCCAGGAGCCACAGCCGCAGCACAAAGACGTCCCAAAAGACACATCCTGCTTTGGGCGTCTAGTGTCTTTGGGGACCCTAATGGGTCAGTTGGGGCTCAGGACTTGGATGAGAAGTGGATAATGACAGATGCGGCTCAGCCGGCTCATCTCTGCTCTGCAGCTCGCAGGGATGCCGTAAGCCCAGGCAGAGGGTAGGGTCCTCATTGTTGCTGGGCACCTTCCTGCTTCCTCATCACAGCTGTTTGTTTAGCTCCAAAAGCCCCATCTTTAAGGCCCTCATCGGCCTAGCAGGGCCCTCCAGCCCCGTCGGGAGCTGACTGTGTCCCCGCAGCCGCTGGCTCCACACTCGCACCCCCAGATGGCCTTCTCCTCTTTTCCTCAGCTGGACTTTCCCGATGTGGCATCGCATAGGACAAGTCATGACATTTTGCCACGTCTCATGTCAAAGTCTAGAAAGGACAGGATTCTTTCTGCCTCACATTGCCCTGCTCACCACATTTTACAGCCAGGCAAGGTGGCTAACGCCTGTAATTCCAGCATTTTGGGAGGCTGAGATGCGAGGATCACTTGAGGCCAGGAGTTTGAGACCAGCCTGGGTAACACAGCAAGACCTCCATCTCTAAAAATAAAAATAAATAAATAAAAAATAAAATAAAATAGACATTTTACATATGTCATTGACTTGGTACCCAGAATTTTTTTTCTGATATTTTGAAAGCCTCCACTTAGAATACACCAGATGCCCAAATCCGTCAGGAGGCGACAATGAAATGTTTGCCCCTTTCAGGGAAAAAGCCCTGTCCTCAGCCCTGACCTGAGCACTTCACATTGGTTGGCTCCCACGTCACTTTTGAAACCATCTCACAAGATTCGTTCAGCACTCCTCCTGTCACAAGGAGGAAATCGGGGCCTGGCGGGGGAGGTGACTCACCCAAACCCCAGACTCAGCAGGGGCCCGGCACAGAGCCAGTGACCATGAAATGCATGTGGACAAGGCCCAAATGCAGGACGTGTGACTGCAGTGGGGACTGGAGAGGGATGGAGAGGACATCTCTGCAGGGGCTGGGGTGGGCATAGCCCGGTGGGAAGCTGGTGCACCTTTTCCTAGCTGGTCTTTTTTTGTTATGTCTAATTTTTCTCTGGCTGTTTACGAGGGGGTTCTAGTTTGATTAATGGGCTGTGTTATCCATTACCCACTTCTGAAATCACGGATTCAGCTGCCTAAAGTGCTCTGACAGTGTGGGGGCTGCAGCCCTCCTACAGAACAGAAGCCAGGGAGGTCCCGGTACTGTACCGCTGTCTGCAGCTGGTGGCCTGTGGCATTCACCTGGAAAGAGAGACATGGCACTGTTAGGGACCTGCCTCGCCATCCTTCACTCACCGGGCAACACACGGCCAGGGCCCTGAGTGCAGGTAGGGACCAGCCCAGGCCACCCTCCGCCAGCTCCATCTCATGGAGTCTTCACAGCAGCCCCTGAGGCAGACACCACAGTCACCCCCATTTCCCAGGCATGAAAGCTGCGTCTGAGAGGTCACATGACCTGCCTAAGGACAGACAGGCAGCAGCAGGCGTCAGTGGCATCCATCTGGCTCGAAGCCCGGGGCTGGGCCATGGTGCCCACAAGCCTGATGTCCAGGACAGAAGAGCCCTGAGGTGGCATCTGTGAGTGCTGGGGCACAAGTACCTCTACTGTGGCCAATCTCAAGCTTCCCACCGTAAGCCGCTGAGTCCTCAGAAGATTCCAAAAGTTTTAACTGTCAGCCCCCGGAGCCCTCACCAGCAGGCACTGCTGCACCCAGACCCAGGCCCCTCCCAGAGTCAGCCACGCAGGCTCCGTGCCCCCAAGGACACCACCAGGGTGTGGCCTCTCCCCATTTCCTGAATCAGGGGCCCTCTTCCAAGAACAAAGGATCAACACACAAAACCATCCTCACAATCGTGGGGTTTCGAGGGCCCTTTCTGAACCCAGACATGTGAACCCAACAGTAAGGCCTCTGAGAAGGCCAAACACAGCCAACCCTAAGCAATGCTGGCTGCTAAGGGCCCTGTATGAAGTGGGACCCAAGGCTCTGTGTGCATCAGGCAGCGAGAACGCATCCAAGGCGGGGAACCCGGCATCAGATTTAAAACCCGGCTAGTGCTGGGACGGGCCCATGCCGGAGCCCACCTGGCCAGAGAGGGGGCAGGCTGGGCAGTGGGAGCAGCAGGAACCCGGAGAAGGGGACGTGACCCACAGGCAGGACGTGTGGAGTGGGTGCAGGGGGCCAGGGAGAAGGGGGCAAGCAGGCTGGAGCAGAGGAAAAGGCCTGCCTGCCTGGCTGTGACTTCACCTCCAGCCAAAACCTGGGACAGAACCTTGAGGCCAGGAGAGTGCAGGCCGCTTTTCGGAGCTCACCCTAGGATCTGGGGGCTGTGAAAACTTGGCTGAGCATATGGCAACTCTCCAAAGGTCAGAGAGACCTGGGCTGCTCTGTGGCCAGGCAGCTCCCACCCTCGGGAACTTCCTGGGACTGGGTTTCCCCACTGGGGACTGGGCAACCACAGTCCTGGATCCCTACACCATTCAGCTCACAGAGCTCTTGTGGGATGGGGACGTTTAGGGCACTAGTCCTCCACCAGGCACTCCTAGGAGAGCTCCCGTTTCCATCCTCATCACAGATGACAAAAGAGGTCCACACAGCGCTCTCCGGGCGTGGAACAGGCGTGTGCGGGCGGCCCTGGGGAAGACACGGCTGCCCTTGGGCTCACTCTCCCTCCCTGTCCAAGCTGGCAGGGAACATGGACTATGAACCACAAGGGCTGTGGAAGGCAGGGAAGATGCCCAGCCCCAGACCACCGGGCCCAGGTGCCAACCGCCACATCACAGCCGGGGGCCCCGGGCAAGTGGCTCTTTTGTGTCTCCATTTCCCCCATTTCACATGGGTTCATTATAATCATTTTGTAGGAATACTGTGAGATGAGACGACCTATGGTCCGAGCCCAGCACACGATCTTCCGGGGGGAAGAGGCTCCATCAGCCACAGTGTGCATCATTCCTGCGATGGTTTCAGAACAACCCGGAGACAAGCTGCAGGAGCCCTGCTGTGCTGAGTGTGGGAGAGCAGCAGGCAAGGGCACTGTTTTCCTAAAGCACCTGGGAGTGGGGCGGCCCTAACCCAAGAGGGGTGCTGCAGTGTGCCCACCTGCCCGTCCATGCCCGCGGACGCCCACAACGCGCGCTGGGATGAGCACAGAGGAGCTTGAGTCCCCCTGGATGACTGTCACGGGCCTGTGGGCGTGAGACTGTCCAGACACCCTCCCTGGCACCCTCACGTGACTCCCAGGCCTTCATGGTCCAGACAGAGCGTCCCCAGACTCCACCAATCTGCAGCATAAAGGAGGCATGACAGCTTGAACTTTAGGAAAAAAGGAATGAAAAAAAAGCTGGTCCGGGATTCTGCTTGAAATACTGTGCCCTCACCCCCCTGTCAGTGTGGCTAAAGACAACTGGGTGATGTTGGGAAGAGCAGATAAAAGGCTGGCATCCACACAGGGCCCTGTGTGAGCACCCATCCTGTGCAGGGCCCTGAGCGAGCACCGGTGTGCAAAGCTGGCCACCAGTGGGGCCACTCTGGCAGCAGGGTTTGCACTCAGCTGACCCGTGGTCTCATCCTGCACTGAGCTTGGACCGAGGCAGATGCTACAGCACAGTCAGCTCAAGGGTCAAGGTGATCTCAGCCCAGCACCCCTGCTCCACTCCCTGGGTACCCATCACAAGGCTCTGACGGTGCCCGGCTGGCACTGAGCGTGGCCTGGCCCTGAGCTGGCGAGCTTGGGTGAACCTGGAACTTTGTTTATTCACTCAGCAGACATGAGCGACTGGAAGAACTAACTTTGACTTGACCCTGGGAACTCTGCTGGCCTCAGGGAGCTACAAGGTGAGGTGTCCATCCCTGCACCTGCTCCTCCAAAGCCACCAAGCGCCCACACAAGTGACTGGACCATCACACAGGGACTGGACAGGCGATCCTTCCTGGCTTCCTGTGGCTTCCAGTCTCCCTTGTTCACAGATGAGGGCACTAAGACTCCAGGATGAACCACTGCCCGTGCCTCAGTTTCCTCATGTGTAGATTGGGATAAGGATCACGTCTACCTCATAGGGCTGTTGGAGGATCCATCAAGATTAATACAACAGGAGGGTGAGGTGCCCAGTGAATGCTCAACACACAGAGTCTTGGGGCATATCGTGGGCAGGAGCAGGACTATCCCCTGTGACCCCACAATAAGCCATGCAGCCCCATCGGGGTTTCCCAAGGGGCAGGAAGAGTGTCTGCTGGCTGGGTCACCCCCACTTCCACTGGCCGCCATGTGCAAGGCACAGAGAGGGGTGGGTTTGTTTGCCAGGGCTGCCCTAGCAAAGCGCCCACCATGCTTAGGTTAAATCAACAACAGCCGGGTGCAGTGGCCCACACCTGTAATCCCAGCACTTTGGGAGGCCTAGGCGGGTGAATCACGAGGTCAGGAGTTCAAGACCAGCCTGGCCAACATGGTGAAACCCCGTCTCTACTAAAAATACAAAAATTAGCCGGGCATGGTGGCACACACCTGTAGTCCCAGCTACTCGGGAGGCTGAGGTGGGAGAATCACTTGAACCTGGGAGGTGGAGGTTGCAGTGAGCCAAGATCACACCACTGCACTCCAGCCTGGGTGACAGAGAGACTCTATCTTGAAAAAAAAAAGCAACAACAGTTCAGAGCCCTGGAGGCTGGAAGGCTGGAAGTCTGCAGGTCTGCAGGGCCGCACTCCCTGTCAAGGCTCTAAGGGAAGAACTCTCCCGCCCCTCCCGGCTCCTGGTGGCCCCAGGTGCTCCTTGGCTCGTGGCCAGAGCACTCCAGTCCCTGCCTCTGTTGTCATGTGTGAACTTTGTCCCTGTGTCTGTCTCTGCCCAAATCTCCCTCTTCTTCTAGGGATACCAGTTATTGGCTTAGGGCCTGCCCTAATCCCGTGAGGCCTCATCTGAATCAGATTTCATCCACAAAGACCTTGTTTCCAAGTACGCTCCCATTCACAGGTGCCAGGGATTACATCATCAGTATGTCTTTTCTGGAAAACACAATTCTTCCCCCAACAATCAGCAAGCCCCAGTGGGTGCTGCTGTGGCCACAAGAGAGTCAGGATGGTCTGGGAGGAGCCCTCGGGGGCTGCAACTGCCCCAAGACCACACAGCTAGTCCCATGATGTGGCTGGGCCTTTGCCAGCTGCCTTGGCCTCCGTAGGCCTCTGGTTTTGCCCCTTACCACACGGGGGTGGGCCTGCTGACCCAAAGCCCACCCTCTGCCTCTCCCAGGCCGCACCTGCCCTGGCAGCCACAGAGCAAAGCCAGGACGACTGTGGCTGGTTAGGCTATTCACCATTGCTTCCCCACCCCAACCACCGTGGGACACAGACATCCCCGGATCCCCCTGCAGACTTGCAAACGCACAGTGGGGTGAAAGCCTATGCCCCTAGAAGGCTCTCAAGCCATGGTCTCCAGTACAGCAGCCACGAGCCACACGTGGCCACTGAGCCCTTCACATGTGGCAAGATCAAACCAATGTGTGCGATGTGTGAAATGCATACCAAATTTCAGACTTAGTACTAAAAACAGTGTGTTTCATTAATAATTTTTATATGAATGCCAAAATGCTGGAATATTTTGGACATATTGGGTTAAATAGAATCTGTTACAGGCCAGGCGTGGTGGCTCACGCCTGTAATCCCAGCACTTTGGGAGGCCAAGGCGGGTGGATCACGGGGTCAGGAGATCAAGACCATCCTGGCCAACACGGTGAAACCCTGTCTCTACTAAAACTACAAAAAATTAGTTGGGCGCGGTGGCAGATGCCTGTAGTCCCAGCTACTCGGGAGGCTGAGCCAGGAGAATGGCGTGAACCCGGGAGGTGGAGCTCGCAGTGAGCTGAGATTGCGCAACTGCACTCCAGCCTGGGCGACAGAGTGAGACTCCATCTCAAAAAAAAAAAAAAAGAATTTGTTATTAAAATCAGTTTCGCCTGTTTCTGTTACCTCATTAGTGTGGCTACTAGAAAATATAAAATTCTGTGCGTGGATGGCTTTGTGTTTCTGTTGGACAGCACTGGTCTGAAAGCGGCTTTTGAAATAGTTCTAAGCCTCTTAACCACGAGGTGGCAGCATTTCTTCAACAGGGGAGTGACAGCCCGTCAGTCCTCCCCCTCCTCAACTGACCAGTGGCTGTGCCTGGGTCAGGGATGAGACCTGAATGAGGTCAGAGAGGTCAGGCCATCTGCCCAGGTCACACAGCAGAGTTGAGGAGTCAGAATCTGAATCCCAGACCCTAGGACATGAAAATTACCTCCGTCCCCAGGCTCCAGTGAGGACAGGGAATCTTCCACCAGGGAAGGGTGAGGCAGAGAGGAGAGAGCACCAGGCTTGCTCTCAGCAAGACCCAGATGGCGAGACAGGGACATGGCAGCCCGGGGTGGGGGACCTGCACTGCAGGTGACCGGCTCTGCCCACTTCTGCCTGTGGGCTGGAAACGTCCTTGACTTCCACACTCGTCCATAAGAGGGGAGACTGGACTGGGGGATGAGTGATTTCTCCCAGAAACACTTGCCGATGCCACGGCTGTGCTCAGCACCTGCCAGGGACAGAGACCAGCCCATGCATCCTGCTGGGTGAGGACAGGGTGGTCTGTGCTGCCTGCGTGCAGAGGAGGAGGCTGCATTTCTTCCTGGGAAAGGGCAGGTCAGGAGAGCTTCCTGGAGGAGGGGGCTGTGGTCTCCAACAAGCCTATGATTCTAGATACTGTCTGGGCTCTCAGGGGCCAAGGGGAGGCCCACCCACAACACGGCACAAGCTCCAGCAGCACCCCACCTGCACACCTGCATGAGCACACACGCAGCGGGTAGAAAAGAGCCCAGAGGTAAGGCGAGGAGCAGAGGTGGGAGGAAAATCCAGGCATCAACAGGACGGAAAGGAAAAGTGTCGACACAGCGCACTGGGGTGGGGTATTGTGGTCCTGGCACATCCACTCGCAGGGCTCAGGCAGTTCTCAGGTATCCACAAACCCCAGAGAACAAGCGATTCAGAACCTGACACCCTGCACCCTTGAACCCACACACGGCCCCACTCCCGCAGGAGCCCAGATGTCTGCTTCTGATGAGAGTCCTGAGCACGGTTGGCTAGATGCACCCCCACACCTGGAGAGGCCGTGAGGCCAGACGGGAGCCCAGGATCCAGCCCCCAGCCTCTACCTTCCTGCTCCCCACCCCCGCTGCACACCCCTTGGGTGAGGTCGTGCGGGCAGACCTCCCAGAGGATCCCTGCGTCCATTCCCTCTCCGGGCCCCAGATCCCTCCAGGGGGCCCACGCCCCCTCCCAGCCCTTAGGGCCACTTCCGGAGACTTGCTGTCCACATCACAGCCCCAGCTGGGAGGGAGGGGTCAAGAGTTTGCCACAGCCCAGAGAGACTGTCCCGTTCCTGGAAAGACCCGGGGACCTTAGATGGCCTCTCACCCTGCAAAGTCCTGGCACCTGCTCCCTCGAACCCACCTGCAGGGCGCCCCTGCTGCTGTGTCCGACAGGAAAAAGATCTCACCCCCCGGCCCAGGCGTGGTGACCCTCTGCTGCCTGGGGTCCCGGCCTGGATGCCGTAGAGAGCCTCCCTGGTGTCCCCGTCCAGGGGAGAGGTCACACTACCAGTCCCAGGCCACATGCTGCCCACTTTGGAGACGTTCTCGCCAGGACCATAGGCGCGTGACCTACTGGAAGAAAGCTCCCGGGCCCCTGGGAAGCGACGGATCACACTCCCCAGAGGTTGCAGGGTGGAGGGTGGAGGGTGGGGGCAGGGGACGGCCTTACCGGCGGGGTTCCGCTCAAACTCGCACCCCGGCCGGGCAGCGGCGACGACCAGGACTGTAAGGAGCAGCAGCGGCAGCGGGGGCGGCATGGTGGGGCGGCGGACCTTGGACGGCCAGCGCAGTGATGTGGCACTCGGGCCGCGCGGGGCCGGGGCTCTGCGCTCGCTGGGCTCCCGCCCCCGGCGCAGGGAGGGCGCCCCAAACGCAAATGCCGGAGTCGGGTTACAGTGGGCAGCGCCAGAAGCTAGAGAGAGGATGCCGCTGGGGGAGGAGGAGGGGCAGGACAGCAGATAAAGGCCCCTGCCTGCCCCGGGCGGAGTGCCCCGCCCCGTCCAAGGGGCTCCCCGCCCCTCCTTGGGCCTCAGTTTCCCCATCTGCCACCTGAGTGCACTGTGGAGCTGGTATGCAGATTCCCTGCTGATCCTGCCTAAAACCCCTGGTCCCCTGCACAGGCTGCGTCGCGGGTGAATGCGGGTTCTGGCTGCAGCGCTGATCCCAGCAGACCAGGGCCTGTCAGGTGAGGAAAGTGAAGGCATGTCCCCACCTTTTGACCCTTGTCCCCTGTGTGGATGCGGGGAGGGGGCTTTGCTGGGTGGCTGGACCTTTAGGAGCCATGTGCCTCATGGGTTCCTTTGCCAGCTATACCAGTGCACCAGTAGCAGTCCCCAGAGCCAGCTGCCACTCAGCCAGCCCTGAGACTTAGGACAAGCCCCTTCGCCCAGAGGCTGGGGTAATGGAGACAGTACTCACTGTGGCCCCAACTCATTGCTGGCACCCAGCAGGTGCTGCTTCCTGCAGGTCATCTGCTCAAAGATGCCCATTTCAATACCCCCCGGGATCTGGGGCGCCTGGTGCTCAACCTTGCCCTCTCTCTGCCTGGACTCAGCTGGGTCCTTCCAGAAGCAACTCTGACTGCCCCGGCCAGCCTCCGGGGCCACAGTCTTTGACTTCCCTGTCTGAGCTTTCCAGCCCAGGTCTGAGGGCGAATTCAGACTCCATGCTTTCCCGAGCCCCAGCTGGCAGTGCACAGTCCCAGGGAGGGTTTTCCTCCTCCTCCCTGAGAGCTGGGGTGGGGACACCGTGCCTCCTTGTTGTCCCCTGCTGTGGCAGGCTTAGTTCTCGTGGACGCTGAGCGTTCAGCCGTGAGTGGCCCACCTGTTGAGGGTGTCTCCTAGCACAGCCCTCATTCTGGGCTTTTCCTTCCCAGTGGTACCTAAAACAGACAGTTTAAAATCAACGGCATTTTAGATTTGAGGAAATTGAGTGCTAGCTTGTGTCACTTTTTAAGACTCGGGGAGAAGAATTTGGTCATCTTTCCTGGAACCAGCTTCTCTCTTCCACAGTTAAGTTGGAAGGGACAGCCTCTAATCCACAGCGTCTCACCCACGAGGGCCCAACCCACCAAATGGTTCATCAGGGGCAAATCACAAGACAGGGTTAATCGTTCCCAGGGGTAAAAGAGGCATCCAAGTCGTCCCCATCACACCAAATCCCCAGACACTGTCCAGCCAGCCCAGCGGGCAATAGGCCACGGGGAGAGGACCCAGCCACACCTGTGCAGTCAAGGTGGGGCCAGTGAACCAGCAGGTGTGGCCAGAGCCAAGTCTGCAAGAGCACAGCCCCTGGGGCCGGGTGTGTGGTCCCATGGGGGGTGCCCTGCAGGACAAGTTTCTAGGAGAGAAGCCACTTTGTGTCATCAAAAGAGCACAGACTCACCGCTCAAAAGAGCGGCCCACCTTGGGGCTCATGAGGTTGGGGTAGGGTCAGCATGGCAGCCGGAGGAGCCTGTCAGTCGTTGGAAGCCTGCTCCCCAGCTGGACATGGTGTGTGCATGCCGGCATCCCCAGCACTTGCTGCAGAGCGGGTGCTGGGGATAAAAGTGGGTCTGACCCTGTTCCTACCCACCCTATGGCTGGACCCTTGAGAGAAGGGTGCTGGGGCTATGAGCACCTGAGGAGGGAGGGTTGTGTCTGCCTCAGTCAGGTGGAAGGACTTGGCTAAGCAGAGGAGGAGGAAGTACCAAGAGAAGGCCCAGAAAGGATCCAGGCCCCCTGGGGAGAGGCCAGTAGACTAGGGCACCCAGTACTTTAGCCCGAGGCCACGTAGATAGGAGTGGGGAGCAGTGAGGACAGAGAACAGAAAGGGCCAGCAATGCCAGGCTCAGGAGCAGAGACCATAGCCTGGGGACTTCTCAGGGCTTCTGGCAGGAACACAACCTGCTCTCAGCTGCATTTCTAGGAGCTGGCTCTGCTTGGTGGAGGGTGGGTGAGAGGAAGGACTGCTTCGACAGGGACCAGGAAGGGTTCTGGAGGCTTGGCTACGGATGGGTGCCCAGGTGAGGCAGGAGGGCGAGGGTCAGCAAGCACAGAGGGGATGGAGAGAGGGCTCCTGGCTCAGAACCCCTTCTGGCTGAGTTTTGTATCCCATGTGAACAGGAGGGAGGCTCAGGAGAAGCAGATCATGGTCTCAAAAGGACAAGAAGGCAAGCTGAGAGAGAGGACTGTCACTCTGGGCTCCCACAGGGCCTCCCTCTGCCTTACCCGTCATGGAATGCTGCAGCCCTCTGACAGATGGAATCAATAAAAAAACTCCGGTCCCCCAAATAAAATAAATGAGCAGTTATGTCCTGCAAGCTCCCTGCCAGCCTCACAGCCCCCACGGCTCTCTGCTTCCCGCCCACCCACGGGAAAGCCTCCCAAGCTTGCAGCTCCACCGTCAAAACAACAGGAGAAGGCTCCCTCGCTCGCTGCACACAGTGCAGGGCCTAGCCTGGAGGTCTTGGAAGCCCAGCAGGGGATTGCCTGCAAGCCCAGGCATCTAGAAAGCTCTGCTATCCTGGTAATTGGACTGTGGCTAATGCACGGCAGAATTCCCCCCTTTCCATGGAAATGAGACACCCTCTGAATAAAATGTTTATTGATTCACAGCATTCTTGAGACCCAGCATCATTCCACAACACGTTTAAGTGCACATGAAAAATATTTTTCAAATTAAAAAAAAAAAAAAAAAAAAGGCCACAAGCCTAAGGCAAGGGATAGCCCAGTGTGGGAGCCACATGGGCTGGCAGAGAAGTGCGGAGGGAATGCCCTAAGATGCCTGCTCCAGAACATTCCATGGAGCTGCCGAGGAAGGCGAAACATGACAGCAAGCAGTCCCCGTCTCTAAGAAACAGTGTGCCTCCCTCTAACCATGGTGCCTTCCAGCAGGGCAGGGTGCACGCGTTTCCTTGAGTGGCTCTAAAGTAGTGACCAAGGCTTTTAGCCTGGCGGAGATGCAATAACACAGAGTGTAGGCCCCACTGGCTGGCAGGCTCCTCGCACCTGGGGAGCTCCCAGGGACAGGAGAGGGCTCAGCCAAGGAGCTCACAGCCTGGGCTCCAGAACTTTAAATGGGGAACAACCTGCTTCTGCTGTGCACGTGCCCTCCCTTATAAGCACAGGGGCACCGGGGTGCAGCACGGTCTCGAGTTCACGTGCCCTCTGTGAACCAGGGCATGACACCCACCTGTGCCCTCTGTGAATCAGGGCATGACGCCCACCTGCCCCACCTCCTGCTTGGAACCCCTGGGTTGGATTGAACTGGCCAGGTCTGTATTTTAATGTTTTTAACTGCTTCCTGACCACATACCTATAGTTGTTATTATTCCAAACGATAATTTGTTTTATTTGAATTACACTTCATGGGTTATACACACCTTTAAATTTATCCTTTTGGGGGAGGCATTGGTGAGTCAGCAAATAACACCTGGTTTTGGCTGGGTGTGGTGGCTCACACCTGTAATCCCAGCACTTTGGGAGGCTGAGGTGGGAGGATCACTTAAGCTCAGGAATTCAAGACCAGCCTGGGCAACAAAGTGAGACCGCCATCTCTACAAAAAAAAATACAAAAATTAGCCAGGCATGGTGTCCCGTGCCTGTGTCCTCAACTACTCAGGAGGCTGAGGTGGGAGGATGGCTTGAGCATGGGAGGTGGAGGCTGCAGTGAGCTGAGATTGCACCACTGCACTCTAGCCTAGGCAACAGAGTCAGACCCTGTCTCAAAAAGTTTTTTAAAAGTATAATAATAACACCTGTGTTTTTGGGGAAGAATCTGTGAAGCCACCTCAGCTGGGTTCTCCACCGTTAATGCCAAGAGCAAGTGACGACCGCGTGTGTCTTTGAAGAATTCAGCCTCTGGAAGGAAAGAATTTGATGTCCATACTCTCCTTGCATTGCTGGCCTTGGGTGTAAGGTGTCATGATACAGGCTCCATGCCTGCAAGAGCCCACGGTTGAAGCCCATCAGAGAGTCCCATGAGGCAGGGGCCTGAGGTCTTGCAGCCCACCCTACCTCTGCAGGGGATGGCCCTGGGCCTTGAAGAAAACAGCAATGACAGAGGCTGAAGAGAGAATCGTGTCCATTCATTCACTCGCTCACTCATTCACACACACACCTCTCCACCGGGTGCCCGTGTGCACTGTGCACCTTTCCCTGAGCTGTGAAATAGGACAGATGTCACAAAAGTCCTCAACACTGTCCCATGGGGACATTCAATGACATTGATGGTGGGTGCTCCCACCGGGGAATGGCACCCCGTGATTACTAAACTGGGGGTGATGCACACCACTACTCAGGGATGCTCCACCTTCTCTTGGCTCCCCCAGCACTGCTGTTGGGGAGCAAGGGCCCTCCCCATCCCAGGCCACCCTCTCTGGACACCTGGGCCCTGGCTACTACTTCAATCTCTTGACCGTCTCATGTCTAAGATCCAGAGGCCCAGCGGTGGCCTTCAGGGGGAGGAAACAGAGGTCACATGCTCTGATGATATCTTCACCAGAAAAGGCTCTGAGCACACAGACTCCACAGCTTCCGCAGTCAAGATGCCAAACCCCTGGCAAACCATGGAAAGGAAGGCAGGAGACAGGCTCCATCTGCGTGCCCACACAGGCAGTCACAGCGGACAGGCCTGGAGCTGGGGACCCCTAGGCTTCCAGAGATGGGCATGTCCCAGGGACTGCCCGTGCCTGCCAGGTCCTGACCACAGACTATCAGATGTGAACTCTGGGAGCCCCCAACCAGACTCCGCCCCGGCATTTATCTCCCAAACCTGGGCAATGCCGAGAACAAATCGGAACAATGCTAATAACCAGGTTGGAGAAACAGGTGTCCATCTGGGCTGCACAACAGACCCTGAGCAAGAGTGACCACCTCACCCACATGAACAGCAGTCACTTATAGCACGCCCACGAGTACCATATGCCACACAGGGCACTTCCCTACCCACTGTCTCGAAGCATCGCCATGACCCCAGAACAAGGGTGAGGAAGCTAAGGTTCAGAGAGGAAAAGCCACTGTCCCGGGGCCACCCAGCAGCCAGGCAGCCCAGCCCCGAGCTCTCCTCCGCCACTACTGCTGTCCACACCCACATCCGGCCCTCTCCTCCTCCTCCTCCTGTACTTCAGCCTTAGCTCAAAGTCAAGCCACTGGTGTCTGGGGGTCCCCAGTGGCATCTCTGTGGCAGGGCCAGTGCCCTTTCCACAGGGCTTCTTAGAAGGTGGGGGCGATGAGCCCTGCCAGGCCCTCAGTGTGTCTGCTGCAGGCAGGAATCATTCTCTGTGTCCACAGAGCCGTTGTGGGTGGACGCTGGGCGCGGGGTTCTCTTCAGCAGCTGGTGCACCATGCCGGCCACATCCAGAGAGCTGTCATGGGTGGATGCTGGGCGCGGGGTTCTCTTCAGCAGCCGGTGCACCATGCCGGCCAGGACTTGGCGGAACGGCCGGCGGAGCAGAGAGTACGTGAACGGGTCGGCCACCGCCTTGCTGTAGGTCAGGCACTTGCTGAGGATGCCCCACTGGGCGTTCACGGTGACGAAGGGCACGAGCTCCGCCAGCCTGTTGGGGAAGCGGAGCAGCTAACTCAGCCACAGTGACAGCACCTGCCACGCACTCACGCTCCGGGGGAAGGTGCTAGAACCATACTCAAGTACGTACCGCAGCCCTGATGCTCACTAGCCAGGGGGCTCTGCACCAGCACCCTGAGCCTTGGGCTCCTCTTCCTAAAATGGGATTACAAGGCCCAGTCCTGGGACTGCGGTGCAAGCCGACATCAGCCCGCATACCACACAGCAGGTGCTCAGTAGGTGGCAGCACTGCCACCGTCACCAAGGCCTTCTCCCACCATCCTCACACTCAGCTCAGTCCACCCACCTGCACGTACACCTGCCGCGGACACCTGCACACACAACCAGCTACCGAGGGAGCCATTACCACTACCAGGCTGCAGACCAACACACCCCAGATGTGAGCTCTGGGAGCCCCCAACCAGACTCTCCTCTGGCATTTATCTCCCAAACCTGGACAATGTTGAGAACAGATCAGAACAATGCTCATAACCAGGTTGGAGTAACAGGTGTCAACCTGGGCTGCAGAACAGACCCTGAGCAAGTGTGACCACCTCACCCACATGAACAGCAGTCACTCACAGGATGTCCACGGGCACCACACACCACGCAGGGTGCTTCCCTACCCACTGTCCCGAAGCATCACTCAGAGAAGCTCGAGGGTGTCTCTAGGACCACCAGGCACACAACTCCCATAAGAAAGGCTCAGTCTCACACTCTGTGTCTGAGCCCAGTGCTTTTCTGAAATCAGATTAGAACTCAGAGTAGAAGGGACTGGGCTCTGCGTGGGGGAAAGCAGCAGGGGGATGGGCCTCTGGGGACTCTGACGGACCCCTCCGCTCTCAGCACAGCCTAGGGTAGGGGCCATGGAGTCAGGACAAGGCTTCTGACCAGCGGCAGCACAGCCTTAGGTGGGGGCCACAGAGTGAGGACGAGGCTTCTGACAGCTGTCACAAGCACACTTGCTGACCAGTGGCAGCTGTTCCACCTCCCAGTTCCTGGCTTTGAACCAGGGCCCCCAAAGGCCAGGGCTTTCCCCCACAGCCTGATGATCTCCCAGGCAGTGAATTTCTGTCCCAGGATGTCCCACCCCCACTCAGAAGGACTGCAGCCCTGTGATTTACAAGTTTGGCTGGGTCACTCATTAGTTTGGACCACCCACAAACACAGCAGCTGCTGGGGTGCAGCAATGGATCAGACTGACTCCCTCCCTCCGAGGCACCCAGTCCGGCGGGATGGGGATGAGGAGGCTGGCAGGCAGGCAGGCAGGCAACCACCTCAAGCTGAGGGGCAGGGCCAGAATGTGACGACAGAGAGAAGGTGAGGGGCACAGCCAGAGCAGAGGCATCCAGAATCCAAAAATCAGGGCAGGGACACAGATCCAAGGCAGTCATGGCTCTAACCACCTACCCCAGGCTGTGGTGAGGATCCAGTTACAGTAAGTGATAGTCCGGAAAGGGCTTTGCCACCGGCCAGCACATGCACATCAGGTACACTGTCACCCCCACATACAGGGAGCCCAATATCAGGCATAGACTGGAGACTGGTCACAGCCAACCATCAGGCAAGTGGGAAGGAAGGTCCTATCGAAGGATCTGAGGAGGCTGGCATTTCTTTCAGCCACTAGGGGACTGGGCTGCAGGTGAGTAAGAAAGCCACACACATGCCAGAGTGTCTATCCCCTAGTTAAGCCACGGTGCAGGTGGAAGTCATCAGAAACACCCAGCTGAGGCTGTGTCTGGAGCCACAATGGGACCAGAACTCATGTATCAACTACCAGCCATGACCCTGCAGAGAAGAGGGCTCGCTCACGTGTCCACTGCTGCTCAACACCTTGTGACCGTAGCCATCTGCCCTCCCCCGTCTCCAGTAGACCACAGACTCCACAAGGGAGGGCTCTGTATCCCTGCCCTCCTGGTCTCACTGCCGCACACCCCACGGGCTTCATCTGCACGACTGATTGAGTCAGTAAAACTCAAGAGTGACAACCAAGAAACAAAATAAAAATCCCATGTCCCCCATCTCCTTTACCTGCTTTATCCGCATGAACTGGCTCAAGGTGACTTGGAGTTATTTCTAACCAGATTAAATTCACCTTCTAGATGTCCACAGAAGAGTCTAACAATGCAGCCCAGTTCTGAAAACAATTCCCAGGAGAAGAGCTCTGAAATATTTTCAGCAATTGCAGGACAATTGGAATGAGTGCACTACCTTTTAAGGGGCAGCAGGGACAACACACTCCTGGATCTCTGACTTCCTGTGGGTTAAGCCACCAACTGCATTAGAACCTCATCCACACACACTCAGGAGTGAGGTTCTGATTCGGTTCACTCCTATGATGTGAGAGGCGCCTGTGAGGCAGGTCCGTCCAAACTGGTCCAGCTGTGCTGCTCCCAGGCGCCAGCCCTCAAGACCCCTCCCCCACTGAAACACCTGCCTGGTCTTGCTGACCTGCATCTCCCACCATCAGAACCGAGAGGAGCCTGTGTTCCATTTGCTTTTGTAACTGCATGACCAGGCACAAAGCCAGCTCAGAGTAGGTGCTCATTAAATGCTTAGTGAGTGCATGAAGAAATATATAACCTCGTTAGTGCTATATTGTACCCACATTTTTCACAGAGAAGAGAGCCTGAGCTGCCCAGATCCCAGAGTTGGTAACGACATTGTGGAAACAACACTGCAAAGGCAGGCTTCATGACTTTGTTTGGGATTCTTCCTCTTACACTCGTGTGCACACTCATAGCTATGCATGCTCACATACATGTTCAGGGCATTGTAAACACACAGGAAAATAACAGTTACACCCATGAATCAACATAATATGGCTGAGTAAGCCAGTCTCACTCATCATTCATTTAAAATTTCAAAACTAAATGCTGGAGCTCTTGAAATTTTAGCACTCACCTTCTACACATATGTACATGCATGTGCATGTATGAATACACACATGCATGTGTGTATACACATGAACCCTCACAACATACACATGCATGCATGCGCAGGCACATGGGCACACATACACACAAACATGATAATCAGATAAATAGCTGGTTCCCGGGAGAAGGATGCTACAGTTTCCCCATCCACACTTGTGCCCATGAAGTTTCCTAAGAACCAGAGGCCTTTGCCAGGTTTTATGTGAGGAAGGAGGATGCCTGTGATCCACAAGAAACCTGGCTCCCTGTCCCTAAGCCAGATGGGATCAGTGGTGCCAAGAGCTCCTGTCCCACGTGCTGATTCTGAAGAGCTCAGAGGGAACCTGGCAGGCAGGAGAGAGCTGGTGCCACTCAGCGTGGGCACTCTGGGGCCTCCCGGGTTCCTGGGACACAACTGTTTCCCCCCCACCCACCCAACAACATATCTAAGCCACCCAGTAACCTGGGAAGACAAGCAGTCATCCTGGACAGGCTGGCAGACCTTGTAGGGCATTAGATAGCAACCTCAGGAGGACCCTACACAAACAGAGCCAGGATCCTGGTACTATACTCCCTGCTGGCTCCCTCCCCTGGGGTGGGGACCTGGGCCCCTTGAGGATGAGGGCCATGGACCCCTCCCAGGAGCGTCTTCCTTCAGGGTATCCTCCTGCTATGGCTCAACACATAGGGTGGAGACCTCCCAGACAGCCTGAGCGCTTCAGGGGCCTGGCCAGAAATTCCATGGAGATTCCAAGAAAGGCAAAACGTAATAGCAAGCAGTCACCATCTCTAATAAACAACCTGCCTCCCTCTAACCACGGTGCCTTCCAGCAAGGCAGGGTGCACACATTTCCTTGAGTGGAGCTAAGGTAGTAACCAAGTGGCCGAGTGGGTGACCCAGGAACCCCGGAGGCAAAAACTACAGACTCCCCTGCCCCTCAGCACAGCACTGTGATGATGGTACCAGCAGGCCCTTTACACACACTCTTTCCCAAATTACCTGTGACTCCAGGTAATTCTGACCTGACAAGCACTCAGGCCAAGGTCTCCAGGAAAGAGAGAAGCAAAGAGAACACTCACCTGGCAGTGTTACTGCCCCGAGGCTCCAGCTGGAGCTTCCACCCAGATTCCCAACTCCACGCCCAGGAGATGCGGAGTCTGAGGCCTGAGTTAGTCCCAGGTTGCCTGATTTTGAAAGCTTTCTAGGTTTAAAGAGCCAGGTGCTGATTCACAGACCCCATATCTGCCTGTGCCTGGACAAGGAGAGTCTCCTCATTTATAGGACAGGATGGGAGCCAGTGCCACCTCCCTCCCAGGATCTTTCCCAGGAGCTGAAGCACAGCCCTGAGCCCGTCAGGTGTGGAGGAGGGTCCTCTGGTGGTGGCCGCCCTCCAGATATCTTGCTGGGAAACCTCAGAGGCCTACTCAACTGAGGCCAAGCCCACCCAGCTGTTCCCACAACAGGAGCCGGACTGCCAGGACCCACCTGGTCATGACATACGGGGCAAAGCAGATGAGGAAGGTCGCAATAGCAATGCCAATCTTCCTGGTGGCGCGGTGGCGGCGCCGCTTCTGCTGGATGAGGCAGCGCTGCCGCACACTGTGGGGACAGAGGACAGTGGTCAGGATGATGGCAGGGTGGGGACAGAACCCAGGCCCAGAGCCCAGGGGCTGAAGTGAGGGCAGACAGGAGGGTTTCAGGAGGATGTTTAGCCTGGAACCTGAGGAGGACAGAGGGATGGGGGAGAGAGAAAGAACAAGGGGTAGGCTTGCTTTTTTGTAGGTGAAATAAAGGAAGTCTGGAAAGAAGGGCCAGCTCCTCCTCCCTTCCCTCTGGCTCATCCTTCTCCACACAGAGGCAACTGAGGCAGGCTGCTGATGGAGGGGCAAGGCTGGGGCCCTCAAGGAGGGAGAAGTCACGTGGCCTGCCCACCCCAGGAGCAGGAGAGCCTCTTGGGTGTTCTGTGGGGGGCCAAGGGGGAAAGGGGAACACCTACAGGAGGTAATTTGGAACAATGGCGACACCAGCTAGAGATTCAGGAGACAAATCCTGCCAAGTAGTGAGCAGAAAGCATGGGGGATGGACCCTGCTCAAGACTTGAAGCCCAAGTCCATGCAAGGGCACTGGGTCAGCAGTGGGCAGAAACAAGCAGATGCCTCAGACCCACAGCCATGCACAGGAGGGGTGTGTCTGGCCGCCCACAGCAGAGCCCGCGGAACCCCTCCCGGAGAAGCACACCCCACAGCTCTGCGCAAAGCTCCCTGTGCACTGAGCACATATCCCAGGAGGCAGAGGCCCCCGCAGTGTCTGCACCAATGAACCAACAGGAAACCCCTGTGAGCAGCGTGCAGGGGCAGTGCTGTGGCTGGTGAACTCTGGGCGGAGTAACGGTGGTGATGCCCACAGGCTCCTCAAGCCAACTGCCCAGGGAGCGCCCAAGTCCCTGGCCTGGGCCTGTCGGCATGCACTGGGCCAATACCTGGGGTGCAGGTCGGCGAGCAGCGCGAGCGCCTTCATGGTGACGGTGTCCATGCGCTGGCAGTGTCTGCGTGCCACCCGGTGCACCTGGAGCGAGGTGAGGCAGAGCACCGCCAGCGGCAGCACGAAGCCCACGGCATGGAGCGTGGCGGTGAAGGCTGCGAAGCGCGGACGCTCAGGCTCGGGCGGCAGGCGCAGCGAACAGGACGCGAAGGCGCTGCTGTAGCCAAGCCACGAGCAGCCAAGTGCAGCGCCTGAGAAGGCCAGCGACTGTCCCCAGGCACAGCCCAGCAGCAGGCCGGCATAGCGCGGTCGCAGGCGTCCGGCGTAGCGCAGTGGGAAGCCCACTGCCAGCCACTGGTCTGCGCTCAGCGCCGCCACGCTCAGCGCCGCGTTGGACGCCAGGAAGGTGTCCAGGAAGCCAATGACTTGGCATGCGCCGGGCGCCGACGGTGTCCGCCCGCGCATCACACCGAGCAGCGTGAAGGGCATGTCCAGCGCCGCCAGCAGCAGGTGGCCCAGAGACAGATTCACCAGGAGGACGCCTGAGGCTCGAGTGCGGAGCTCAGCGCTGTAGGCGCAACAAAGCAGCACCAGTGCGTTGGATAGCAGCGCCACGGCCAGTACCATCACCAGGAGACCCGCCAGCAGCGCCTCGCCGGGGCCCATGGCGCTAGCGGCTCGCCAGGCACCCTGGGGTTCTCATGGCTCTGCTTCGGGCGCGAGCCTGGGAAAGTGAGGCGATGGAGCAGCTGAGCGGCGCGCCCACGGCTTCTGGGAGGTGCAGAGCCGGCTAGCAAGGTCCAGAGCAGCGCGAGGAAAGCGGCGGCAAGTGCAGGGTCCGGGGCACCCGGGGGGAGGGCGTAGCTCTGCGGAGCAGGAGCAGCCCGGGGCCGCCCTGGAGGCAGCGCAACCGCGGTGCTGTCCAGGGTGCTGAATGCGCTCACCGTCCCGGCAGGACTGTCCTGAGGCTGAAGCGAGGCGCAGGGGCGCGGGGCGTAGGGGCGAGGGAGGTCTCTTTCCTAACACTGTATCTTTCCTTCTTCTCTCCTCGTGGCGTGGCAGGATGGGACTCTGCGCGCTTCTGTTCCGGGCCAGGTCAGTCCCTGCCCTGGTCACACCTCCAGCCGAGCCTCCCAGCCCTGGTTCGCGCGCAGCTGACACGCCAGCAAGAGCCACTCAGTGGATCCTAGGCAGCACAGCCCTCGCCACGCCTCTCCCTCCAGGCGCTGGCACCAAACTGGAGCGACCTGGTGGCTTATAGGGGCGGTAGGGGCGGGAATGAATTGGCAAGAAGCTGTGCAGGCGGGGCAGAGGGAGTGACGGGGCGGGGAAGGGGGCGGGGGCTGCCCTCAGGACTTCCTCCCATCCCCCAGCCTCAGCCCAGGAACTGTGACTGCATCGACGTTTGTTGAAGCAAGAAGAGCGACAAGAAGTGGAAACAAGGTTGAGAAAGGCATGGGGGAAGGAAAGAGAAGAAGAAGAAAAAGTGAAGAAAAAGTGAAGAGGAAGTGGGGGGAAGAAGAGGGAAGAGGAGAGAAAAGCAACAGAGGGAGAGACAAAGAAGGGGGCACCTTGGGAGGACCCACCCAGAACTGGGTGCCATACAGAAATGCCTGTCCTTCACCTGGCTCCTGGAGCCCCGCGGTGCGAGGCCTCTCCCACCTCCGCCATCCTCTGTGGTGGCTTCTGAGCCTTCTCACCCAGTGGGAATCTTCTAATCCATTCGTGGCCACTTGGCAGGACAAGGATATGGTGAAGCCTCCTGGAAGCTGCTTCTTCCAGGAAGCTTTTTGGCATTTTCTCCCCAGTGACAGCCACAACATGACAGAAATGAAGGGCAGACGATTGCCCACCCCTCCCCACACCCACCCTCACCTGCAGGCTCTGCCAGCCCTTTCTGAGGGACAAAGGGTGGCTGGTGGTGTGGAGGCTCACCCTGTGGGCCTCTCTCGTGCCGGTGCTGCAAAGTGGCCAAGGGAAAAGCCACAGGTGCACAACTGGCATGCTGGGGCACCCCTGGTTCTGTGCCTTGGGCCTCACATTCTCATCTGTCACATGGGGATATTCATAGCCCCACTTAAACCCCTTGGGCCTCACATTCTCATCTGTCACATGGGGATATTAATAGCCAGCAATAGCATCTGCCTCTGGTGGTTGCTGTTAGGGTTAAATTGGCCAACATGCACAAAATGCTGAGGACATCCCAGCAGGCAGTGAAGGATCAGAACACAGTCAACCTTTATTAGGGGGTCCGTCTTATACCTGGGCAAAGGAAGTTTCATTCAAGTGTCTCTGCCAAGTCCCCATAACTACAAACCAGGAATGCCGAGATTCATACCTCAGTCCTTCTGGCTCTAAGTCCAATGTCCTTGTCATCCAGAGAGGCCATCACACCAGCTCCAAGCCATTGCCATCCATCAAATACAGAGGCTTTCTCTCTCCCCATTTCTCCCTGGCACTCCCACAAACCTGCTTTCAAATTTTCACCAAATTAGACCTTCCCTGAAGCTAGAGCAGCCACGTCAAAGTTTTCCTGACATGTCCAGGAAGAGTGGGCCACTCTGCAGCTTCTGCAGATCAAGCAAGTTTGCAGGTGAATAGCTGGGACAAAGTGATTGTGATAGTGGGGGCTTGAGAGCAGGGGCCTCCCCCAACCCCTCCAAGGCTTCTGAGCGACCATGTGCAGCTCTGGGGAGCGGTGGAGTCATCACGTGGCTTCACAGGGAGACTTTGGTCTAGCCACTCACAGCAGCCTCTGTCACCTCTCAACTACTCCAAAGGGAGACAATTCCACTTGCAGGGGAGCAGAGAGCATCTCTTCTGAGACATGAGCATGGGGAAGCTCCACCAGCCTGTATTATGAAAGGCAGGCCATTTGCTCATCTGCAAGGATGTACTGGACAACTGCATGAATGAGAAAATGTGTGTGGTGAGATCTCTGGACTCTGGTGAGGGCACCTTGATAGGTCTAGATCTGTTCTGTTTGCTGCTCTCCCCAAAGCCCCAGTGCTTCTGGCCTCAGATCTTGCCAGCCTGGCTGCCCCCCTTCCCTGGGTTGTAGGGGGTGGTTTTGAACCCTGTGGTCTTATCAGTATAATATCGTTTCATCTTCTTACACTCAAATCTCATTCCTGATGAAAAATTTAAATCCTCTGTAGGGTGAAATGCTGGACCTAATCCTTTTATCTTCCAAAAAGAAAAAGTATATGAAAATATTAAATATTTTCACCACTTCTTTAAAAAGTAAGGCAGTACTCCTAACTATGCAATCCTGCCCATTCTTGCTGAGATACGCATTGCAATGATAAAGTTCAGGATTAGTTCCCGAAGGCTCCTCCCCTGCCTAGTGATAGTTCATGGTTCCCCATTGCCTATGAAATTCCTTAGCAGCCCCTCCAAGTCTACCTACATCTGGTCTTAGCCACTCATGACGGGCCCTTTGCTGTTGCTGTCACTCACACACAGACACACACATGCACACACACGCACACAGGCACACATGCAAGCACACACACACTCACACCATCTAGCCACATCCCCTTTACTCATCACCCATGCACTTAACCCACATTACCTGACTTTGTCTGTGTTGCTGACTTGGCCTGAATGCCCTCTCTGTACTTTCCTTTTCATCTACTCCTCTAAGACAAAGCTCTGCTAAGCCTTCCCCTGTCAGCCAGGGAGAGTCACACCTCCTCAGAGCACCTTCCGAGACTTCCATCTCAGCCCCAACAGAAGTGCTGGGCTGAGATGAAGTGCAGAGGCTGAGATGCCACTGCTGCTTAATTAAAGTGAATGGCTTAATTGTTTCCTTATCTGAAAAATAGGGGCAGGAAGACCCATCTTCGAGGGGTGGGGTAAGAATTAAATAAGGTTACATTCAATAGGTGTAAAAGAAATAAGCTTAGTACTAAAGCAAGTTTAAATAAAATCAAATGAGCTCAGTTAACCATTGTTCTTTTCCCGCTTTTCTCATTTTTCCTCCCCAGTTGCATGTAACAAGCTGTCGGTGTATATCTGTGGAAATGAATTTGTCATCAGTGATAGCACTGCAATATGATGTAATTGATACAATTCACTTATCTCACAAAATAAGCTTGCTGTTTCTCCTGGGGGGCCAGGGTGGTTGTATTGATCAGATCTGACTTTGTCCACGTCTTCTCTCTGCTCAACAAAGTGAAGAAATCAAGCCTTGTGTGATCACCACAGTCTGCTGTATCCAGCACATTCTCTTGTACACGCTGGGTGCCCAGTACATCCTTGCAGATGAGTGAATGGCCTGCCTTTCCGTAATACAGGCTGGCGAAGCTTCCCTGCGCTCATGTCTCAGAAGAGATGCTCTCTGCTCCCCTGCAAGTGAAATCGTCTCCCCCTGGAGTCATTGAGAGGTGACAGGGGCCGCTGTGAGTGGCTACACCAAAGTCCCCTTGTGAAACCTCCTGACACCTCCACCACTCCCCAGAGCTGCACGCACATGGTCACTTAGAAGCCTTGGAGGGGCTGGGGGAGCCCACAGCTATCAAGCCCTGACTGCAGGAAAGCAACTGGAAGGAACAATCTGGCATGTTAACAAAAATGATTGCTCATAGACAGGCGGAAAAGAGAAAGGAGGAAGGTGGAAAGACAGGGAAATGAATGAAACTTCCAAAAACGGGAAGGCGGCAAGTGCGTGATTCTATTCCCCTACAGCATAGTCCTGTGCGGCCATTAAAAAGCAGGTGTCAGCCCAGCATGGTGGCTCATGCCTGGAATCCCAGCACTTTGGGAGCCCAAGGCATGTGGATCAGGAGTTTGAGACCAGCCTGACCAATATAGTGAAACCCCATCTGTACTAAAAATAAATAAATAAATAAATAAATAAATAAATAAATAAATAAAATACAAAAATTAGCCAGGCATGGTGGTGTGCACCTGTAATCCCAGCCACTCAGGAGGCTGACAGGAGAATCACTTGAATCCAGGAGATGGAGTTTGCAGTGAGCTGAGATCGTGCCACTGTACTCCAGCCTGGGCAACAGAGCGAGATTCCATCTAAGAAAGAAAAGAAAAGAGAAAAGACAAGACAAAAAGGAGAGAGGGAGAGAGGGAGGGAGGGAGGGAGGGAGAAAGAGCGAGAGAGAAAGAAAAGCAGATGTCCCAAGGAAAAATCCCACTGTGGATTGTTTAGCGGAAACCACTGAGAACACTGGGACCTCTGAACAAGGTATAGAAGCACCGGATCCTGATGCCAGGCCACCAGTCATGGTCACCAATGGCTGATGGAGCTAGGAGTGGTTGGTTGTTTTTCTGTGTCTTTACACTTTCCTGTCACTTTTACATTTTCTGTGAGAGCACGAAATGCTTTGAAAATCAGAAAATCACTCAGGAAGAAAAGCCTAGATCAAGCACTCCATCTGGAGGCCTCACCATCATGACTGGATTTAATTTTGTTTTCCTGCCTTGGAGCATCTTAGTTTTGTAAAATCCCAGTAGAAATTATCTTTCCAGGAGGAGGGAGGAAATGTGGAGGGAAGAGAGAGACAGAGAAAAGGAGAGAGAGAAAAGGGGAGGGAGGGAGAGAGGGAGGGAGGGAGGGAGAGAGGGAGGGAGGGAGGAAGGGAGAGAGGGGGAGAGAGGGAGAGAGAGGGAGAGAGAGGGAGAGAGAGGGAGAGAGAGGGAGAGAGAGGGGGAGGGAGAGAGAGGGGGAGGGAGGGAGGGAGGGAGAGGGAGGGGGAGAGAGAGAGAGAGAGAGAGATCATGAGCATGGAATTCCTTAGAATAGCAGAGAGGTAGGAAAGTATTACAGCTGGCAATATTATCCACACACTTAGAAATCACACATGCCCTCAGCAGCAACACATTCCCACTAATTCCTCAATGAAACACGGAAGGGTCCCTCAGTGCCATGGAGCTGGGACCTGTGACTACAGGGCAAATAAGATCTGTCCCTGTCTTCTGGGAGTTCACGGGCCGGGGGCCAAGGGCAGGCCAGAAACTGGGCATGACTCCTCCAGGTATGACTGAGGCTGAGGGAGGCTCCAGGCTCTGGGGGACCCTTGGGTGGCACCTGACCCAGCCTGGGTCTCCCCAGAGCAAGAGAATTTTGAAGGACAGCAGAGTTTGACAAGAAGGGATGAGTAAGAGATTATCAGATGGTAAGGAGGAGGAAGGGGTCAGCGGGAAGCAAAGTTCAAGGTTGTGGACTATGGCCAGGGCAACCCCTAAAAAACCTGGAATGCCAGGCTAAGTGATTTGGGATTTGTCCTAGAGGCTGTGGGATGTCAGCAAAGGCTGCTGGCAGGGGCTGTGTCCTGACCTTTCAGTCTGGCAGCCCTGGAGGCCTTTGGGGTCTTGGTCAGTGCAGCCTGAGCTCCTGCTGCTAAGAAGCTCTCAGCTGGGAAGGACCAGCTCTGCACTGGCCCCACCCTGTGTGAAGAACCCTCCAGAGGAGAAAGGGGTTTGTGTGGGCTGGTCCTAGAGTCTCAGCTGAAGGTCACGAAGCAGCCCGGAGCCCTGCCTACCTGATCACCTGCACAGGGTCCCTTTATCCTCAGAGACAACCCTGCAGCCAGGGCATCATGCTGGGCCACTCACCTGGCCTCCTGTCCTCCTGAAGCACCTGCAACTCTGGAAAGCTGTTCCCAGAGGCAGCCCCAGTGCAGGGAGCCAACCGGGCCCCTTGGCTGCTCTGGCCCCAGGGGTGGCCCACCCTGGCAGGCCTCCTGCAACAGGAGGCTGAGGAGGTAGGCCCTAGCCTCAACCAGATGGAGGACATCAGGATGGAAAGAATCCACAGCCAAGGTAAGAGTGTCTCCCGATACTTGGAAGAAAACTCTGGCACTAGGAAGGAAAAGGGTTCCGGCTGAGGAGCCATTCAGGCCTGGGTTGATTCTGCACCTTCTCTTCTGAGCAGTATGGCCTCATCCTCCCTGAGCCTCAGTTTCCTCATCTGCAGCGTGGGAACTCAGAAGCTTCCCCATAGGGTTGGTATGAGGATTAAAAGAGGCATGAGTTGCTGGGCACAGTGGCTCATGCCTGTAATCCCAGCACTTTGGGAGGCTGAGGCAGGCGGATCACTTGAGCCCAGCAATTTGAGACCAGCCTGGGCAACATGATGAAACTCCATCTCCAGAAAATCATGTAAAAATTAGCCAGGCATGGTGGTGTACAGCTGTAATCCCAGCTACTCAGGGGAGTGAGGTGGGAGGATCACTTGAGCCCAGGAGATAGAGGCCGCAGTAAGCCAAGATCACACCACTACACTCCAGCCTGTGCGACTGAGCAAGACCCTGTCTCAAAAAAAAAAAATTTTTTTTTTTTTGAGACAGAGTCTCTTTCACCCAGGCTAGAGTGTAGTGGCACTCTACACGCCGTGTACCACCACGCCTGGCTAATTTTTGTACTTTTAGTAGAGACGGGGTTTCACCATGTTGGTCAGGCTAGTCTCGAACTCCTGACCTCAGGTGATCCACCCGCCTCGGCCTCCCAAAGTGCTGGGATTACAGGCACAAGCCACTGCACCTGGCCCCAAAAAACATTTTTTTAATAAATAAAAGAGGCATAAGTGTCACCACGAGTGTCACAACCGCCCCCACAGCGGTCACCCGGACACGCCGATGCTCAGACGATGCCACCCAAGGTGCACTCACAGAGGGGCTGCAGCCAGGACAAAGGAGACCCATGGGCATCCTTTCACCCACTTATTCCACAAGCGCTTGCCCCTCTTATGCGCCAGGGCTGAGCCAGGAACCAGGAGGTTGATGGCTGCCTCCACACCCAGGGTGGAACAGGGGCCTGGAGAGAGGGGTGCAGGTAAGGCGCAGCAGGCCACAGAGGAGAGGCCATCAGTTCTCACTGGGCAGTCAGAACGGCCTAAGAGACAGGCTCTCCCTTGGGTTCAAATCCTTCCCCTCTTCCCCTCCCCCGCTGCCTCCTGGATGTGAGTGGCCTCAGGCAGGGAAGGTGACCATCTTTCCGCCATCTTATTATCTTTAGTGTGGGAAGAAACTTCTCCTGTCTCTCATGGACGCCTAGGCACAGTAAGTGTGACATTTACCATGAGAACAGTTAGGATTCTCACTAGGTGGAAGGTAAGGGAAACCATGGTGTATCTTTAAGTAGGAATCAAGAGACACAGTGGGGCCTCCATGGCCACAAGGGCCCACTGCTTGCTTGAGGCTGAGGCTGTGGGTCCCCGCAAGGTGCGGCCCCTCCACCTAGGACATGGGAGGCCCTGTCAGAGCAGAAACCACCTGCGTCATGGTTCCAGGGAAGAAGCTGGATGGTGGACCTAGGTGGCACACACCTGTGGTCCCAGCTACTCTGGAAGGCAGGAGGATCGCTTGAGTCCAAGAGTTGAAGGCTGCAGTGAGCTATGATTGTACCTCTGCACTCCAGCCTGGGAGACAGAGCGAGACTGTGGCTCAAAAAGAAAGAAAAGAAACTTGGTTGAAAATGTGAAGAAAGAGGTTGGGGAGAGGATGTGTGAAGCTTCCCAGGAAGGCTTCAATCTGAGTTTAGCCTTCATGGGAATAACATTTTAAATAAACAGTCCAACTGTTCATTTAGGAAATGCTGGTTGTAGGTCTGAGGACAAGATGGATAAAACCAGCGTTTGTCACACAACATAAACATGTGAAATGCACCTCTGAGGAGCCTAGAAGGAGCCCACCACACGCCTGGTCTGGACAGGACACATAGCCTGGGCACAGGCAGTGCCACCTTTGGCAAAAATGTTTCCAGACATCGCAGGTAATGGTAACACAGTTATGACCTCCACCAGGAATCATTCTCGTGATACTGGGAGCAGCCAACACTTACTGGGGAGGTCTTCCCATGCGTCACCTCCTCCATCTTCCCAGCAACGCGGTGAGGTGTGGATTCCACCTGCCCAGTTCCCGTGAGCCATATCTACTCACCACGGCTTATATGCAATGACTGGATGAAGACACAAGGCAAACATTGTCAACAGCTCTTAGAGTGCATTGGACATTTCACCTGCTTAACCCCATCTGATAAGCACCCAAACAATGAGGCAGGTTTTTTTTTCTTCTCAATTTGCCACTGGAGAAACTTGCCCCCAGAGAGACCAGGGGGCTGGCCTGGGGCCACAGAGCTGAAAGGAGCCTGAACCACCCCCACTGTTGGACTCCAAGCCCTGGACCCTGCCCTCTGGCACCAGCTGGAATCCAAGCAGTCATTAGGCGGGCCCTGCCCACCCTCCATGCTGGTGGCCAAACTGGGAATTCCAGTTGCTGAATTGCAGCTAAGTTGCCTGCAGAGAACTCAAGCTCTCCCTGTCACTCTGCACAGCACCCATTATTTCTGTTTCAGCCACTGTTGGGCATGTCCCCAACAGTTTTTCAATTCTTTGCCTGACAGATACAAGGAGACACCCCAGCCAGAAGGCCTGTCCCATGGCCTCCATAACTGGCCCAAAGAGGACACCAGGATGAGGAGGCGGATAATTAAAACCTGGAGTATAATGACTGCATGAGTCAGGCCTAATTACACTCTGCACCGTGGCTGGTGACTCAGGGGTGCCTATGGGAGGCAGAGCACCAGCTTCTGTAGCCAGCATCTGGCAAAGCGGTCCCGACCCTGGCTCAGACACTGGGTCACTGTATGACCTTGGACAAGTCACTTCATCTCTCTGCACCTCAGTTTCCTCTTCTGCAAGACAGCAGGAGCCATCTGCTTAGATTGTCGGGGGTGGCAGGAAGAGATAAAACAAGTTGGAAGCAGCCCAGGCTAAGCATACAGCAGGTGCTTACTAAGTGTCCCATGGTATGGAGCTGCAGCTGGGCTGCCTCAGTCACTGAGGGTCAAAGGCACCAGTAGAATTTGGAGATGGGGCACACTGTTGAGTTGGTTCACTGGATGCATAAAGCAACATACTCAGCCCCTTGGTTACTGTTATCTGTAATAGCTAAACTAAAAGTCAAATGAAATGTTGGGCCTGGGGTGGGGAGCCTTGAGGCTGGACCAAACTCAGATATGGTCTGTCTGGGCTCAGATCACCAGCCTCAAAGCTATCCACAGAAGGAAAAATTAAGCCAGGGCAGCAGAAAGTACCTCTGAGACCTGTGGGTACCAAGAAGACAGTCCATGTGGAGAAAGGGAAAAACCAACTAACTATGAAACCCAGAGGATGTGGTGTCAAGGAATTGTTCCATTTTACAGATTGGTATCATCAGCTTCCTGTGAAACTTTTACTAAAATAGGTGGTGAGAGTAACTACTTCATGGACAGTATCTTTAATTTTAAATGCTACAGAATGAAAGGGCACGTTTGGGTTGATGCAGGACCCACAGCTCACTATTGAACACTCCCTGATCAGTATATGTGATCCAGCTGCACAGGAGGTTATGCCTGAGGCAACGGCCAGCCTGTCTGACTAGATGAAAGCCACCATGGAGTCTGTTTACCCTGAGAAGGGGACTGCCCAACTCTTCCTATAAATGCCAAGTGGAGCACCCCAGATGAAGCAACTGATATGCTTCATATACAAGCCATGTGGGACTGGCTTTATGATGACCAGGATATTCACCCATAGAATATACCCATTACCCAGGTCATGGTAAATGCTGTGGTTAAGGGGGTCCCTTCTATGTGGGCACCCCAAGTGACATTACTCCTGCAGAATCAAACAACAATTTAAGAAGTTCTCTCAAATTTGTTGTTGTAGAGCTGGGTGTGGTGGATCACACCTGTTATCCCAGCACTTTGGGAGGCCAAGGCGGTTGGATCACTTGAGGTCATGAGTTCAAGACCAGCCTGGGCAACATGGTGAAACCCTGTCTCTACAAAAGATAATTTTTTTTAATGTTGTTGCAGCTTTCTTTCAGATCCTAAGAAAATATGAGGATAATTAAGGTTTAAAAAATGGGAAAGTCAAAAGCATGCCAGGTTTTCTAGTACTCCAGCTGGTTACATATGATGGTCTGTTCTTGTGCAGATTTTAAACTGATAGGCAAATTTCATCAAGAAAAATTCAGAGCACAAAGTTGGACCTGCGACTATAGGTTTCCTAAGTTCTCTGCCTACTGCTCTATTTTCTTTTCTGCCTGCTTTAAATCTGCCATGACCTTTCTACTGGTGTTGAGGTAACAACTAGTTGGCATCTTTTTTTTTTTTTTTTTTGCATACTGGTGAGTTTGTATTGATATCTCATGGCTAGAGTTCTGAAGTAAAAGCTACAGGATCTTTGTATGTGTGTATGTGTATGCTTAGATGTGTTTACTTGTATGTATGTGTGTTATGGCAAGTTACCAAATTGGCTTAAAAATACAAGTACTCATAAATTAAGTAATAAGCCCTAGTGCTTTTCAAGTTAATGCGACTTAAGTAAATCTTTTATAAATAAGCTGGCTTTAAAATTATTAGTAAAATAAAATTAGAGATGTCTTCATAATTATCAGCATACCTTATTGTTTAAGTTTATTGATCAGTTTTATATTTATCTCTGCTAGATATTATAAGGTGTCAAGGTTTGGCATGAAGGTTATAAAACTATAAATCCAGCCTGAAGCCAAATGACCCTTGAATAATTGTTGATAAGTATTTAATATTATTTATTTAATGAAAACAGCTAAATCCTGAGTTATTGGCAAAAATCCCATTTATTTAACCTTAAGTTTCTCATTTAAGTAAACACCTGATATTCACAGGCTATAAAAATGGTTAAAACAGGAAAATAACTTTAAATAATGACCATCCCAGTTTTCATAAGTAATCTAAGTAAACTATTAAAAATAAAAATAATAACTAATTAGGTAAATGTAATAGAATAAATACCTATAAGTAAGCTGGGTGCGGTGGCTCATGCCTACAATCCCAGCACTTTGGGAGGCCCAGGTGGGTGGATCACCTGAGGGCAGGAGTTTGAGACCAGCCTGACCAACATGGTGAAACCCCGTCTCTACTAAAAATGCAAAAAATTAGTCAGGCACGGTGATGCATGCCTGTAATCCAGCTACTTGGGAGACTGAGGCAGGAGAATCGCTTGAACCAGGGAGGAAGAGGTTGCAGTGAGCCAAGAATGTGCCACTGCTCTCCAGCCTGGGCAACAAGGTGAGATTGGGTCTCCAAAAAAAAAAAAAACTTATAAATAAATTTATATATAATTAAGAATCTAAAGTCATATTAAATATTCATTAAAGTTTTTAAAAAATTATATTACAGTAAAACATTTTTCAAAAAAACGTGTTATTAAAAGGAAAATAATTTTTGTTTAATTCAAAGTTTATGAAATGAAGTAAAAATAACTGGTAAAAAAGAGAGATGTAAACAAAGTTATACATATATGCAGGCATTTTTGGCAAGAAAGCTTAAAAGAAAAATAATTTTATATGAGAAAAAAATTTCCTATGATAAATTTTTGTCCTGAAATAAAATGACTGTTTAAGAAAAAGAATGTTGAGGATAACATGGGAGGGCCAGGCATGTCATAAATGGTTTGTGCAAGTCCTAATAAGGTTTATAAAAAGAGAATTTATATATATATGTGTGTTTGTACGTATATATATATATATACATATATATATATAAACTTTATGTGATTAAATTGTCTATAATTAAAAGGAGATTATGTATAATAGTCTTTCTACAGATTAGGCCTTGATATTAAAAATGCACTAATACGGCCTGGCCAATGTGGTGAAACCCCATCTCTACTAAAAATACAAAAATTAGCCGAGTATGGTGGCAGGCCCCTGTAATCCCAGCTACTCAGGAGAATGAGGCAGGAGAACTGCTTGAACCTGGGAGGTGGAGGTTACAGTGAGCTGAGATCCTGCCACTGCACTCCAGCCTGGATGCCAAGAGCAAAACTCTGTCTCAGAAAATTAAAAAATGCACTAATACACTAAAGAATTGGCTAGAACAAAATTCTCTTAAAGTATTTATTCTTAATAAAATTGCAAGAGATTTTAATTTTTAACCCAAAAGTTCAACTTTTATTGCGTGTTGCTCATAAACCAAAAATAAAATTCTAAGCCCCCAAGCTGATGGACCCCCGACCCATAGTCAGTGAAGGGCATTCCAAAGAAACCTGAAAAACTAGCACAGGCCATGATGAAAAGCAGGCTAGACATGCCTCATAATACTCTCCTCCCTTCGGAATTCGAGCACTGCTAACCAGCATTAACATTAAAACAGAGACTTAAGGAGGACAAACAGACTCTTTATAGCAATAAGACACCAAATTCCAACCTGACTCTCGCCTAGCATCACGAGAAATAGCAGGCCCTGGAAGAAACTGAAGTATTTTACCACAAAGTACATTCCTTTGACATACTTTGAAATGGCCCTAAAAAGCTGTCTCTGGTGGAGAAAATCTGCATCCTGCAGAGAATCCCCTTCCTTCCCAGATCTTTTCCCTGATCCAGGAGAGAATTAGCTAACAGTCTGGCACCTTTTCATGTCTGATCAGAGCTCTGGAGCCTGCTACCTGGAGGCTTCATCTGCACCATAAAAACACCTTGGTCTCCACAATCCCTTAGCTTAACACAGACACTCCTTTCTATTGATTCTAGATCTTTAAGTCATAATCCTAACTGTTTAAACCAATTGCCAATCAGAAAATCTCTGAATCCATCTAGGATCTGGAAGCCCCCACTTCCAGTGCTCCTGCCTTTCCAGACTGAACCAATGTATACCTTCTATGTACTGACTGACATCTGCCTGTAACTTCAGTTTCCCCTGTGAAAGGAAATTAAATCTGGGGACCCCCAAGTTCACTTAGCTAAAAGGAAGAGTCAAGCTGGGAACTGGGTCACGCAAACCTGCCTCCATCTTTTGGTTCCTGAATCAGATGGCTACAGGATGAAAAGCTACCAGCCTCCCCCATATTTTGCCCACAAGTAAATTCCTAGTGAGCTGTTAAAACTTCATGATGGCAATGCAAATTGATAGCTTATCTTTACGGGTGTAGTCACACTGGCCCCCCCACCCCACCGCCAGACCAAATGCATGTCTGATTGCTCCCCTACCCCATTTTGTCGGTGTTCTCTTATGTAAAATGCAGGTTCCCCACATTTTTCCTTCGCCCCTTTTTTAATGTGAAAACTGAGCTTCTCAATATCCCACCCTTTCTCCTTTAAATTTGGAGCCCTCAAAATCATCTTCAGAGAAAGGCGTAGACCTGTCTCCCAGGCAGATCCTTAATGTTGGCAAATAAATCTCCTAAAATGATTGAAACTTGTCTCGTCATTTTCTTCGATTGACACCCTAAAATGCATAAAATCAGACTGTAACCCAGTCACTTCGGGCACTTGTTCTCGGTGCCTCCTGGGGCTGTGCCAGGGGGTCATGATCCTCACATTTGGTTCACAATAAATCTCTTTAAATATTTTAGAGTTTGACTCTTCGTCGACATGCTATTTTTAGCTTTCTCTCCCATTTGAGAAGGTCTGAGATAATCTCTCCCCTTCAACTTTTTTCTCAACTCCTCTCACTTTTTTACTCGGATTCTAACTATTGTTGTGATCTGATGCTAAAGATGTTTTATCTTAAAGGTCTAAAGGGAATTTTCTTTTTTTTTTTTTTTTTTTTTTTTTGAGACAAAGTCTCACTGTTACCAGGCTGGAGTGCAGTGGGGTGATCTTGGCTCACTGCAACCTCCAATACCCTGATTTAAGCGATTCTCCTGCCTCAGCCTCCCAAGTAGCTGGGATTACAGGCATGCGCCATCACGCCCAGCTAATTTTTGTATTGTTAGTAGAGACGGGTTTCACCATGTTGGCCAGGATGGTCTCGATCTCCTGACCTTGTGATCCAATCCGTCCTCCTCAGCCTCCCGAAGTGCTGGGATTACAGGTGTGAGCCACAGTGCCCGGCCCTAAAGGGTATTTTCTTCTACTATAACATTCTGTACTCTTTGCTGTTCCTGTCTAAATCATTCTATGAAACCCAACACCTTCTCTTATGAACCAGGAGACACTCTTCCTGTGTCTAATTAATTCAAGTACCGTTTTCAGTTTTGACTTGCAAGGCCAACTAACTGGATTTCCCATAGGGAAAAAAATCACACTGCAGAAGGTGGGGTTTTTGTTTTGGCTTCTGGTAACTGGCCTAACAAACATATTTTATGTTTTGGGGTTTGTTTCTCTGTCGCCCAGGCTGGAGTGCAGTGCTGCAATCATGACCCACTGCAACCTCCACCTCCCAGGTTCAAATGATCCTCCCACCTCAGCCTCCCAAGTAGCTGGCATGACAGGCACATGCCACAACACCCAGCTAATTTTTGTATTTTTTGTAGATGTGGGGTTTTGACATATTGGCCAGGCTGGTCTCAAACTCCTGGGCTCAAGTGATCTGCCCGCCTTGGCTTCCCAAAGCGCTGGGATTACAGGCATGAGCTACCGCACCTGGCCATATTTCATGTTTTATTGAAATAATTCCTATGTCATCATTATTAAGTTTTTTATTTGCTTACTAAAACTGAGATTTAAAAAAAAATTATTATGTCCATGTAACTTTCTGTATTGCTTATTTATTTTGAGACAGAGTTTCACTCTTGTTGCCCAGGCTGGAGTGCAATGGCCAATCCTGGCTCACTGCAACTTCCACCTCCCGGGTTCAAGCAATTCTGCTGCCTCAGCTTCCCACGTAGCTGGGATTGCAGACACGTGCCACCACACCTGGCTAATTTTGTATTTTTAGTAGAGATGGGGTTTCACTATGCTGGTCAGGCCGGTCTTGAACTCCTGACCTCAGGTGATCCACCCACCTCGGCCTCCCAAAATGCTGGGATTACAGGCATGAGCCACCAAGCCTGGCCTTGTATTGCTTTTAAAGTCCTCGTGCTGTTAAGTTACAAGGATTTGATGGCTGGGTCCAAAAGGACACCAAGACCGCTAAACCTTAAACACTGACAGCAGTTAAAGTCTCATCTTCAGACCCAGGAGAAGATGATAATCAAAATAAGCTGCATTTATGAGAAGCAGGGCCAGAAATTAAAACCATTCAACCTCTCAAGGCCAAGGGACTATCATGGAAGAGGTGGACGCGTGAGATTGTAAAGACAAATTTTGAGAGATAAAGTTTAGTTCAGAGTTTCTCTACAAATTAAACATTAACATCAAACGCACACTGATATAAGACCAGTATCTGGGCCTCTGTGTCAGATTAACAAGGTTTCTGGGAGCATTAACCCACTCTTTAATAATAATAATAATAATAATAATAATAATTGTATAAATACTGGGGATTAGTTTTTTAAAATAAATTTAAAAAGTAAAAAAATTATAAAAGATTATAAAAAGGTTTATGGAAGGCCAGGTGCGGTGGCTCACGCCTGTAATCCCAGCACTCTGGGAGGCTGAGGCAGGTGGATCACGAGGTCAGGAGATCAAGACCACAGTAAAACCCCGTCTCTACTAAAAATACAAAAAATTAGCTGGGCATGGTGGCGGGCGCCTGTAGTCCCAGCTACTTGGGAGGCTGAGGCAGAATGGCGTGAACCTGGGAGGTGGAGCTTGCAGTGAGCTGAGATCGCGCCACTGCACTCCAGCCTGGATGACAGAGCAAGACTCCATCTCAAAAAAAAAAAGGTTTATAGAAACTGTATCTTATGGTGAAAATAAATAAAACATTTGTTTATTTGATTAAATTTGGCAGGATAAGTGATATATTCATATAGAGGTAAAATTTGTCTTTCTCTCTTCTGAAACAGATTTCTGTTCAACTATCCTTTGAGAAAACTAAACAAACAAACAAACAAACAAAGGAGAGGGCGTGGGGGGACCAGGAGAGAAAGAGAGAGACAAATTTAATTGACTTCATGCTGTCTTCATGAGGTTGTATTGTTTGGGAAAGTAAGCCTCCTCTCAAAGAGTAAAAGTTTTTGCCTTTTTAAAAAAAAAAAAAAAAGTTTGAGTCAGCACTATATCTAAATAAATGAATGATACAATGACCTGTGACCCTGTTTTGTGATATCAAGAGTTTTAAACCTTTGCTGTTTGACAAGCTTTCCAGAATTAAATGATTAATTCAGTCTTTTTGACCTCATTAATTATTTTGATATTAGGTCCTGAAGTTCAAAAGAAACATATTCAGCTGATTTGGTATGTTAAAATCACACAGGAAGCATTGTTGAATATGAAATGGTATTTAACTTTCTTTGGATTATATATATATATATGTGTGTGTGTGTGTTATTAGTATGTGTTCCTAAATTGTACCAGATTCCTGTGATTCTGGTATATCTCAATATATGTTATCAGTAGCAATTATGATTATTACGTTAAATTGTTGTATGCCACAGAAATAACCAAATTTCCTTGTCAATTATGTCTTTAACTACGGCTGTTCTAACACTTTTGACATCCACAATTGTTTCACTTTAATCCTTTCAATAGCATGGTTTATAATCAGCTATAGAATTCTGAGAAGTACTCTGATAACTTTAAAGATTGTGCCATTGGAATAAAGATAAAAACTTCCAGGGTTCTCATAAAGAGCTGATGTATTCGTGAGGTTTCCTGACCCAATACCAAGCAGAACAGGAGTTAATTGCATGGACTGAACTAACAGTAGATTGAAATAATCTTTTTTTTTTTGAAATGGAGTCTCACTCTTTTGCCCAGGCTGGAGGGCAGTGGTGTGGTCTTGGCTCACTGCAACCTCTGCCTCCCAGGTTCAAGCAGTTCCGCCTCAGCCTCTCGAGTAGCTGAGATTACAGGCGTGTGTCACCACACACCCAGCTAATTTTTGTATTTTTAGTAGAGACAGGGTTTCACTATGTTGGCCAGGCTTGTCTTGAACTCCTGACCTTATGATCTGCCTGCCTCAGCCTCCCAAAGTGCTGGAATTACAGGCATGAGCCACCATGCCTGGCCTGAAATAATCTTTTATTTATTTATTTTTTACACTAAATATCGCTCTGTCACCCAGGCATGAGTTCAGTGGCACAGTGGCTCACTGCAACCTCCTGGGTTCAAGTGATTCTTCTGCCTCAGCCTCGCAAGTAGCTGGGATTAAAGGCACCTGCTACCACACCCAGCTAATTTTTTTTTTTTTTTTTTGTATTCTTAGTAGAGATGGGGTTTCACCACGTTGGTCAGGCTGTTCTGGAACTCTCAACCTCAGGTGATCCACCTGCCTCGGCCTCTCAAAGTGCTTGGATTACAGATGTGAGCCACTGTGCCTGGCCTGAAATAATCTTTTATGACTCTTTAAAACATTTGATTATTTTTGTTTTGTTTTTCTTCTTTTAAGATATTTACACTCTTAAACAATTAAGGTAAATTTTTATGAGCAAAATTTAAAACCTAATTCCTTTCTCTCTACTTAATTTCTCCGAAATTTGAAAACTATCTGTCGGTATTCTTAATCTATGGCAATATAGTTATTTACATAGGTTCAACCAGAATTTGTTCTATCTTATAGCAGGACACAATTGGAGACACTGGGTATTTTACCAAGGCTTTGCTTAGAATGACATCTTCAGATTGCCTTGAGAAAATGAAGCTGACCTATAGAGCCAATAAAAGCCCCTTGAAAAACTGGCCTCATACCTTGTCCTTTACAGGGTTCTGACCTGTGGCGGGTGAGAATGTCACTTTCTGACAGGCCCAGGATCGTTTTCTTGGGACCTCGAAAAGAGAGGAAGTCACCCAATTCATACAGGTATCTGCAGGCACAGATAAATCCTTGGCTGGGCTCAAGCCTTTTGGAAAGGTCTAATCTTAGATTCCTTATGAAAAAGTTTCCAGCCAAGCAAAAATTTTTTAAAGCCTATACGGCAGATAATTCTTGCTGCACTTTATGCAAATAATCAAGCTAACTATCATTAAACTAAAACGTAATTTTACAAATAAATTGGTCCTACTATGATTTTGTCTCTAACAAAATTGGGGAATTGGAAAGAGAAAAATTATGTCTCAAGAAAAACTATAATAGACTTGTTATTAGATTGTAGCCTTGTCCAGGATTTTTCAATTTTTATTATTTTTTACAATTTGGACTGAATCCTACAATTTTTCCTGGCTACAAGTCTCCAGAATAATATTTTCAATTTTTTTCTTTCTTTTCATTGTTTTCCCTTCCATCTTCTCCTGATTTAGAATCACAAAAAAATTAAAGCGGTGCCTTTAAGCCCTGTGAGCTGAAGCTAGACAAACCTTGAAAGACAATAACAGCAACCTATTGATATATTAAGACCTAAGCTACTTTCATCCCTGCATACTGACTGACGTATGGACTTCAGAGGCATATGGCCTATGTCAGTTTTCCAGGATTGTTTTCCTTTTTGTTGTTATTCCTCCCATTGTTTTTCTCTTTTCCTCCCCTATTTTTCTCTGTGAGACTCGAGACTACATAACTTACTAAAAGTCAGCTTTCCTAACCACCTGGGACCTAAGCCATCTCAGAATAAACCATCCTAGCCACGAGAGACATCAGACAAAACCCAAGACCAGAGACTCAGTTTTCTTCTAAGATGCTTTCTTTGAAAGATTTTTTTTAATGGGGGTGGGAGGAGAAAAGTGAAAGGAAAATAAAATCTTGAGCACAATTCACTATGTCAACTGGAAGAACATTAGTCTGAAAGCCCCACTGTGCAAGAAGCTGCCTTTCCTCTTGTTCCTAAGCAGATAGAGAGCTACAGATAAAAAGTTATTTGCACAGATAGCAACTCTATGAGCACAAGACAAATACCTAATTGACTATTTCCATACCTGCTCCCTTTCTCTTGCAACATAAGGATTCACTAATGCAACCACACCCTCCCTTTTTCCCCTCCAGCCTGCTTCTCCCTTTTAAATATTGAGGCCCTCAAAATCATTTTTGGAGAATGGCACAGACCACCCACCGTTTTTGTCAATCTGTGTTCTTTTCTTCTGAGCAGGTCCTTAACCCTGGCAAAATAAACTTCTAAACTGATTGAGACTTGTCTCAGATACTTCTTGGTTTACAAGGATGATAGCAACAATGGTGAGGGTGGCGGTGCTGATAATGGCGGTGATGCTGGTAGTGCTGATGGTGGTCATGAAGGTGCTGCTGGTGGTGATGATGATATGCAATAATAACGAGGGTGATATTCACATTTAATTGTCCTCACCGTGTCCCAAGCCCCATGCTAGGAGCTTTTTTTTTTTTTTTTTTTTTTTTGAGACAGAGTCTCACTCTGTCGCCCAGGCTGGAGTGCAGTGGTGCAATCTCAGCTCACTGCAAGCTACGCCTCCCAGATTCAAGCAATTCTCCTGCCTTAGCCTCCCAAGTAGCTGGGATTACAGGTGCCTGCCCCCATCCCTGGCTAATTTTTGTATTTTTAGGAGAGACAGGGTTTCGTCATGTTGGCCAAGCTGGTCTCGAACTCCTGACCTCGTGATCCGCCAGCTTCAGCCTCCCAAAGTGCTGGGATTACAGGCGTGAGCCACCGCACCCAGCCTAGGCACTTTCCTGTGTTACCCCATGCAGTCCTCTCGCCAAGCCTATGCAGTAGATATTGTTACTCCCTCTATTTTTGGAGAGAGGAAACCACTACCCAGGGAGGATGAAAACCTCACCCAAGGCCCTGCCTGTGGCCAGTGGTGGAACTGAGAGACACAGCTGTTTACCTCCACGGGCTGTTGCAAGAACGCCTGAGATTAGGTGGGAAAGAGGCTGTGTGAAACGCCAAGCCCAGAGGCCTTCCCTGAGGACGGTCCCAGAGAAGGGGAGGAGGGTGAGAGCAGGAGGCCCCAGGAGGGGTTCAGACGCTTCCAGCAAACAGAGCAGAAAAGCTGGTTCTTTCACACCCAACAGACTGACTCAAAGGTCAGAGCAAGATTTGATTCAATGTCTTAACATCCATCATGCATCACTCAATAAACATTTACTGAGAGCCCCACACAGAGTGGTGAGTCTTAGGGAAATCTTCCCGGCTGTGCCAGCGAGCCAGGCTGGCTGCAGAGTCCTGGGCTCAGTGGGCCCCTCTTCGCCCCCAGACAGCTCCTCCCCCGGCAGCCCAGCCTCTTCCCAGGGGGAGCTCACTCACCTCCAGCCTCAAACCTGAGAGAAGCCCGGGCCCGGTGGAGAAGCGATTGTACTTACCTCTCTCCAGCTCCATGCACAGTACCCCGCATTGGTAACTGGAGATGGGCTGCAGTGGAAGTATTCACACTGTGGAACCGACAAACATTTCCAACCAAGGCTCCTGTCCTGCGGGGCTGGTTGTTCAACATCTACCAGCACAACACTGTCCAGGCCCCAACCCTCCCCCTAGCTGTGGCCTCTGCAAGGCCAAGTCTGGGGACCCTGAGGCATGGAGGAGGGGTGTACGAATGGCCTGCCTTAAGCTGCTGACAGTGTTGAGGCCCCACACGGCCCTGCAGCCAGCAGGCCAGTAGGAAGGACAAGACCCCAAACCAGATCCGTTTCCAGAGTTAAGGCTTTGCCGTTGATTGTCCTCCATCTGATGCCACAAAGCCAAACCCAGGCCAGGACGGATGCCTGTCCATGGGAGCGAGGGAGGGAGGCTACCTCTCAGCCCCTAGCACAGACAGAAACTAAGCATCTACCAAGCACGGCTCAGGTGCCATCTATTCAGATGGTGGGGCGGGGTGCCGAGGCTCAGAGAGAGTGAAAGGGTGAAAGGGTTTGTGGAGGGCCTGCCTGAATAACTCCAGCCTGTCTGACACTTGTGCCCTCGGAGAGACTCCCTAGATAAGGCTAGAGATGACCTCACCTCCTCAAATACAATGCAATGGCACCTGGTCCACTCTTGACCTCTGGGCTTGTTTAATCATGGGCCTCCCCCTTTAGAGGCAGGGGTAAGGGCTTGAACTTTGTGGTCTCTGCTAGACTCTGAGCCTTTCCAGAGACTGCACATAGTAGGTGCTCAACAAATAATTGTGGAATGAAAGAATAGTTGAAAAAGCCTAGTTCTCACAGCTGGATTATGACGATGGTATCAGTCAGGGTTCAATCAGAGGAGCAGAGCCAGTGGGAGGTTTATCACAAGGGATTTATTGCAAGGAATTGGCTTAGAGGATCACGGAGCCAGTTAGGCGAGTCTGAGGTCTATAGGGCAGGTCATCAGCGGGGCTGGCTGGAAGTTCAGATGGGCTGCAGCTGCTGCCCCCAGGATTGATTCCACTCTTAGGCCTTTCAACTGGCCGGATCAAGCCCACCCGGGTGATCTAGGACAATTTCCTTTAAAGGCAGCTGATTGTGGACTTTAATCACACCCACAGCTGATTATGGACTTTAATCACACCCACAAATACCTTCGGAGCAACACCTGGATTCATGTTCGACTGGATACCTGGGCTCATCGCCTGACCAAGCTGACAGCTAAGACCGACCCTCCCAATGCCCATCAGAGTGAGCTGAAGGCACAGCTCGTCAGCATCACCACTGCCCCTCACTGGGTGCCTGTTTGCCTGCCTGTCTCCTCTCGGGCTCCTTGAGGCTGGGGTCTGTGACTTGGTCTTCCCTCGATCCCAGGAAGTGAGCAGGTGCAAGGGAAATTTGCTGCCCCAAAACATGCAGGATGGTGACTGCCTCGCCCACAGCCCTGCTGCGGGAAGCTACAGCCTGGGAGAGACAGATTGCGGGTCTCTAATTTGGGTGATCCTGTGGTCGGTCGGCACCCCTTCCTGCTGAGGCTGAACCAGCATTTCCAGGGGCCCTGCCATCCACGCCACCAGAGATCTCCCTAAACTACATCAGTTTCTCTTTCCTCTCTTCCCACCCAAACTCACCTGTCCAGGATCTCGTCCCTGAGGCCTGGCTCTCTGCCGGTCAATGAGGGGCACAATGTACACCTTCACGGAGAGCTTCAAGGCCTGATCCATGGCATGAGGTGTGCAGCGTGCTCCCGACTTGGAGCCAGAAGACCCAGCTTTGGGCAGGCTCTGCAACCTGGGTGAGCCCTCACCCTCACTGAGCCTCAGTGTCCCTGTCTGCAAAATGGGGGAAGCAGCACATTCCCTCGGCACAGCCCGACTCTGGAACAACAAACGTATGCCAAGATGCCAAAGATTCTCACCCTCCCCTGCGGCTCGGTGCTGGCCAGGGAAATGGGGGCCGAGCTGTGGCCAGTGAGGGCTGGGCCTGGCTCCACACTCAGGATGATTGAATTCTGCATGGTGGCTCTGGCCGGGCTTCCCGGACAAGCCTGGGTGAGTCAGGAACAAGGCAGGCCTGGGTGGGGCTGGGGGAGGGCAAGAGTGTACAGCATGCCACCATGGCCATTCTAACAACACCTCCCCAGCATGGCACCCCGCCTCTCCACTGCCCCCAGATCCCAACTCCCACCCTGGAAACGTGGAACAATGGGAAACTTCACCCCCTTCCTTGGGGCACAACTGAGGCTAAGGTAGAGAAGGCGACCCGTGACTTCCTGGAAGGCCGGGAAGCAGAGAGCCCAGCTGACCCTCACTGCCCTTCCACGAGTCCCAGCACTGTCCCTGGCCCATTCTTCATCACTGCCGCCTCTCAGTGGGAAAGCCAGCCAAATTCTGTGCCAAGCCAGGAAGCCAGTCCTGGGGACAGGGTGGGCGAGCTAACAGGTAGGTGGCACCAAACATGCCCTGCCTAATCAGTGCCCCCCCACCGCCCCCCAAGCACACCTGAACCAGCTCCCAGGGTCCTCAGGCAGGTGCTGGGTCACAGCAATGATCAAGGAGGGGTGGCCTCTGGGGTGGACAGACAGACAGACCCGGGCACAGGGAGGTGAGGGATCAGGAGGGGCAGATGGGAGGCCCCCAGCCCAACCTTGAGCACTGGGGTGAGCTCTCAATGGTTGGGGCCTGTGCCGAGAGCTGTGGGCCAGGGTGGGAGCTGGGAGCAGGCTGGAGGAGTGACCGTGGCAGAGGGAGCGGCAGGGGTGCCAAACACTGCTGTGGTGGGCTGGGGGCAGCTCGAAGCCTCTTGTTGGAGCTGGATTCCCAAAGCAGCGGGTCAGCGGGGGCAGATGCTTTAAAGGGTCCTGTGCTGAGCGGAGGGTGTGTGGGAGGGGCACAGGTGTCCCAGAGCTGGGGAAGGGCTGCCCCACTTGTCCCGAGGAGAGGACGCCAAGGGCCCGAGCCCGGATGTGGCAGGGAAGGAGGCTCACAGCACCCACTTCACAGATGAGAAAACTGAGGCTGCCAATGGCCCCCGCCCATTTTGGCTGCCTTGTGATCATGTTGGCTCTGGGGTAAGTAACCTCTCTTTCCACATGCCATGAAGGGTTGGCACTCTGAGTACCTTCTTCTTTTCACTAAAAATTCCCTCCCAGAACCCACTTTCCGCTTGTTCACAGGACCCGCTGGCGGGGCCTCCCACCACAGTGAGGAGCCACGAGGGTCCCCTAGTTGGATGCTCAGGTCACACTGCCCTCGGACTTTCTGCACAAAATGCTCAGGCCCCTCCTCACCTCCAGGCCTCGGGACCAGTCACACAAGAAGTACTCTCCGGGTTTGTTTGTTTGTTTTTATAAGAGGAAAAAAATGCCCAACAGAAAACTGACAAAGTAAATGAACAGGAAATTCACCAAAAACAAAAAAACGTAAATACTGTATACAGATGGACCATAGCAAAACTGTGTGAAAGGTGGTCCCGGACAGGCGGGGTGGCTCACGTCTATAATCCCAGCACTTTGGGAGGCCAAGGCGGGTGGATCACATGAGGTCAGGAGTTTGAGACCAGCCTGACTACCATGGTGAAACCCCTTCTCTACTAAAAATACAGAATTAGCCGGGCATGGTGGCGCATGCCTGTAATACCAGCTCCTCGGGAGGCTGAGGCAGGAGAATAGCTTGAACCCAGGAGGCAGAGGTTGCAGTGAGATGAGATTGCGCCACTGCATTCCAGCCTGGTGACAAAAGTAAAACTATCTCAAAAAAAAAAAAAAAAGTGGTCTCAATGTCCTAGTCCTTAAAGATAGGGAAAGAAGAGACAGAGCTCTTCACCATGAGGTTGGTAAAATTGCCTCCCGATGGTGATGGGGAAAATGGACACAGGTTTTTCGCTTGCCCTGCTGGCAGGGAGGGGCAGTCTGGGCATTGATACTAAAAACAGGCTTATCCTTATGCACAATTTTAAATCCATTCCGCAATCATTTACTGAGTGCCTGTAAAGTCTGACAGCTGTTTGTCCAGGAATTTAACACCGAGGAGCCTAGCATAGGAGTCCAATGCTTTGGATGCATAGAGGACGGCGGTGTTTATATAACACACACCTGGAGAGTGGATTCCCTGCCAAGGAAACACCAGGAGCTGTGAGATCCGCGAGCCAGTTCCACATTCATGGGCACAGGAATCTGCCTAGGCTTATGGAGTTGATTTAAAAAATAACACAGGAGATCATACATGGCACATCATATGATCTCACTATGTGTCCACATCTGAGTGTGCACGGGAGGGCTTGGGGTGTGGAGGGGTGTGTGTGTGGAAGGGGGTAACCTTCATGTGCCCAGAGAAGACCTTGAAATCATGTTCATCAAAAGACCAGCGTCCATCTCTCTGGTCACGGGCCTCCATCGATCTCTTTTTCCTCTAATTTTCTGTATATTTCTTTTTACTTCTTTGATATCCCTTCTTTATGATATCCCTAATGCCTTGCTTCCTAATGACATCCCTATGCCATGTTTTAAAATAAAAATGCTATTTTCAAAACAATTTTCTGTATAGTTACCCCCAGAGAACTCGTGGAAAAATACACATCAGCCCTCTTAGGTATTTTCAGTCTTGAAGAACAGCTTGAAATGGTTTCCTCTGCAGGCTGGTGACAGGGCTGGAGTGCCCATGGCAGGCCCCGCCAGCCTCCCCTTGCCAAGAGACACTGGATACGAGGGAGGCAGTCACAGGTGGCCACTCCCAGCAGCTTCCGTCCTGGGTGCAGGCCTGCCCCGGGGGAACCCAGGGCCTCCAAGCACCAGAGCAATCCTTAGGAATTACAGGTGGCCCTTGAATAATGTGGGGTTAGGGGCACCAAACTCCTGGGCAGCCAAAAATCTGTGTATGACTTTTGACTCCCCCAAAACTTTGTGTGTGTCTGTGGTTTTTTTTTTGTTGTTGTTGTTGTTTGTTTTTGTTTTTGTTTTGAGACAGAGTCTTACTTTGTTGCCCAGGTTGGAGTGCAGTGGCCCAATCTCGGCTCACTGCAACCTCAGCCTCCCAGGTTCAAGTGATTCTCCTCCCTCAGCCTCCCAAGTAGCTGGGAGTACTGGTGTGCACCACCACGCCCAGCTAATTTTTGTATTTTTAGTAGAGACGGGGTTTTGCCATGTTAGTCAGGCTGGTCTTGAACTCCTGACCTTAGGTGATCTGTCTGCCTTTGCCTCCCAAAGTGCTGGGATTACAGGTGTGAGCCACCATGCTCGACTGACACCCCCAAAACTTAACTAAGAGCCTACTGCAGGCCAGAAGCCTTACCAATAACATCAACAGTCCCTGAACACAAATATTTACTGTATTCTAACAATGAAGGAAGAATCTGACCATCTAGCTTTAGCGAAAACATTAAGAAAATCATAAGGAAGAAGAGATGTATTCACTGTGGAATCGGGCCATCATGAAGGTCTTCGTCCTCATTATCGTCACCATGAGCAGGCTGAGGAGGAAGAGGAAGAGGGCTGATCTTGCCGGCTCAGGGGTGGCAGAAGTGGGTGAAAATCCATGTATAAGTGGACCCACGCTGTTCAAATCCATGTTGTTCAAGGGTCAACTGTAGTTAAAAATCCATTCATTCAACACACACCGTGGAGGCAGAGCCTGTGCTGGAGTGAGGCTGGCCCAGGAATCGGCAGCACCCTGGGGGTCGCTGGGGTCGGGGAAGGCTCCTCCAAGCCTGGTCGAACACAGCCTCGCAGGATGCGTGGGGCTTTATGGATGCGCACAAGGAGCAGGGGAAGGCCTCGCACAAAAGCAGATAGCACCAGAGAGCAAGGGATGCCGGGGCACCACGGAGGACGTGGAAGGCCAGAGGAGGGAGTCACAGGTACCCCTTTTACTTAGGTGTTAGTTTCCTATGCAGTGTAAGGAATGATCAACCTCACCCACCCCACATCCACATATTCATTTCTGCAGGGCAAAATCCGGGCAGGGCTCAGCTAGGTCCTCTGCTCAGCATCTCACGAGGCTGCAGTGATGGTGTCCGCTGGGTTGTGATCTTATCTGAAACGCAGGGGCCTCCTCCAAGCTCTCAGGTTTGGTGGAATTTGGTTTCCCAGGGTTGTTGGCAGGGCTTGTTCTCGGCAGCTAGAATTCCTGCCCAGGTCCCTGCCAGGTGGAGCCCCATTTTCAGAGCAGCAAGAACGGTCTCTCCTGTAAAATCCCTCCCTCCTGGAGGAGCCCCGTCGGTTTGAAGGCTCCGATGACTAGCCAGGCCCACCCAGGATAATCCCCCGTTCTTAAGGTCCACAGTACCAGGAGATAACCTAATCACAGCTGCCAAATCCCAGCAGATTCACAGCAGGCCCACATCCCCCAAGGGGATTATATTGGGCGGTACACTAGGGGCGTGATCTTGGGGCCATCTCGGAATTCCTCCCGCCACAGTCATGGCTCACTCTTGCAGCCCTCGCTCCCTGCCAGGTGGCGTCCTGCGCATTGCCCTCCTAATGGTACTTTGAGCACTTGCCCAGGCTTTTAGTCCTCTGGTCATTATTTGCAGAACTAGTCAGAACTGCCAGCCGGGCCCAGTGGCTCACACCTGTAATCCCAGTACTTAGGGAGGCTGAGGCAGGTGGATCACCTGAGGTCAGGAGTTTGAGACCAGCCTGACAAACATGGGGAAACCCCATCTCTACTAAAAATAGAACAATTAGCCAGGTGTGGTGGTGGGTACCTATAATCTCGGCTACTCAGGAGGCTAAGGCAGGGGAATCGCTTGAACCCGAGAGGTGAAAGTTACAGTGAGCTGAGATGGCACCACTACACTCCAGCCTGGGTGATAGAGTGAGATTCCAACTAAAAAAAAAAAAAAAGAACTCTCAGTATTTCTCTCCGGCTGCCCCTCCCCTTCACAGCCACATCAGGAACAGGAAAAGCTGCTGCCAATGCCATTGGCCTAGCCATCCTGCCAGAGCTCCAGCACCAGGAGCCAGGATCAGAGGGGATGCAGTTCCAGGGAACCTGGCCCCTGGGATCCGCTGATGAAGACGCTATCCTGCACCCTCCCTTCTAGCCACCTGCAGCCCCAAGACTACGCTGGCTGCCTGGCAAGGTCCCCAGAGCTCTCTTCCCACCTCTCAAGAGCTGGAGACCTCCCGGGTGGGGCGGCTGATGCAGCTGGTCTGTGCTGGGCACCAACGCTCAGGTGGCAGCTCTGGTTACATGGGCAGCCTAGCCTGGGGCTCTGGCCTTTGGGGCTCACCCCTGGCCCTGCAGCTCCAGAATCTAGGCCAGGCCCAGCCCTGCAATTCTTGATGCTATAGCTCATGTGCACTTGGAGATGGCAGATGCCATCGCTTGTTTTACAGGTGGGGAAACTGAGGCCCCACGGGCTGTTTATTTTCTCATTTAGGACTCACAACCACCCTGGGAGATGGCACATGCCCCTTTTACATGTGGGAAGCAGAGCCCGTGCTGGAAGAGAATTATGGAGGCTACAGGTGAATTAGGACAAGGACTGGGGTCATCCTTGCATTCACTCAACAGACGTGTGCTGAGCATCAGCTCTGGGCTCGCACCTGCTGGGCCTGGGGGCATAGAAGCAGATGCAGCGCAGTCCCCAGCCTCGGGTTACCCACAGCAGCGATGCTGGCATGTATGAGGCAACGGAAGCCAGGCAAGCTCCTCAACCAGCAGCCTAGAAGCACCTGCCAAAATTCTAATTATCACCTGGGGTCCCTGCATACCTGGCACCAGGCAGGAGGGTGAGAAGACCCCTCCTTGGGTCATTTAAAGGCACCATGCCCAGAGAGACCTTACTGCCAACAGGCCTGAGGCTGTCAGGACCCAGGGGGAGCATGTGCCCCAGACTGAGGAAGGGTCTGCAATGGTTCCCTAGAGGTGAGGCCTGGTGGAGAGTCAGAGGCAGTGGAGAGCGGAGGCTGGGGTGGAGTTGGGAGAGCACTCCAGCTGAGGGAATGGCATGTGCAAAGACCTGAGGTTAAGAGGAAGAAATTTAAGGCTGTTAGAATGAAGGAATGAATTGCTTTACCAGTAAGTGAGTTCCCCATTCCTGGAGGTGTCTAAGCAAAGGCTGATGTCCAAGAACAGGGACAGGACCTGCAGCTGGACTGAGAAGCAAGAGGACAGAGCAACAGAAGCCACAGATGCTTCTGAGGGTTTGAGTTGGACAGTCGGGAGGATGGGGATGCCCTTGGCAGGGAGAGAACTCCAGGAAAGTTGCAGGCATGAGAGGGACTTAAGTCATGGGCAGCTGAGATAAAGCAGCAAAGATGCCGGAGGAGGCCGGGAAGCATTTGGAAAGAAATGCAGCCGATTAGAGCCACACTCCCAGGAAAGGGGCCCTGCAGTCCAGCCAGCTGGGGGTGCAAGCAGGAGTAAACCCACAGCCTTCACTGTCCCTTCTCCTACTGCATTGCAATCACCCACTCATGTGGGCCACCGCACTGAACTCTGGGGACCAGGGACTGTCTTAACACCACCATGCCCCATCCCAGGCCTGAGCTGCTTCCTTGGAAACCCCAACATTAATTCACAGTAATTAATGTGAGCCCAGAAGCCACACCAAAAGTCTCATTCTTCATTCCCAATCAGGGGATAGACAGCTTCCCAGGCTGCACACTCCCACTCCCTTCCTAGGGCAACTGGCATTCTTAAGTCAGGTCCTAGGCCATGGTTGGCCACCCATGGTGCAGTCCTTCCAACAAACAGACTGATAGACATTTCTTATGCCCATCTTATGCAGGGGGTACTTGCATGTCAGTCCTGTAAGGTGACAGCTAAAATCAACACACCAATCAGGATTTGGCTCTGCTGCCTATGAAGAGAAAACCCAAATAAGAAAGAGGTTTTGTCTCTTGCATATGGGAGTCCAGAGGGAAGAAAGCCAGGACCAGTAGGCAGCTCCGTGGTCATCAGAGACTCAGGCTCCATCCTTCTGTTCCACTATCCTTGAAGAGTAACTTACATCTTCAAAGTCACCTCCTGCCACAATATGGCTGCTGGAGCTCCAGCCATCACATTCCAAGTCCCAGGCAGAAAGCAGAAAGAAAGGGGAGGCAGAGGGAAAGGATATATACAAATAACCTGTCAATGGCCGGGCACAGTGGCTTATAATCCCAGTGGCCTGTAATCCCAGCACTTTGGGAGGCCGAGGCAGGCAGACCAACCGAGACCAGGAGTTCGAGACCAGCCTGGCCAACACAGCCAAACCCCATCTCTACTAGAAATACAAAAATTAGCTAGGCATGGTGGTGCATGCCTGTAATCCCAGATACTTGGGAGGCGGAGGCACGAGAATCGCTTGAACCCAGCAGGTGGAGGTTGCAGTGAGCTGAGATCATGCCACTGCACTCCAGCCTGGGCAACAGAGTGAGACTCAGTCTCAAACAAACAAACCAACTAACAAAAACAAATAGCCTGTACTCCTTTGAAGATTTCCCAGTAGCCACATTCAGTGACTCCCATTACATCTCTTTGACCATCCTGGGTGACCAGGGAAGATGAGGATACAGTCTCTTAAGTGAGCACATCACCACTGGGCTGGTCACTTGCTGCTTTGCTCTCTGCCTCATTCCTGCCATGAATGATCAGAACCTGTGCACCCCTCAGCCTCCCAGGCCAGCTGGCCTCCGGTTAGGGTCCTGCAGTAGGACGGGGAAGGAGACAGGGGAACTCTCCTGCTCTTTCCAGTTCTTCACGATGTCTCTAGACACCTGCAATGGCAGCAGCGATGTCCTTGATAGTGGCTGCAGCTGGCCAAGGTAGCAGCTTTTCAGTGGCCCCCGAACTGGGCCTGACAGCGTCTCCACCAGCAGACCCAGACTCGGGGTCAGCCCTGCTGCCGCAGCAGCCTCTGATGTTGGAGCATTCCTTGCATTTCCTCTCGCTCCTGCAGCCTTTCCAAATGCTCTGACCACTGCACTGGACTAAATCCCACCTGCTTGAAATTCTTGGATGGGTTTCTGCTTTCCAGGCTGACAGTGGGGCAGCATAAAATCAGGATTCTGTCAGAAAGAAAGAAGGGGGGCCAGGCAACGAGGGAGCAGCTCCCAGTCTCTGCCAGTCCAGCTCAAAATACAACTCACTCTATGAAAATGGAAGACCCAGGCCCACAGCCCACAGTTCTCATGGACTCACTTGCTTATTAGGAATGAGAGGCTGTACCTTGAACGGAGGTTAACCCAATTTACGGGCAAAACTTAAGGCATGCAATTTCCCTACTGTAGAAATCTCTAGAACGTGCCTTCACAGAATGTCAGGGTTCTTCCCCTTGCCATGAAAAATAGGAATAGAAAAAGAAATGTTTTTCCTATGCTAGTCAGCAGGGAAGGTGGCATTAGACTTGGGAACATGTCATTCCTCCAAATAAATCGGGCAATAATGGGGAAGTTAATTTCTTCAAACAGGTATGCTGTCTTCGTCCATTTTCTGCAGCTATAGCAGAATACTGCAGCCTGAATGACTTATAAAGAGCAGAAGTTTATTTGGTTCCAGAGGCTGAGAAGTCTAAGGGCATGGCGCTGGCATCTAGTGAAGGGTCATCCCATGGTGGAAGGCAGAAGGTGAAAGGGAATGCAGGAGACAGAGCAGGAAATGGGGCCAAACTCATGCTAACTCCTAGAAAGCTCAGGCCAAAAGGCTGAAACCACCAACCAGGGTCCCCAGTGAGGGCAGCTGGCAAAGAGAGAAGCGTGCAGTAGGGTGGGAGGGGGTGTCCAGCCAGGCTCAGCCCCAGGAACAGGGCAGATAGAGCCCACTCCTAGACCCTGGGCCTACACTCCTGGCCTCAGCCTCCCTGCAGTGTGTCCCAACTTGGCAGCCTTTATCGTTGTCACAGCAAAGTGTTGGCAGCAGGTGGGGCAGGGACAAGGGAGGCCAAGGAGGAGGCCACAGCAGGGAGGCTGCAGACCCCCTGGCTCACTGCTCACGGGAGCTAAGCCCACTGTCAGGTTCTGGGGCAGCCACTGATAAGGGCTAGGCTGTGATCTGAAAACTCCATGCACCTCCCTGACCCCGGCCTCCCACCCCCACATGCAGAGGTGGCCGCCGGCTTTCAGCCTCACAAGGCGAACCATCACAGAGCAAGACTGCTGCCACCGACGGGCCCAGAATCCTGCCACCTTCTGGGTGGTGCCGATTCCGGAACCAGGAGCTCTTCAGTGAGAGGCCGTGTCCTCCAGGTTCCAGGAAAGAGTGTCTGGGGACACTTCCTGGAAGGCAGCAGGCCCAGAAGCAAAGAAGCTTAGGCAGGAAGGGCCTGCAAGGTGCTTTCATTCAGCCCTGCGTGTTTTCTCACTCAGCAAACACTGTGTTTGGGCTCTGGGGGCAGGACAGAGAGCCAGTAGGTCATGGGTTCTGCCTTCTCCTGTCCAGCCCTGATGCCTGCCAGCTGTGGGGTTCAGGCAGCCACTCTACGGCACTGTGATGGGAAAAAGGAGGTACAAGCTGCTCATGTATTAGCAGAAGCTACCAAGCCCCCCCAACACACCAGAGACACGGGAGATGCGACCACTCCCTGGGCCCGCCAGTCAGCAGTGCGCAAGACGCATCCGCCAGATGGCACCGCGTCAGAAAAGAGCAGATGTAATGCGGGCTTCTGAGAGGGGAAGCAGTTTCTCTTGGGAGGAAAAGAAGGTGCTGGGCACAGGTGAGTCACCTGCATCTCCTCCCTGTGCAGTGGGGGGGCTGGTAAGGACAGGAATTGTGGATGGCCCTGCTCTGTAACTCCTGCCAATTTTCATGGTGTAAACACTCTCATCTTGGTCGACTCCAAGCTTCCAACCATGACACAATTGCCTCCCCAGAGGTCTGAGTCAGGGGTCTCCAGAGAAACAGAACCAATACGAGAGAGGAGAGAGGAGAGAGGAGAGAGGAGAGAGGAGAGGAGAGCGGAGAGAGGAGAGAGGAGAGAGGAGACAGATTTTTGTATGGGAATTGGTTCCTGCAGTTACAGAGACCAAGAAGCCCCACAATCTGCCGTCTGCAACCTGGAGACCCAGGAAAGCAGGTTGTATGACTCAATCAAGTCCCACAGCCTGAGAACTGGGAGCACCAGGTGCCAAGGACCGCGGGCAGGAGGTGTGCACGTCTCAGCTCCGGGAGGCAGAGAACCACTGCCTCCCTCCTCCGCTGCCTTGTTCCCTCTGCACCCATAGTAGATGGGATGATGCCGCCCACACTGGGGAGGGCCATCTTCTTTCCTCAGTTTCCTCATTCTAATGCTAGTCCCTTCCAGAAACACCTCTCAGGCACCCAGAAATAATGTTGCAGCGGCAGCTACCTGGGCACCCCCAAGCCCCAGTGAGTTGATGCATAGCATCAGCCTGCGCAAGACATTCCTGAGCGTGTAACAATCTGCCCTAAGGCAGCGGCCGACCCCGGCAACCACTGCCTGTGGGAGACAGAAGACAAACACCAAGCCTTGTTGGGCCCACCCCAGACAGCCCCAGGGTGTGTGTCCAGATGCGCCCTCTGCCCCCCATCTCCATGTGTGGGGCCTAACGTGTGTGTGGCACCAGTCATGCAGTTGCCTCTAGGGAGCCTGTCTAAACCATGGCATGTCCTAGACACCTCCAGGGGCCATGCAGCTAGAGGACAAGGAAGCTCACAGGGCAGGTCCCGCTGCCCCCAGAGGGAGTCCCTGCTTTTCCTTGTCCTCCTCCTGATCTCATGGGAATGAGACTCCCCTGCTCTGAGAGCCTGCAGGCTCTGCTAGGCCCTGGGCCAGACACTAGCCTCAACGCCACCTCATTGGCCATCTCAGCCCAAGAAAAGGCACAAGCCCATTTCACAGGTGAGGAAATAGAGGCTTTCAGTGTAACCGCCCAAGGGGTTCACCTTGCCTGCTGCCTAGACAGACCTGATTCATCAAGACAGGGGAATGAAAAGAGAAAGAGTATTTCATGCAGGGCCAGCTGTGCGGGAGACCAGAGTTTTATTACTCAGATCAGTCTCCCTGAGCATTCAGGGTGCAGAGTTTTTAAGGATAACTCGGTGAGTCGGGGGAAGCCAGTGAGCCAGGAGTGCTGACTGGTCAGGGGTGAAGTCATTGGGAGTGGAGGCTGTCTTGTAGTGCTGAGTCAGTTCCTGGGTGGGGGCCACAAGATCAGATGAGCTAGTTTATTGAACTGGGTGGCGCCAGTTGATCCATCAAGTTCAGGGTCTACGAAATATCTCAAGTGCAGATCTTAGGAGCCGTTCAGGGAGGGTACAACGAGGCACGTTTGACCCCCACTTCCTCTCATGGCCTGAACCAGTCTTTCAGGTTAAACTTTAGAGCAGCCTGGCCGAGGAGGAAGTCCATTCAGATGGTTGGGGGATCTTGGAATTTTATTTTGGTTTGCAACAGGCTACCAAATCCTCAAAATGGCCAAAGAGGGCGCCATTCACCCATTTTACAGGTAAGGAAAGAGATGCGGTGAACCTGAGGTCGCAGGACCCGTGTATGGAGTCCCAGCCTCCATGTCCTCATGGAAGCTCAGAGGCCCCCTCTCTGTGCCCTTTCCAGGGTCTTCGCCTGGCCTCCTCTTCCACACCCTGAGTTCCCAAACAACTTACCCCAAGAGGGGGTGTGAGAGATGATTAAAACCACCATCCTCTCACAGCTCAGTAAGCCAGGAGTCAGAAACCAAGGTATGGCAGGGCTGGCTCCCGTGAAGCCTCTGCGGGCAGGCTCCTTCCCGCCTCTCCCTGCTCCTGGTAGTCCCAGACGTCTCTTGGCTGTGGCCACACGGCTCCACTCCCTGCCTCCGACTCCGTGTGTGGCCTCCTCCTCCCTCTGTGTTGGTGCCTTCTTTTCTGTCTCTCATGAGAACACTTGCCATAGGATTTAGCGTTCACCAGATCATCCTGAAAATCTGAGACAGGTCTCAGTTACTTCAGAAGGTTTATTATGCCAAGGTTGAGGATGTGTGCCCGTAACACAGCCTCAGGAGGTCCTGATGATATGTGTCTAAGGTGATCAGAGCACAGTTTGGTTTTATAGATTTTAGGGAGACACAAGACATTGATCGACATCTGCAAGATGAATATTGGTTCAGTCTGGAAAGGCGGGAAGACTCCAAATGGGAAGGAGCCTTCCAGGTTGTACGTGGATAAGAGACAAATGGCTGCAGTCTTTTGAGTTTCTGATCAGCCTCTCCAAAGGAGGACTCAGATCTGCATTTATCTCAGTGAGCAGAGGGGTGACTTTGAGTAGAGTGGGAGGCAGGTTGGCCCTAAGCAGTTCCCAGCTTGACTTTTCCCTTCAACTTAGTAATTTTGGAGCCCCAAATCAGTCTCATCACATCTGCAAAGATCCTTTTCCAAATGAGGTCGCGGCCACAGGTTCTGGGATGTGGATGTATCTTTAGGAGGCCACCGTTCAGCCTATGGACTGCAAGCGTATCTTTCCAGGTACAGAAGGACAAGATCAGAAGTCACCTCTCCACCTGTCCCGAGCCGGATGCACAGCTGTCCCCTCTCCCCCTTCCCTTCACTTGTTCACCTTATCTTACATAAAATGTACATTTACTCAAAGTCTCACAAGAATGTCAGCATCTGCCTCACTGCCTACCCCTCCCGCCTTCCCTCTCCTTAAGTACTCCCTTCCCCTTAAATACTGAGTTCCCAAAACCTTCTTTGGAACGCGCAGGTCACAGATGCTCCTGGGACGTGTGTTTTCCTTAGGCGTGTCCTCACACTTTGGCTTGTGAGCCTCTACTGATTGAGACCCCTGCCCCCATCACTTTTTGGCTAAACGAGGACTCAGCTTCAGCACACGGAGGTGGGAGGAGTCCACACAGGTGTGTTATCCCATTAGCCGCAGAGTCCTGCTCTTACCCCACCCCTGGAAGGGAAGATTAGGCTGGAAAAATAAATATTCCTGGAAGGAAAGGCATGTTGGGCAGGCCAAAAGGAAGGTGGGGAACACAAGGGGAGGACGGAATGCATTTCATGAGGGGTGGCTGTGTCTCCTGCCAGGAATGCCCAGCAAGTCCTGGCCACCTGGGGGACAAGGCGGAGTTTCAGTGGGGAGGGTGGGGAAGCTGCGGTCCTCAAGGAAGCAGGTAGAGTGAGTAGGGGGCTGTTCTAAAAGGGAGGTCTGGGATGGCTTTGCCGAGAAGGTGATGTCGAACAGAGAACAGAGGAATCGAGAGACAGCACGGGGCTGTCCGGGGAGGAGAAGGACCCCCGTTGGGGACACCCTGGGATGGCCATGTGCCTGGTTAGGGCGAGGAATAGCAAGTGGCCATGGTGGGCAGGCCGGGGAGGGGGCGCCCCAGGAAGCGAGGTCACGGAGTTTTAGTTCTTCCTCCAGAGATGCAAAGCTTCAGGGGGCTTTAACAAAGCAGGGGAGGCTCAGAGGACCTCAGCGAGGCCGTTGCTGTAGTCCTGGGAGACACAGCAGATGCGGGCGCGGTCAAGGCCCTGGTGGAGTCCGGATGTGGCCAATCCCGCAAGCAGCTGGGAAAAGTCCTAAGGGAGCAGCCATCACAGGAAGCCGTGGGGCCGCGGTTTGCTCTCTAGGCGTTCGAGGAATCTCCAGCAGCCCTTTGGGAAGCAGTTATTGCTCTTTGCCACCGACCTGGGGCTGCCAGGACCAATTCCAGCCCCGCGTCCTGCAGACCCTGGTGCCCCCACTGCCGGGGACACGCTCAGCTCCACTCCCATGTAAGTGGGGCAGGAAGTGCAAGCCAACTGCCCTGGGGAAAATAACACTGGGGACAGTCACGCAGAGCAGCGTCATCGCCAGGCTGCCTGACCAAGGCGGTGCTGACCAGGATCTGGGAGCGAAGAGTCCCCCGTCCCCCACCATGACTGCGCACCTCCACCCACCTAGGCACCCAGAGTCCAACCCGGAGAATCGCCCTGAACGCTCCCTCCTCAGTGCCCCCAAGCAGCACCAGGCCCTTCTTGTGTTAAATGCCTCAGGTTCCGTCCCCCACGCCTCCCAAGAATTTCTCTAGATATGCACCCGGCCTCACTCCTTCTATTCTTAAATCCCATCAAGGATTCTCTGTGGCTTTTATAAGATCCAAACCCCACCGCGGGGCTTATGAGGCTCCATCTGACCAGGCCCTGTTCCCCTCTCTGCCCCCACTCCCATTCCTGCCACAGCCCCCCCCAACCACAGGACCTTTGCACTTGCTGTTCCCATCATGAGCCTACTAACTGCTCCCTGCCTAGCTATGCTGGGTCTCCTTCCAGGCCTCAGGTGACACCTCACTTCCTGACCCTCCAGGTCTGTTGGAGCCCCAACACAGGCTCTCCAGAGACATCCTCTTTCCCCCACTCCAGCACATGGCCTGTGTGATGTGGGCTGTTGGCAGCACAATTCACAATGGTGGGTTTAGCTCTCCTCTTACTGCCAGACTCCAGGAGGACAGGGGCCACACCTGCTTTCCCAGGTCAGGAACGGAGCCTGAGATGTGTTAAGGCTGAGACTGTTTATTTTAAACCATGGAAGCAGCAGCTGCTTCTGTGCAGAAAGGGATGGAAAGTCACCTTGAAGCTTTGCCCTCTCAAGTCACCTGAGCAGGCTTCCTGGGTAATGGAGAGGTGGGTGCTGTTTACCTCCTGCCCTGTGGGAGGGGTGCAATAGAACCTTTTAGGTCCCTGTATTAGTCCGTTCTCACACTGCTATAAAGAACTGCCGGAGACTGCGTAATTTATAAAGAAAGAGGCTTAATTGACTCACAATTTAGCATTGGTGGGGAGGCCTCAGGAAACTTACAGTCATGGTGGAAGGCGAAGGGGAATAAAGACAACTTCCTCACAAGGCGGCAGGAGGAAGTGCTGAGCAAAGGGGGAAGAGCCCCATATAAAAACATCAGATCTCACGAGAACTCACTCAATATCACGAGAACTCACTCAATATCACGAGAACTCACTCAATATCACGAGACCAGCATGGGGGAAACCGCCCCCATGATCCAACCACCTCCACCTGGTCTGTCCCTTGACATGTGGGGATTATAGGAATTTTGGGGATTATAGGAATTATGGGGATTATAATTCAAGATGAGATTTGGGTGGGGACACAAAGCCTAACCCTATCAGTCCCCCAAGGTAGACCCCAATACTATCCCTTGCCAAGCTGGGGGCTCGCAAAGGAGGTGCAAGGTGCATAAGAAACCCAAGGCCTTCCAGAGAAAGGGCCTGCACCCTAGGGTGTGAACAGGGTCATCGAGGGGAAGAACCGGAATGACAGGTGGACATCCAGGTTAACAGGAGCCGGGTGCTAGACAGGAATGCCGATGCTTCTGCCCTGGGCTGCTTCGCAGGCTGGGGTCAGGGCAGTGGGGACAGCCATGAGGTCGCAGAAGCCCATCGCCTCATGCTTTAATCAGTGACACTTCCCCAAGGGACCCACAGTCCAGGAGGGGAGGAAAGTGGCTCTCCTGGTGCCTTGGCAGGGCAGGGGCGGGGAAGTGGGTGGTTTGGATGCGGAGGCACCTCCCCACGCATCCTGCGGTTCATGGCCTGTGTGCCCTGCCTGTACCAGCTCCAGGGGCCTGGGGGAAGAACCCCAGTGTAGTGTCCATCACAGCCTCACACTTCTGGGCTGGGACTCACCACACTGGCCACTCCCTGTCCAGGGCTGCCAACCCATGCAGGCAGGGTCCATGTTTTGTCCCTTTGTCCCCACAGCCTTGCACACCACCAGCCTGACTCAGTGCTAAATGCATGAAGGAACTCATGACCTCAGAGCCCAAGGAAGTGCGTGCGTGAGACCTCCTGGTGCTCTGAGAAGCTCAGCTATACAGACACTGCTCTAAACGCCAGTCCTCAGCTGCGTGCCACTGCACTTATGATCGCTGCACTTGGCAGGCTCTGTGTTCCAGATGCTGGTAATGAAAGTGCTTTGCTTGGTCACCACTCAGGGCCCAGGTGTGCAGGATGCAAACTATTCCCTCTGCAGGGAGTGCCATCCCACTGCTCCAGACCATTCCAGGCTGCTTTGCCCCTCTCCATTCAGAACACAGGGCCTTGTGCACAATCACCTGGTCAGCTGGGAATCTCCAAACACAGACACACATGTGTGCGCATGCACACGCACTTGCACCCAGGAGCGGAAGGGCCCGGAGCTGCTCTGTGCAGATTTGCAATTCCCTCATGAAGTCGAGCCACCGTCCCTGCAGCTCTGGGACCCCCACACTTATCTGGGGGTGTCCATCCTTCTCCCAGGACCTCAAGGCCAGCACCTCAAGGCCAGGGCAGAGAGCCAGAATGTCAACCTAACAGATACCGCAGTCAGGCTGATATCCTGGAAAAGCCTCCTCCTAGAACCTTTCAGCCCAGCTCTGCTGCCTCTCCGTCTTCCATGAGGCTCTGGTCACACTGCCTGGCTGTTTCTCCTTTCTGCTGCAGGGCCTTGTCACCCGCTGTGCCTCTTGCTAGCACGCACTGCCTCCCTTTGATTCCCCATGTGGCCACACTGCGTCACGCTGTGGCCCTCAGCTCAAGGATCACCCATTCGAAAGCCCACTTTTGAGCACCCGCACCTCTCCCGGCCACCCTCATCCATTGGATCACCTTGATTTCATCATGTTGTGGCCACTATTGAAATCATCGTAAAGCATGTTCAGCTGGTTACTCTGTCACCCCAAACACGAGAGAGCAGGCATGGCCCATCTTATCTTCCACTGCATCCCCAGTGGGCACAGAGCGGGCTGCCAGTGAAAATTAATTTTTTTTTTGATAGAGTCTCACTGTCACCCAGGCTGGAGTGCAGTGGTGCGATCTCATCTCACTGCGCCACCACACCCGGATGTCCAGTGAGATTTCTGAGTGTAAGAATGAATGGATGAGGCCATCTGTCATGCTTCCCTTTTCATTCCCAACACTCCCCCTTTTCTATGACCCCATAAAAGTGAGCTCTGGCCAGGCACAGTGGCTCATGCCTATAATCTCAACACTTTGGGAGGTCAAGTCAGGAGGATCACTTGAGCCCAGTAGTTCAAGACCAGGCCTGGGCAACATGGCAAAACCCCATCTCCACAAAAAATACAAAACTTAGCCTGGTGTGGTGTGTACCTGTGGTCCCAGCTACTTGGGAGCCTGAGGTGGGAGGATCACTTGAGCCTGGGATTTGAGGTTGCAGTGAGCTGTGATCACACCACGGCACTCCAGCCTGAGTCACAGAGTGAGACCTCTTCTCAAAAATAAAAAATAAGAGCCCTGTATCATTTTTGTGCTCCAACCTCACAAAATAGAGGCAGGGACCTGAGTCCATGTGAACCGGCATATTGGGAAGACAGCTCTCAGATGGGCAGGGTTACTGGATGAGGGGTGATTTGTACCCCAAGTCACTGCAGTGGGTGCTCAAAAGTGGGCTTTCGAATGGGTGATCCTTGAGCTGAGGGCCACAGCGTGACGCAGTCTCTGGAGTGGGGTGCTGGAGTCTCTGGCAGCCTAGGATGGCAGGCGACTCAAGCTGAAGACCCCGAGCAAGGAGTCGGGGCCGGGCACCTGGGCAGGCCCTCCCCACCCCGTGCCTCAGCTTCCCTGCTGTAAGGGGTGGCTTCAGCCAGGGGACTTTGAGTGAATGGGGGCCCAAATGTCACCATCTTTGGAAAAAGCTCTTAGCACAATTAATTTAAGGATCTTGAGATGAGATCCTGCTGAATTGTCCAAGTGAGCCCTAAATCCAGTGGCCAGTGCCACTGAGTCCAGGGCCCAACTGGGGAAGATGCTTGGAGAAGAGAAGCAGGCCCGCAGTGGGGAGGCCCTGGGAACCCACAGGCGGAGTACAGGGATGCGGCCACAAGCCGGGGAATGCCTGGGGCCGCCAGAGGCTGGGAGAGGCGTGAAATGGATTTTCCTGAAGGCCTCTACAATGAACCAACCCAGCTGGCAGCTGGATCCCAGACTTCCGGCCCCCAGAACACACATCTGCTGTTTGAAGCCACTCTGGTGGTGTTTTGTTCGGCAGCCTAGAAACGTGGTCCAGATGCTATCAAGTCTGAAATTCTGGGCTTCTGTACCTTAGAAAGGGACAGATGGATCACACGGGGGAGGTGACACACATGGTGCCCACAGCCCCAGGCCCCGCCCCTGCCCCACCGGAACCTCTCTGTGCCTCAGTTTCCTCCTCTGTAAGACGGGGATAATAGCCACCATCTTTCCCAGGGCTGCTGAGAGGATTGTGCAAGAAGGCGCAGGACTCTGAGAACTCCTGGCATTCTGTAACCGGCTGTTACTGTGTTGTTTTTTCTTGTTTGGGAGCAGAGAGATGGATGTGCTGACTCTGAAACCAAATAAAACCACAGAGGCAGAGGCCTTCATCGCAGGCGAGGAGTGCGACGGCATGTTCAGGATCCAACATTGAGTTAAAGGGAAGCAAGAAGCGAGACAGCCACCCAGGCCGCCCCGGCTTCCTGGTCCTGTGTGTGCACGAGCTGAGCTCATGGGAGTGTGGGTGTCTCTATGCCTCTGCATACCCAGAGACAGGGCAGGAAGTTACTTTCTCTTTGAAAGGCAATTCATACTCTCCTCACAGTGTTTTTCTGTAGTTTCCAAATATCTGACAGTAAATGAGCATTATTTTGAATGTAGGAAAAGCCCCCTCAATCAAACATTATCAATGAGCCTGTTCTTGTAAGAGCAGAGAGAATTTTCCATGTGGCAGCAAATCTCACTGGGAAATCCCCAGCATCTCTAGGTGGATGCGGTATGCCCCGGACACTCTTGAGAGTGGCAGAGTGATGTGCACTGGGCTAGTGAGTCTGCTCTGCAGAACACTCGAGAGCAGGTGATGCCCCAAGAACCCAGCCTCATGGGACCCCAAAGCCTTCTCCTCACTTCCTTCTCCTCTGGTGAAAGAAAGACCGAGGTGCCAAGCAGGTGATGGCTCCTGTGCAATCCTACACATACTCCTTTGGTGCAAACAGGACTAGGGGCAGCTAGAAACCCCCGGGCACTAGGGCATCCCATGTCAGGCTTAAGGCAGCTCAGTCACTACCCTCTGTGTGCACAGAGGAGCTTGGCACTGGAGCTTGCCAGGGCTCTTCTGCAGTGGAACATTCACTGCTTCATCTTCATCCATCATCCACCCGTCACTGGTGATGCTGGGTCCCTTCCTGGGTGCTGGTGGCAAAAAGTGACCACAGGTGATCTCTGACCTCAAGGGGCTCCCATTGAGTAGGAGGGACAGATGGGGGACCCCTCAGTATAGCAAGGACACCGTGGTGCTGACGTGATGCTGGGGATGGCAGATGAGTGTGTCTCAGGCCGTAGACACTGTGTGGCACAGCTGCTGGTGGTCTGGGAGCCAGGACAGGTTGGAGCCGAATTTCAGCAAAGCCGCCAGGAATTGAATTCAGTGCTCATGACTTCACTCTGGGGCTCCTTCCAGCTCCCCTGGTGGCAGGGACCCAGAAGGAACTCACACCTATCAGGCCGGACTGCATGCCAGGCACGTCATACGTCATCCTTTCTGATGCTCACGATGGCCCTGTACAGTTACCATGCCCCTCAGGGAAGTTAGAGAGAGGATCAAAGAGGTTCTGCAATGTGTGTGAAGTCCCACACCGCCAGCAAGTGGCCGTGCTGGGGTTGGAACCCATCTACACCACTGCGGAGCCCATGGCCATGTCCTGGAGCCATTCTTCCTTCTGTCTGGTCCCACCTGCTCTCAGTACCCATCTTATACATCCCCAGAAGTTTTGTTTTCATCAAACGTTGTCTTCAACTCATCCCATGACCCACTGGCAGAGGAAGACAGAGGCCTGAGTCACCAGTGAGCTGGCCACTTGGCACGGTTTGGCCACTGACTCACCTGTGTCCTTGAGCAAGCCACTTGCCTCTCTGGGGTGAGGATGAGGACTGGCGTGAGCACTCCCCCTTCTGCCTGCCCCACATCCAACCATATTTGCTGGGACCACAGACATCTCCTTGGGAACTCATCCCTTATCATCACCCACAGTCTTGATGAGATATCAGTGAGCCTCCACTGGCCTGGCTGGGAGGGGCACACAAAACTCCCCCTGGTCCCCCGTGCTCCCTCCCTGGAGCACAATCTGGAGGCAGAGAACACAGAACGCAGAAGTCACACTCCAGCCCTCCTGCCTCCCTGGGGCCCTGCTCTCACTCTGCTGTCTTCAGACCCTGGTCCCGCAGCATCTCCCTCGCCCCTGCAAGGGCTCCAAGTGCTCTCAGTACCTTCTTCGTTGGCTCCAGTCGGCCAGGGTCAGCTTCCGTTACTTGTAAGTGAAGAACTCTGATGGGCCCAAGGGACTAAGGTTGTTTCTGGATCTCAACTTCCTCACTCAAGAACTTCAGGTGGCTTCCCACTGCCCTCGGATCAGACCCAACCTGGCCTCAGATTCCCCACTTCTGTCCCCACTGCTGCTCAAGCTGCATCCTCACCCCACGCCTGACTGCAGACCTGCCCTGCATGCGCCCTGGATGCCGCCCTCTGCTCTCACCACCACGTCTTCTCTCCCTGGGCCTCCCAAATCTAGTCCATCCCAGGAGGCCAGGGCTGTAAACCCAGGGTTTTGTCTTCCCCATTTCCATCCCACAAGGCCTTGGGGGAAGGTTTGTCCTGAGGTTTGCCAGATTAAAGGCAATAAAGAGCCAGTCTGAGCAAGAAGAGGCCTTTTCTGGGGTCTCTGGAACATTCCTCCTGGTATCCAGAAACACGTGGCTAATGATGCTGACACCCAGGCAGGGCTTGGCCCTGGGCAATTGGGCCGGGGTCTGATCCACAATGACCTCCAGCTCAGGGGACATGTCACCTGAGAATTTGCCCTTCCTACAAGCCAAGACCCCACCTCACCCCACCTGCCGAGGTTCTCTCAGCTCCCCTGACAGCTTCCTTCTATCAGGAAAAGACAGGTCTTCAGCCCCTAGGAGGTTCTCAGCTCCCAGCCCCGCTGACAGCCTTCTCCTATTAGGAAAGAACATGTCTTCAGGCCCTAGGAGGGTCTCAGCTCCCCTTTCCCCTGACAGCCTTCTCCTATCAGGAAAGAACATGTCTTCAGGCCCTAGGAGGGTCTCAGCTCCCCTTTCCCCTGACAGCCTTCTCCTATCAGGAAAGAACATGTCTTCAGGCCCTAGGAGGGTCTCAGCTCCCAGATCCCATGCCTGACTAAGAGCAGTGGCGATGGAGCATGGGGCGTGACAAAAGGTCTGCAGGTGGACAGACAGAATGAATGGAGGGGCTGGAAGCAGGCAGCCTGGTTCCTGGTCCAGGAGTCTCTGTGAAACCATTGCCACTGACCTCCTCACTCTGCCACTTTCACTTTTCGATTGAGTCATTCCGCAGTTTGAACGTGTGCCAGACTTCAGCAATCACAGGAAGGATGAGAGCTCTTCTTGGCCCCAACTCTCCCTTTGTCCTCTGCAACCGATTACATTACACTCGGCTCGGCTAAACCAACCTGAGCAAGCGTGGGAAGGGTGGGTGGATGGTCAGTGTTCTGGAAGGATCTCCCGAGAGTCAGCAGAGCTGAGCTAAGGCCCCAGCTCCACCAGCACAAGCAGATCTCCCAGGCAGCTGTGCTGCCTCTGCGTCCCAGGAATACCTGTACTTTCCTGCCTCTCAGCCTTTGCTCAGGCTGGGCCTTCCACCAGACTGCCCTTCCTGTCTCCATCACTGGACCTTTCCTAGATATGAAACAGGTCCCGGCCAGAGGTGATGGCCCCTCCTCCCCTTCGTCCCCCAGTACTTGTGTGTGCCAGAAAGACCTGGATGGAGAAGGGGACTTGATCTTATAACATGGGGCCAGACAACTGATGTCCTTTCCTTGATCCTACAGCAAATCTGGGACAAAAATTCTATTACCCTCATTAATGAGAAAAGTGAGGTGCAGAGCATTTACCCCCCATGGCTCAGCAGGTGCCTGACTGAGGCAGCAAAGGATGGGTGCCGAGCCTGTCTGGCCCCTGCCCTGTCTGCCTTCCCTCAGTCAGTACCAGCCCTCGGTTTAGTTCCTGCCACTTCTTTATCCCACACGTGTTCAGTGGGAGCTGGTTCCTGGGGACTGTGCTGGATGTGGGGCACCCAGGGTGAGATAAGGCCAGCCTTGCTCCCATGCCTCCCTTGGAATGGTGTTGGAGGCCCATGCGTGAATAGGCACTCGCGTGCTGCCAACCCGAGGATAAGCCCCAGCCATAGTGGACAGTTGTGCTGGTTTCTAAAATCACCCCCTTCTCCCATGGGGTGTCCCATCGCCCAAGGACAGGGTGATGGTGACCCTGTCCTTGGCCCTGGTGCCATTTCTCTTGGCTCTGATTAGCCACTCTTTCCACGTTTCCATGCAGCCGTTCCAGGCACAACTACTGCATGCTCTGGGTTTGTGGGGGACACAGAAATGACTCCTTTCCTTTGTAGACTTTATTCCTTCACAGGCAACTGGAGGACTTGGGGGGCTACTTTCAGCTTGATGCCTACCCTCCCCGTAAGAACAGGGCCTATTTCCCTGGTTTACAGCTCTACCCTCAACAAGCCAAGCACAGGGCTTGCCCCAAAGAAGCTGCTTAACACACACTTGCAGAATAAATGGCTAAGAGTCGTGGTCTTTAGTCTCCAAGAGTGCATGGTCTAGAGGGATGACAAAATACAGACACATCCCTGGAAGAAGCAGCCGAGCCAGCTGGCATCACCCGCCAGGGCCTGCCAGGGCTGCTGCTGAATTGCTGGGACCTTGGTTTTGGCCAGCCATGGTCCTTTGGCTGGGGTCTGCAGTGGGGAGCTCAGTCAAGGGAGGAGAGAAAACCCAGGGGGCTTCCTGTAAGAGCTCTCTCGGGGGCCTTCCTGTAGGCCCAGAACCCTGGGCAAAATGAAAACACACAGCCTCCTGTTCAAAAAGCAGGAGGAAATCTTTATCCTTCCTTCAGAGTTATCTCTCTCTCTCTCTCTCTAAAGTTGTCATGGTGTTTTAATTTGCTATTTGATGTCACTCTCCCTTGGACATGGATGCTTACAGGGTGAGGACAGATGCAGACAGGAACTCAGGACCCTGCTGTGCAATTCAACATGCCAGGCACCTGATCCCAACTCTGACTTCCCTGCCCCTGAACCCAGGCCCCAGGGCAGAGGGCAGCAGTGATTGTCAGGTGAGGGCAGGAGGCATGGGACAAGTATCAACCTATAAACAGAGGCTTGGCAATAAAAAAGAGTCAAACTGTGTAAAATATGTGAAGGGATTTATTCTGAGCCAACTATGAGTGACCATGGCCAAAGGCACAGTCTCAGGAGGTCCTGAGAACAGGTGCCCGAGGCGGTTGGGTTACAGCTTGATTTTACATATTTTAGAAGGAGAGAAATTACAGGCAGAGACAAAAATCAATACACGTAAGGTGCACATTGGTTCAGCCTAGAAAGGTGGGACATCTTGAAGTAGGGGCTTCCAGCTTGATATGGTTTGGCTCTGTGTCCCCACCCAAATGTCATCTTGAATTGTAATCCCCATAATTAATTCCCATGTGTCTAAGGAGGGACCAGGTGGGAGGTGAATGGATCATGGGGATGGTTTCCCCCATGCTGTTCTCACGACAGTGAGGGAGTTCTCATAAGATCTGATGGTTTTATAAGTGTTTGACAGTTCCTCCTTCACACACCCTTCTCTCTCCTGCCGCCATGTGAAGAAGGCCCTTGCTTCCCCTTCACCTTTGACCATGATTGTAAGTTTCCTGAGGCTTCCCAAGCCATGTGGAGTTGTGAGCCAATTAAACGTCCTTCCTTTATAAATTACCCAGTCTTGAATATTTCTTTATAGCCGTGTGAAAACAGACAAATACACAGGTCATAGGTGGATTTAGAGATTTCCTGATGGCAAGTGGCTGACAGGGTTAAGCTCTGCCTGAAAAGTTGAAGTCAACAGAAGGAAATGTTTGTTGTTAAGAGAAGGGGGAATGTGGAAGCCAAGGTTCCTGTTATGTGTCAGACTCTCCTTAGTTAACTCTCTCCTGGATCAGGAAAAGACTGGAAAGGGAAAAGGATTCTCTACAGACTGTAGGTTTTCCCAGTAAGAGACAAATTTGCAGGGCCATTTCAACATAGGTACATTCTGGGGGTAAACTGCTTCGATCTCTTTCAGGGCCTGCTATCTGTCATGTGATGCTATACTAGAGTCAGGTTGGAATTTGGTATCTTATTGCTACAAGGAGTCTGTTTGGTCAGCCTCAGGATCTCTGTTTTCATGTTAATGCTGGTCAGTCATGTTGAAACTCCAAAGGGAGGGGGTATAATGAGGCGTGTCCAACCCACTTCTATCTTGGCCTGAACTAGTTTTTCAGGTTTACGTTGGAATTCCCCTGGCCAAGAGGAGGGACCATTCAGTCAGCTGGGGAGCTTAGAATTTTAGTTTCAGTTTACAGGCTCCAAGTCCCCAGCACATGCTCCACTCTCCCTTAGACTTTACACACAAGACACAGATTCAAAGATAAACTGCCAACTCCAGGGCACTAAACCCCAAGCCTAGGGCCCTGTTCGTCTATGGCCGAGCCAGCCCTGCCTCCTTCCACCCCTGCCTGAGGCCACTAGCCAGCTAAGGACCAAGCAAACCCATCCTGCTGTGGTGACGGGCTATGGCCTCCCAGAGGACACTTTGACTCCATGTCCCTGCGTCCTGGTATGGCTCCAGTGACTGTATATAAAAGGTGCTGTTGCCTTCATGAAGAGGGTGCGAGCTGTTTTCTTTTTTTGGCGTAGACACAGTCTGTCTATTTCACCTTCTAGTTCAGGTCTTCCACCCCTGCTGCTGTTGGTGTTCCTTTCTTATTTCCCTTTACCCTGGATCTTTCATTTAATTCTTTGAAAATATGCTATTGATGGGGCATGGTGGTGCACACCTGTAATCCCAGCACTTTGGGAGGCAGAGGCAAGTGGATCACTTGAGCCCAGGAGTTTGACACCAGCCTGGGAAACATAGTAAAATCCTGTCCCTACAAAACATACAAAAATTAGCCAAGCGTAGTGGTGCTCACCTGTAGTCCCAGCTGCTCAGGAGGCCAATGCGGGAGGATCACTTGAGCCCAGGATGTCAAGGCTGCAGTGATCCAAGATTGCACCACTGCACTCCAGCCTGGGTGACAGAGCAAAACCTTGTCTCAAAAAAAATAAAAAATAAAAATAAGAGAAGAGAAGAAAATCTGCTATTGGTGGTTTTTCTGTTGTTCAGACACTGGTTTATGCTCAGTGCTTCCAGGAATGACCCACCTGCCCCTCTCACTTTCATGTCTGCACCTGCCCTCCAGTTGTTTAAGGTTCTGCCTCTGGATTTTCACTTTTTATTCTTGTTCTTGCTTTCTCATGCTTTTTACATTCATGGAATCATTGATTTTTACCCAAAGTTTTGTGTGGTTATCTCCTTTTTTCAGTTTATCACTTTGATATGTAATTTCAAATTTATTTCAGCACATTGAGCTGATTTAACATTAACACACATTGAGCTGATTTAACATTAACACAACATTTCCCTTATTTTATTTTATTTTATTTTTTTTTTTGAGACAGGATCTCGCTACATTGCCCAGACTGGACTACAGTGGTATGACCTTGGTTCACTGCAACCTCGGCCTCCCGGGTTCAAGCAATTCTCCTGCCTCAGCCTCCTGAGTAGCTGGGATGACAGGCATGTGCCACCACGCCCAGCTAATTTTTTGTATTTTTAGTAGAGACAGGGTTTTGCCATGTTCCCCAGGCTGGTCTCGAACTCCTGACCTCAGGTGATCCACCGTCCTCAGCCCCCAAAATGCTGGGATTTCAGATGTGTGCCCCTGTGCCCAGACACTAAAATCTTTATTTCGATGTCTATTCCTGACAGATTACCTAAAAGATTAACTAAGGCTTACTTTACTTTTTTCTTCTTCCTTCCTTTTCATATTTTATTCTTTCTTTATAAATGTTTTTTGTAATGAATGGCCAGTGACTTGGTTGGAATAATATAACAAAAAATACCCCAAACTTCAGCAGCTTCATGTGATGAACATTTATCTCCCACCTCCCCTCACCCCCACCCCAGTGCTGATGTTCCTGGTGGTGGGGGCAGGGTGCTCTGCTCCACTCAGTCATTTAGGGATTCAGGTTGTGGGGACTCTGCCATCTTGGGGTGTGGCCCTAGGTCACACTGGATGATGTAAACTAAAAATTAAATGTTAAGCCCCTCAACTGACTGAATGGGCCTCTCCTCTCTGCCAAGAGAGGACAGGGCATTCCAAAGTTAACCTGAAAAACCAGTTCAGGCCGTGATGGGAAGCGGGGTCAGACATGCTTCATTTTACCCTCCCCCCTTTGGAATTCAGGCACAGCTGACCAGCATTAACATTAAAACAGAGGAGACCTTCAGACTTTTTGTAGCAACAAGGCATCAAATTCCAGCCGGACTCTAGTACAGCATCACACGACAGATAGCAGGCCCTGAAAGAAATTGAAGCGTTTTACCCCAAAATATATTTATTTGACATATTTTGAAATAGCCTTGCACCTCAGGTGATCCGTCCACGTTGGCCTCCTAAGATCCCAAAATGCTGGGATTACAGGCATGAGCCACTGCCCAGCCTAACAACATAAAATTTTAAATGTCCACCATGTAACCCATAATGATGTGGCCCAGGAAGTCCCAGGAAACCCTCAGCTCATGTGGAAAAGACAATCAACAGCCGCCAATACCTGGATGACCCGGATGTTGGAATTCGCTTATGAAAACTTTAAAGCAAGTGTTGCAGAAGTAATCCAAGAGGAAGAGGTGAACACTATTGAGTTCAGAGGAAAGATAGGAGATGTCAGCAAAGAAACAGAAGCTACAAAGAACCACATGAAAAATGCAGAACTTTCAAATGAAGTAATCAGAAATGTGAAAGCCCACTGTATGGGCTCAATAGTAGAACAAAAATGACACGGGAACGGGTGAGTGAACTTGAAGATAGACCAATGGGCCAGCCATGATGGTTCATGCCTGCAACCCCAATACGTCAAGAGGCTGAGGTGGGAGGATGCTTAAGGCCAGGAGTTTAAGACCAGCCTGGGAAACACAGCAAGACCCTATCTCTACAAAATAAAAATAAAAATAAAAATAAAAAAATTAGCCTGGTATAGTGGTGTATACCTGTAGACCCAGCTACTCTGGAAGCTGTGGCAGGAGAATCGCTTGATCCCAGAAGTTCCAGGCTGTAGTAAGCTATGATTGTGCCACTGTGCTCTAGCCTGGGCAACAGAGCAGGGCACTGTCCCTTTAAAAAAAAAAAAAGAAAAGAAAAGAAAGCTAAAGCAATACAATTATTCAACATGAACAGCAGTGAAGAAAATATTTAAAAATGAACACAAAATCCAATTGCCCTTCATTATTATTATTATTATTATTATTATTATTATTATTATTATTATTTGAGATAGAGTTTTGCTCTTGTTGCCCAAGCTGGAGTTCAATGGTGCAATCTCGGTTCACTGAAACCTCTGCCTACCAGGTTCAAGCAATTCTCCCATCTCAGCCTCCCAAGTAGCTGGGATTACAGGCGCACACCACCATGCCTGACTAATTTTTTGTATTTTCAGTAGAGACAGGGTTTCACCATGTTGGCCAGGCTGGTCTCAAACTCCTGATCTCAAGTGGTCCACCCACCTCAGCTTCCCAAAGTGCTGGGATTACAGGCGTAAGCCACCGCACCCAGCCACCAATGCCCATTCTTGATAAAAATTCTTAACAAACTAGGGATAGAAGGCAGCATCCCCAACCTGACAGAGTGTCTGCAAAACATCCACAACTAACTTGTACCCTATGGTGAAAGACTGGGTGCTCTCCCAGTGAGAGCAAGTAGAAAGCAAGGCACCCATTCTCAGTTTGGTTTACACTGACTAGAGGTCCTAGCAAGGGCAATTAGGCAAGAAAAATAATTAGAAGACATGCAGATTGTAAAGGGAGAAGTAAAACTCTCAATTTGGAGATGACACAAGCTTATATGTAGAAAATCCTATAAAAGCTACAAAAAATCGTATTAGAGCCAATAAACAGCTGAGCAATTTTGCAGGATGCAAGATCAATATATGAAGTCAGTAGGATTCCTGTACACAAGCAACACACAACCCAAAAGTGGAATTGAGAAAAAAATAGCATCAATACCATCAAAAAGAATAAAATACTCAATAAATTTAACCAAAGAAGTGCAAGACTTATTCGCTGAAAACTACAAAACATTGTTGAAAGAAATTAAAGGAGAGTTAAATAAATGGAAAGGTACTCTGTATTCATAGATTAGAAGACTAGACTTATTAGGATGCCCATACTCCTCAAACCAGCCTACAGAGTCAGTGTGGTTCCTATCAAAATTCCAATGGTGTGTTGCACAGAATGAATAAGCTGATGCTAAAATTCATGTGAAATTGCAACGAAGCCCAATAGCCAAACAATCTTTAAAAAAGAACAACATTGGGGCCAAGTGTGGTGGCTCACACCTGTAATCCCAGCACTTTGGGAGGCCAAGGCAGGTGGACTGCTTGAGCTCAGGAGTTTGAGACCAGCCTGGGCAACATGGTGAAATCCTGCCTCTACAAAAAATACAAAAATTAGCCAACATAGTGATGCACATCTGTAATCCCAGCTACTCGGGAGGCTGAGGTAGGAGAATCACTTGAACCCAGGAGGTGGAGGTTGCAGTGAGCTGAGATCATGCCACTTCACTCCAACCTGGGCAACAGAGCAAGACTGTCTCAAAAAAAAAATTAGCTGGGTGTGGTGGTGCACACCTGTAGTTCTAGCTCCTCAGGAGGCTGAGGTTTGTAGGACTGCTTGAGCCTTGGAGGTTGAGCCACTGCACTCCAGCCTGGGCAACAAAATTGAGAGTCCAGAAAGAAACCCATACAGCTATGCTCAAATGATTTTGACAAGGGTAACAAGATCATTTCATAAGGAAAAAATCTTTTTTTAACAAATGGTGATGGAACAATAGGACACTCATATGCAAAGAAGAATGAATGTGGATCCCTACCTCACATCACGTACAAAGTTGAACTCACAACTCTCAAGTCCTAAATGTAACAGTTAAAACTATAAAACTCTTAGAAAGAAATATAGGTGTAAATCTTTGTGACCTTAGATCAGGCAAGTTTCTCGGATATTAAACCAAAAGCAACAAAAGAAAAATTTAAATTGAACTTTATCAAAATGTAAAACTTTTGCTGCAAAGGACATTCTCAAGAAAGTGAAACAAGAACACACAGAATGGGATAAAATGTTTACAAATCATATATCTGATAAGGGTCTAGTGTCCAGAATATATAAAGAGCTTTCACAAGTAAACAAAAAAAGGACAAATAACCCAATTAAAACATGAGGAAAGGATCTGAGTAGACATTTCCCTAAAGAAGATCTGCAAATGGCCAGTAACCACGCCCTATGGCCTGAATGTTGATGTCCCTGCCAAATTCATATGTGGAAATTTAACCTCCAAGATTGTGGTCTTAAGAGATGGGCTCTTTGGGGGGTCCTCTGTTCTCATGAATTGGATTAATTTCCTTATAAAAAGGGTTTGAGTGGCAGATTTGTTCCATCCACCTCTTCTGCCATGTGAGGACACAGCAAGAAGGTACCATCTTTGATGCAGACAGTGGGCCCTCACCAGACACCAACTCTCCCAGTACCCTGATCTTATATTCCTCATTCCCTAGAACTGTGATAAATACATTTCTATTGTTTGTAAATTACCCAGTCTTAGGTATTCTGTTGTAGCCATAGGAACAGACTAAGACAGCACATGAAAAGATGTTCATGGTCATGAGTCATTAGGGAAACACAAATCAAGACCACAGTGAAATACCACTTCACATCTATTAAGACAGCTGTAACTAAAACCAGAAAACAAGTGTTGCCAAGGATATAGAGAGGTTGGAACTCTCATACACTGCTGGTGGGAATTTAAAATTATGCACCTAGTATGGAAAACAGACTGGTAGTTCCTCAAAAACTTAAACATAGAGTCGTGTGATGTCCTAGCAATTCTACTCCTAGGTGTTCAAGAGAATTGAAAACATGTTTACACAAAAACTTGTGTACAAATGTTGATAGTCAAAATAGCTAAAAAATGGAAACAAATGTCCACCAACTAATGAACAGATAAAAAATTGTTGTATGTGGCTGGGCGCAGTGGCCCACGCCTGTAATCCCAGCACTTTGGGAGGCTAACGTGAGAAGATTGCTTGAGATCAGGAGTTTGAGACCAGCCTGGGCAACATAGTAAGACCCTGTCTCTACAAAAATACAAAAATTAGCCAGGCATGGTGGTGCATGCCTCTAGTCCCAGCGCTTTGGGAGGCTGAGGTGGGCAGATCACTTGAGGCCAGGTGTTCAAGACCAGCCTGACCAATATGGCAAAACTCCATCTCTACTGAAAATACAAAACTTAGCTGGGTGTGGTGGTATGTGCCTGTAGTCCCAGCTACTCGAGAGGCTGAGGCAGGAAGATCCTGGGATCCCAGGAAGTGGAGGCTGCGTGAGCTATGATTGTGCCACTGCACTCCAGCCTAGGTGACAAAGCAAGACCCTGTCTCAATAAAATAAAATAAAAATAAAAATTATAGCATGTTCATATTCATACAATGGAACATTATTCAACCATAAAAAGAAAGAAGTACTGATACATTTCACAGCATGGATGAACACGTGTAAAAGCATGTTAAGTGACAGAAACCAGACACAAAAGGCCACATCTATTATTCCATTTATATGAAATGTCCAGAAAAAGCAAATCCACAGAGACGGAAATAGTTGAGTGGTTGCTGGGGGTGGGATGGGGGAGGAAGGCCTGGGGAGGACCGATGATTGGCACAGGCTTTCCCTTTGGGGTGGTGGAGCTGCCCGGGAACTGGGGAGTGATGATGGTTGCACAACACAGAATTTACCAAAACCCGCGGACACTTTAAAATGGATAAAAGAGTGACTTTGATGTCAGGAGAACTACATCTCAATTAAAAATACAATTAAAAAATAAACAAAGACGTATGGGATCACAATAAAACATCCAAAGTTTGTGCTCATCAGAGTCTCAGAAGCTGAAGAGGAAGTGGTTGATGCAGAAAAAAAGATATTGAAAGAAATAATGGCTGAAAATGTCCCATATGTGGCAAAAGACATAAACTGGAAACAAACCAAACAGGTAGGTAAATAGATGAACAAAGTAGGCAACACCTACAGCCCACACAGATGCTGCTCAGCACGGAAAAGGAAGGGCCCTTGGCATGGGCAGCAATGCCAAGCTCACAGCCCTGCTACCTGGAGCACTCCTGTAACAGCGGCTCTAAAGTCTCTGTCAGAGGGTTTCCATGTACACCGCATTCTCTTGTTCTTTTTTGTTTTCACTGAGACAGGGTCTCACTATGTTGCCCAGGCTGATCTCAAACTCCTGGGCTTAAGGGATCCACCTGCTTCGGCCTCCCAAAGCACTGGGACTACAGGTGTGAGCCTCCCTGCCCAGCCATGTGGCATTCTCAATAAGGCAAAGCTAAAGTGACAGAGAGCAGGTCACCCGTTGCTGGATGACAAGGGGTGGCATGGGGAGTTTCTCTGGGGCGACTAAGCGGTTCTGCGTCCTCACTGCAGTGGGGGGGGGGGTCACACAAATCCATACACCTGTTAAAATTCATAACTCTGTGCACCGAAAAAGATACGTTGACAGCATGAGAATCTAAAAAGTAAAATATACAAATTTTAAAAAAATTATTTTTCAACCTCAGCTCAGGAAAAGACATCCTGGGGACCCTGGATTGAGAGAAGGTGGAAGATCATCACGGCTAGGATGCTAGGATTTTGTTTTCACAAAACACACTCCATACGCGGAGGACTTTGCCGCTCACAGAGCCCAGTTCCACCATTTCCCAGTGCATCCTTCACATCCACTGGGTGAATAGGTGAGCAGAAGTCCACTCCCCAGTGAGGGCAGAGGGGCCCCTGGAGGCACGAAGAGGAGAGTGCCCAACACGCAACCACGTGTGGCTGTCCATGGCAGGGCAGGTTCTCTGCCTCCCACATTCAGCTTTTCCTGCACACACCTCATCTACCTGGACAACCTCGCTTTACCCCTGAGGCCTGGGCTGCGGGAGGGCCTTGCCTGCGCTGAATAAGGAGGCTGGAGGGAGCACAGGTCCCTTTCTCGAGGGCACCGCCAGGGAGCTGGGTTCCCAAGGGAGTCCCAGTCTCTCCAAATACCACCCTGGATCCATGATGTGTGGGCACCACGCTGGGTCCTGGGAGGGAGCTCATACCCAAGCATTTCCCCCTCAAACTGGATGACCTAGAGCAGCCACAGGCTCTCCCCGTGCCTCGGTTTCCTTAGCTATGAAAGTAGAAATAAGACATGAAGATACAGAAATAAAGAGACGTAAAGATCCCAGCTCATCGACTGACTCTCCCACTTCCCGTCTCTGAGATGGGCTGCACCCAGCACCCTCACACTTGAGCCTGTCATCGGCCGGCAAGTCCCATGCACTTTTGGCAACGCATGAGTGATGTTTCATTGCCATTTACAATGTCCTCAGATTGTCAGCTGGTGGCAGAAGGAAAAGCGCCACACATGCTTTATTTGGCAGCAGTTTTTCCTCTTAGTGATGTGGAGATGATGCCACCACGTCTTGCAGTGGGTGGTGTCCAGGAGTGGAGGGCATGTGGTATTTATTTATTCTTGCAGCCTCCTGCGAGCCACCCACTATGCTGGCCTGGGGTGTAAAGAAGAAAGGCCACCCCCAGCCAGCCAGGAGATGGCAGCCCAGCAGGATGGCCACACACAGATGATGCAATTCTGCCCAAGCAGCGGGGATGGGGAGCGAGGCCCACAGAACCTGTCCCAAATGCTTCCCGTCTTGAGGCTCGGCTCCCGGATCCACACCACTGGGTGCCTGGTTCTGCCGCAGCCCCCTTCATCCCCCGACACCGGCCCACATGCTCCCCAGAAGTGCCCAGGCTCACCGCCTCACCGCAGAGCTGCCCCTCTGGAGCCGGCAGTTTTGCCCCTAAAACGAGAGCCTAGGCAAGCTGATCTCCAGAGGCCTCCTCGGCCCTCATGGCCCAGGAACATAAATTTTCATTTCTTGTAAACTTGGAATATTTGGAATTCCACAAGTTGCCCCATTGAACTTTTCCAGGAATATTTCCCAAGCTGCAAATTCTTGGGCCTCCTTTGAAATGCATCTTCCTCCAATCCTGCTTCTCTACGCCCTTGGCCTCCCCTGAGGCCCAGAAACTCCTGAGGTTCACTGGGAGGTCTTTTGAGTGGGTCTCCCTGAGGGGTCTCCATGAGAAGCTGTGAGCTTTCAACCCCCATGCCAGGGAGACCAGGGTGATGGGGCTCCAGGAGGTGGAATCTGAAGCTCATGTCACCCTGGAAACACCTCTTCCAGGAAGGCCCCCTGACCACCACCCCTTCTCCCAGCGGGGTTCCTTGGGCCAGCACATGTCCAGCCATCTGTGGGAAGAACTAACCTACCCTAGGCCATCTGCAGTCCTTCTGAGTGTGACTAGCACACGAGACTCACTGCATGAACAGGTGTGTGCACACGCTCCAGCCAGGTGAGCCATCTCCCAGGGATGTGCCCGGGTGATACCGCAAGGCCAGACCACAAGAAAGTCTCCAAATACTCTGATTTCTGTACTTGTTGTGGGCCTGGAACAAACATTTTGCAGACAGACCCCAATCTGTCAACTGTGCTGTGTCACCCTGTAGGGGCCCCTTAGCTCTGTGGCCAAAGGGCCCACTCCAGCAAGGTCACCACATCCCATTCAACCCCACATACCCAGCCCCCCAGGACAGGGTGTCCTGGTAAAGGAACGGCAGGAGGAATCAGCGCCTGAGAGTGTGAGCCAGGAATGAGTGCACGGAGGGACAAGTGCAGGGATGGAGCTGTCTTTTCCTCGCTGATCTCTGGAAGTGTGGTGTGGGTTTGGATGCCAGTCCTCCGGTTCCTGTGTGGGAAGCATTCTCCCATCTGTGGTTTGTCTTTGCACCTTCCTTGTGGCACGATTCTGCACGCAGAGTATATAAAATCCTTTATGGCTTGAACTCTTCATGTCCCAGTTGAGAAATCATTCTCTCTTTTTTTTTTTTTTTTTTTTTTTTTTGAGATGGAGTCTCACTCTGTTACCCGCTGCACAGGCTGGAGTGCAGTGGCGTGATCTCGGCTCACTGCAGCCTCTGCCTTCTGGGTTCAAGCAATTCTCCTATCTCAGCCTCCCGAGTAGCCAGGACTACAGGTGTGCACCACCACACCTGGCTGATTTTGTATTTTTGGTAGAGATAGGGTTTCACCATGTTGGCCAGGCTGGTCTTGAACTCCTGGGCTCAAGTGACCTGCCTGTCTTGGCCCTCCAAAGTGTTAGGATTACAGGCGTGAGCCACCGCGCCCAACCCTTCTTAACATTTTTGAGTTTTGCTTTTCACGTTTAGATCCCTGATCCACCTCAGGTTTGTTTTTATGCGTGGCGTAAAATAGAGCTGAAACGTTTTCATTGTCCGTACAGACAGGCTATGACTCCAGCCCTATTTCTCAAAGTAACTGCCCTTTCTACACCAAATGACATGGAAAAGCCACAGCCACTGTCTGGCGAGGAACCTGGTGTGCTCTCCCTCACCTCCTCCGCTGGCCAACTCCTGTTCATTCCTCAGTACCCAGTGGTGTGCTCAGGCCTCCAGGAATGCCCAAGTTTGGTGCCTCCTCTGGGCTCCCACTAGCTCTCTGTTCCCATCTGTCAACAGCAGAAGATAAGTGGACAAGCCATCCAACCCCCTGGGATCAGCCGTCAGAGGCTGGAGCTGTTTCTCTTATAGCTGTGTGACTTTGGGCACATTCCTTGACTCCTCCAAGCTCAGTTTCCTTGTCTACAAAGACAAAACAAAGATTTTAATGTGTGTCATGAAGTTTGAGGCAAATATTAAGTAAAATCATCTTTATAAGCTTTCTGGCCTATCAGGAGGTCTTTAGAAATTATTGTTATTATGGCCCCAGTGCTGCTTGCAGATGTGAGAGCCACCTCTTTCCTTGGCTGCTTCCCCACAAGACTGAGCACTGCCTGGGCATAGGAGCTGGGGCTGCCCCCAGGCCTGCCTGTGGGGCATTTTGTTTGCTGAACTGGGTGTACACAGCCCTGGACGAAGGCGGGAAGAAGGGAGGGTGCCATTATGGCCATCGATGGGGAGAGGAACATCGAGAAGACAGAGCAGCCTCGGGCTTGGCAGAGAAAGGGGGTTCCAGTCTACGTGGCCACCTCGTCCCTTCCAGGCGTTCCTTTCACTGTGGAAAATCAGACCTGGCACCCTCCCAGCTCAAGGTACAAAGCCCTGGCAAGTTCTATGAGGACTTCTCCAGATGGCCCGGGAAGGCCTTGGTTGCATTCTGGCTAAACACTCTCCAGCCACCCTCAGCAGCCCTGAGCTGGGCACAGAGTTGGAAGCAGCTCAGCGCCGTTGCTGGGAACAGGAGTCCTCCCCTCGGCACCACCCTGGCCTCCCCCTAATCCCCGCCTGCCTGTCACCCCACCAGGGACATAGCTGAGCAGGCTCAGCATTGAGATCTCAGCCTTCGATGTCCTCTCTCCAACTAAAAGTCAAAACGGGCAACTTCAAATGTTTAAAAGGCATCAGTTTTCTCAGCAAGGTTTCCCCGGGCCCTCTCGGCGTCCAGCCCTGTGATAAAAGCAGGAGGTGGGAGAGGATGGAGACCCCACCCTGCCCTCCACTCGGGGACAGCGACCCAAGTCCTGGGCCACGACATTATGTGAGAAAGGAGCTGGCGAGGCCGACAGAGCAAGTCAGTCACAGTGTCAGGGCCTCTGGCTCTCCTGTCCAAGGGTCTGTCCTCACCACCGAGAACATTCACGACCAAGCCAGGCCCAGCTCCTGCCCTGCTCCCTCCGGCCAAACCTGGCTCTTCCTGTCAAAGGCAGTCTCTCATTTCGAAGACCCTGAGCTTTGGGGCCAAACTGTCCATTCATTCATTCATTCATTCATTCATTCATCTCTCTGTGCTTCAATGTCCCCATCTGCAAAATGAGCATAACCTCAGCACCCACCCCACAGGAATGCGACGTGGATTTCCTTCATGGGTGAAATCTCAGTTAACCATACTCTCTCTTTTACCCTGCCTATGATTGGAACCTAGGGATGAAGACATCAGGCATACAGGAATGAATATAAAATATCACCTTTATCAAATAAGAAAAAAAAAGGCTGGGTTCAGAACATTTGCAGATGTGTAGCAATGACTTCCTAATGCCACCAGGGTTAGGTCACCGCCCAGCCGCAAGCAGCACAGGCCACGCAACCTCCCCAAGTGGGCTTCCCCAGGCCTGGCGGCTGGAAGGAGCTGACCACGCCCAGAGCTGGGGCAAAGAATGGAGAAGCAGCAGATACTCATGGACAGTGTCCTCCCCGCAGACAACTCCCTCCCCGCCGAAAGGCAGGGCAAGGAGCAGGGCAAGGGCCGTCCAGTGCCCTGGAAGGTTTAGGAAAGGTAAGGAAACCAGGCAGAGGAAGATGCATTCTATGACCACCTTCACCCACATTCCATCCAAACAGTGTCAGGATATCAATAGAGCGCTTAGAACAGTGCTGGGAAGAGAAAGTGCACAAGGACCAATAGCTATCACCATTATTACAACTTGTATTTTCAAGCCCTTGCTATGTGCCCAGCACCAAGCGAGAAGCTGAGGATGCAGAAGTGTGCAGGGCGAGCACGGCCCTGCCCTCCCGAGCCTCAGCCCCTGGCACTCACTCCTGTGTGATGTTGAGTAAATCAGTCACTTTCCCAAATGTGTTTCCTACTCTGTCAAAAACCAGCTACCCTTTAGAGCTGTTGAGAGGATGTCATGAGAAAAAGGTGTTATAACACCTGTCTTCTTCAAGTCATGTTAATCCTGCAACTTTGTTATTTTTCAACATGTTTTAGACACTTTAGGTCCGTTGCACTTTCATATGAATTTTATTTTAGTTTAGTTTAGTTTATTTTTTATTTTATTTTATTTTTTTCTGAGATGGAGTCTTGCTCTGTCACCCAGGCTGGAGTGCAGTGGGGTGATCTTGGCTCACTGCAACCTCTGCCTCCTGGATTCAAGCGATTATCCTGTCTCAGCCTCCTGAGTAGCTGGGATCACAGGTGCACATCACCATGCCTGCATAATTTTTGTATTTTTAGTAGAAATGGGGTTTTACCATGTTGGCCAGGCTGGTCTCAAACCCCTTACCTCAAGTGATCTGCCCGCCTTAGCTTCCCAAAGTGCTGGGATTACAGGTGGGAGCCACCGTGCCTGGCCTCATATGATTGTTAGAACTGATTTATTGATTTTTACAAAAAAAGCCTGCTGATGCTGCGCATGGTGGCTCAGCATAGAAGTTCTCTTCTATTCCTAGTAAGCTGAGAGTTTTTATCAAGCATAGATGTCAGATTTTGTCAAAGCTTTCTTGCATCTACGGAGATGATCAGGTGGTTTTTCATTATTAGTTTGTGAATGTAGTAAATTATATTGATTGCTTTTAAAATGTTAAACCAACCTTGCATTCCTGGGCTAAAAATGCCTTGGTCATAATTTATCATCCTATTTTTATATTATTAGATTCAATTTGATAAAATTTTATTAAAATTTTTGCACTATGTTCTTAAGAGGTATTCGCTTATTTTCTTGTAATGTCTTTGTCAGGTTTATGCATCAGAGTAATGCTGGCCTTACAGAATGAGTTGAGAAATATCCCTTCCTTTTCCATTTTCTAGAAAGCTTGGGTATAATTGGGGTTATTTCCTTCTTAGATTTTTGGTAGAACTTGATAGTGAAACCACCTGGACTTCAATTTTTTTATGGGGAAGTTTTTAACAACAAATTCAATTTCTCTAATAGATGTAGAGCTATTCAGGTTATATTTTTCTTCTTGAGTGATCTTTGGTATTTCATCTTTCAAGAAATTTGTCCATCACAGCTAAGTCGTTGAATTTATTGGCATGGAGTTGTTCAGATTATTTCTATTTTCTTTTCAATATCTATAGGGCCTGTGGTGATGTCATCCCTCTCATTCTTGATTTTGATATTGTTGGGCTTTGCCCAAACAGGATCTCCTACAAAACAGTAATAATATTTCAAGCAGACATGCTCCATTAGCTTTTCCAATAGTTATTTCACTTTCTTCCTGGAATCTCCCAAACATATTCTCACTGTCTTCACCTCTATTTGTACCATCAGGTCCTGCATGGAGTTTTGCCCCATGGGATGGTAGTGCAAGGTAGGGCTAGGTACAACTGTATACAACAGAGGGCAGAATTCAGTGGCTTAAGCAGATGAAAGGTTTACTCTCTCAGGTAAAATAAAAGATATCAGGAGATGGGCAGTCTGGGGCCAGTGTGACAACCCCACACTGTCTGCTTCTCTCTTTCTGCTTCAACATATTTGGTATGTGGTGCCCATCTTCAAAGTCACAATCTGGCTGCCAGAGCTCCAATAACTACATCTGCATCCCAGCCAAGAAGAAGGGAAGGGCAGGGGTCAGGAGGGGTGAGCACCACTTATCTATTCCCTTAGGGAACTTTCCTGGAGTCCGCTCAGGTAAATTCCACTTGCACCCCATGGGTCCCACCCTACAGATTAAACTGCCTGCTTCTGCCTTTAGCCTGGGGCCTCTCCCATGCCACACCATCCCTAATACCTCCTTTTGCCCCTAGCACAACCCCACACCCAATGAAGCCAGGGTACCTTCCATAACTAAGACCCAGAGGATGGTCTTCATTCCTCTGTTCTACAGATGGGGAAACTGAGGCCCAGAGAAAAGGTGTTTGGCCCAAGGTCACTCACAAATTTAGTGGCCAAGCAGGGCAACCACACCAGCCACTCTTCGTAGCCAGAGCTCCTTCCATTGCATTCCTTCTGGTTCTTTGAAGATGACATTTAGGGAGATTGACCAGGTGGACCCAAGACCACCCAGTAAGCAGCTGAATGAGTCGTCTCAGGGTAAGTGTGCCAGGTGCCACTGAGCCCCCTAGAACATGGCTGGGTGTTGTCTTACTTATCACGAGTGATCTCTCATTCACCCCACAGGTTTGCTCCACCCTGACCCAGACCAGAGCAGAGCTGCAGATGGGGTACCCCAAGAAGGTTCCTTTTGTCTTCCTAGAGCAGGGTTTCAGTACCTGACACTGCTGACTCATGTTCCCATCTCCCAGAGTGAGGGATCTCACACACACACGCAAGTGCATGCACAAACACAGACACGCGTGCACACTCTGGAAGAAGCAGGGCTGTGCGATTTTGCATAGAGGCATCTGGTACCTGGGAATGAACGACTCTAATTCCACAGGCACTCACTGAGTGCCTCCTGGGCTTAGACCTCTGGGCCCTTGGAAGCATGAGCGTTGGGGCTGCCCCAACGGCACCACTGACTAGGTGGGAGTTGACAGCCCCTGGGATGGCAGACAATTTGCCCTTCTCCTCAACTGAGATAATACTGGGACAGAAAAGAAGATTTCGAGGCAAATGACACCCCATGCATGGCACATCCCACCCCACCTTCAGATGATCAGAGTCAGAGAGAATGGGAGAAAACATTAGATGAAGCTGCAGCTGCCTCTGTGTCTCCCCGCACCCCTGTCCATTTGACAGGGGCAGCCCAGGAGTCCCCATCACACCTCTGCTGGGCTGGTGCAGCTAGAAGAGGAGAGGCAGCTCCCAGAGGGGCTGTGAGCAGAGAAGGGCCTGTATCGAAGGCCATTCTTTTTTTTTTTTTTTTTGAGACAGAGTCTCACTCTGTCACCCAGGCTGGAGTGCAGTGGTGCGATCTCAACTCACTGCAAGCTCCGCCTCCCGGGTTCACGCCATTCTCCTGCCTCAGCCTCCTGAGTAGCTGGGACTACAGGCACCTGCCACCACACCCGGCTAATTTTTTGTATTTTTAGTAGAGATGGGGTTTCACCGTGTTAGCCAGGATGGTCTTGATTTCCTGACCTCGTGATCCGCCCACCTCGGCCTCCCAAAGTGCTGGGATTACAGGCGTGAGCCACCGCGCCCGGCCCGAAGGCTATTCTTGACCCAGGATGTGGGGACACCCTCTGACATTTCCCAGCCACCCCGCATGGTGAGGGCTCCTTTCTCATTTTGCATAAGGATGGCTAAGGTAAATTGCCTGATATTAGCTGGGGGCATGCGAGACCTGGTACCCAATTGTCCAGGCCAGAGCCCACACTCCCCAAATCCCAGCATCTTCACTGCTGCTTCTCTCTGGGGCAAAGAGAAGCCCAGCAGCTTCCCGCCCTCCCTTCTGCCCTAATGCCCAGCTGCAGCCTGCATGGCCAGAATCAGTTCCTTCTAGGAGTGCCGGCTCAGAGAAAGGTCACTTTCAGAATAGAGAGATTCTAGAATGCGCCTCAGTTCTTGGAAGTCACTTTTTCCTTCTCAGCCAAAAGAGCAAAAGCAGTTGCCCAGGCCCCCGCCCTCTCTTGTCCACGCCAGAAGTTTGTGCCTCGTGCAAACTCGAGAGAAATGGGCACCTCCCAGCCATGGCCTACTGCTGACGTGGCCTCAAGTCCGGGTCACCCCAGGGAGAAATGGGACCTTCCAGAGCTTGTGCAGGAAGAAGCTGGTCATGCCAAAGTGTCAGGCCCTGCCCCGGCCAGAGGGACTGGGCTCTGGCAGGCGTGCCTTTGCCGAGGGACTGGGTTCCGGCAGTCGTGCCTTTGGGGGCTCTCTGAGTGAGGGGCTGGAGGTGGAGCAGGAGAGGCCCTCGGCTGTGCTGGTGACCCTCTCATGCTGTCACTCAGCTCCAGGGGTATGCAGACCCCACAGGGCCCCACCCAAAGCTACCCCACTGGCCCCACTTCACACTCCCTCCCTGAAAGCCAGGAGGTGCCATCCGAGTGCCCACCCTGTGTAGGCAAGGACAGGAAGGGCCTAGCGCAGGTTACTCAGGTGCATGGGCAAGGCCGGGTACCAAGCCAGGTGTGTCTGACCCCAGAGCTGGTGCCTTCTCTCCTGCATGCCCTACCCTCCCCTGAGCCACAGCCTCATGGGGCCAAAGACAGACTTCTTGAAAGGGCATAACATCCAGCCAGTCATCAAGGTCAGGGGACTCAGGACAGCTAAGCTGGAAGGACCCTAGAGCCACGTGGCCTGTGTGCAGGTCTCAGATGAGGATTCAGGGGCCCAGAGAGGACACGACTCCCCCAGCCTCACACGGCAGGTTGAGGAACAGAGTCGGGACACACCTGCTGCCCCCTCCTGAACCCTGGAGACATCAAGCTCCCTACCAGATGACTGTTGCTTCCTCTGCCCCCCTCCCTCTTCTGCTCCCTGGCACTGAAAGAGGGGCAGGAAACTCAGGAGGGCCCTGTCTTGACGTGCCATGATCACCACTAGATACAAATGAATTTTTCAAATAAATTTCTGGATGAATCATTATACCAGGAAACCTTGAAAACTGCCTATTTCTCCTGGAGGCTTCTATCCTCTGTCTGGTCCAACAGCTGCCTGCAGTCTCCTTTCTTGAAAACTTGTAAATAATTCATTTGGCTGATGGGGCTGTTGACAACTATGCCAGTGCCTGCTGCAGCCCCAGCAGCTGGAACCCCAAGTCCAGCGAAGGCCTCTGGCTGTTAAAATCAGCACTGAGTCCTTAGCTCCTCTTTCAAGTCCATTCTCTCCCCAGACACTCATGAACTGGGCAATAGACCATGGCCCTCATGAGGCTCCATCTGCACACCAATCGTTCACTGGGGTTTCAAATCAGCCAGAAGAGATATCTGCAAGAAGCTTGTTCAGGTTACACTGTTACAAGGTTACATTGTTACAACCGTACATCATTGCCAAGGCCACATTGCTCATGAGAAGATGGGTGAAACTCTAACAACCCTCTCTGATGAGTTCTGGGCTGGTGATGGTGTTGTTTTTGTTGTTTTGTTTTTTGTTTTTTGAGACAGGGTCTTGCTCTGTTGCCCAGGCTGGAGTGCAATGGTGCGATCTTGGCTGACTGCAGCTTCAATCTCTTGGACTCAGACTCTTCTGCCTCAGCCTCCTGAGTAGCTGGGTCCACAGGCACACACCACCAAGCCCAGATAATTTTTTTTATTCTTGGTAGAAATGGAGTCTCACTATGTTGCCCAGGCTGGTCTTGAACTCCTGGCCTCAAGCCATCCTCCCACCTTGACCTCCGAAAGTGCTGAGATGACAGGCATGAGCCACTGCACCTAGCCTGGGCTGGGGTGAGGTTTTTCAGGGAATGGTGAAGGGTGAGGGGCTGGAGAATTAGGCTTGTTGATTGGTCAGGTCAGGGAAGGGAGATGAGTCATCAGTATCTGGGACCATGTTCTTGGGCGAGTCAGCTCCTCTGGGGTCCTCAGGACAGCTGGTGTCAGGAGTGTCCTTGGCACGCAGAGCCTGAAGGGGTATCTCAGGGGAAAACACGTTCCCAGTGCTCAGGCTGTCGTCTGCAGAGCAGTCGAGGGGGCGATGCTCTTGTGGCCGGGCCTGCGTGACTCTGGGGCCATAGCAGCAGATGGGCACAAGGTGGTGGGTTGGAGCGTGGCCACCCAGGGACGAGCACAGAGGGCGCCGCACTGAGTTCATTTTTGTTTTCCCCCCTCTATTCTTCCCTGGTTAATTTTATGAAGTTTACAGGGACGGTTTCAGACCCCCAGCGTACAGCTGGGCAGAACTTCCATCTTGTCGTGGGGGAGAGACCACGGACAACCATCTCACTCCCAGGAATGCAGGCGCTCAAAGGAGGGTGTCACAGAGAGGCGTGGAAAGCCTGGCGAGCTCTTCCAATATTTTCAGGCACTTCCCACTTCTTATTGGACTATAACAGACATGAAGAAGTACAGATGTCATCAGAGGACAGCTTGATGGACTTTCACCAAGTGGGCACAGCCCTGAACCAGCCCCATGTCACCCCGCACTGGGGAGGGAACGTTTGAGCGGAGGCTGAGGGCACTGGGAGTGAACTGTGTCAGTGCCTGGGGAACAATATTTGGGCAGAGGGACCAGCCTGCTCCTTGGTCAGGAGCACCCCAACCCCTAGCCCAGCCTCTGCTCCCTGCCCCGCCTCCTGCATGGCCCTCAGGCCATCCCAGGGGTCATATCCCCCTGAAAGCCTTTCCTGACTCACCCGACTCGGGTTGGGTAAGGCACTCCTCTGGGCTCCCACAGCCCTGGCCCTGCCCCTGGTGACACTTGCTGTTCCTCTGTCTCTGTTAGGCTGGGAGCAGCTTGGGAGCAAGGGCAGCATCTGCTCAGGAAATGCTGTGGATGCCAACTGCTCTCGTCATTCTATGGGCCTGCCGCAGGGGCAAAGCCAGGACAGCTGTTCACCGCTGCCCTTCGCTGGACCGTGAGTTCCCAGTGGTCAGCCCGAATCCTCCATGACCATTTCCTCTGAGCCTAGAACAGGACCCAGAACAAATTGGGTGGTAAATAAATAAGTGAAGCCAGGTGCATTGGCTCACACCTGTAATCCCAGCACTTTGGGAGGCCAAGGCGGGAGGATTGCTTGAGCTCAGGATTTCGAGACCAGCCTGGGCAGCATGGTGAAATCCTGTCTCTACAAAAAAATACAAAAATTAGCTGGATATGGTGGCACACGTCTGTAGTCCCAGCTCCTAGGGAGGCTGAGTTAGGACGATCACTTGAGCCCAGGAGGTGGAGGTTACAGTGAGCTGAGATCATGCCACTGCACACCAGTCTGGGTGACAGAGTGACACTCTGTCTCAAGATAATAATAACAAATAAATAAATTGAATGGTGCCCCGCCAAGTGCCCAGTGCACGTGGAGCAGGCATCACTCTGCGGCTCCACACCCTGTCTCCTCCCAACATGCCTGTGTGCTCCACACTGCTGCTGCTCTTACTATGTGGGCCTGAGCTTGGGGGCCTTTGCAGGTAACTGTGTTAAGTACAACATTTTTAGAGAAAGTATCAAAACCGTTCAACTCAGTGAATTCTTATCAAGTGGACACATCCATGTAGCGCTGCCCCCCAACTGGGTCCCAGATCAGAAACTGTAGAACATGACCTCACTCTGAGGTCCCCTGCTACTGCCTCAAAGGATGAGGGCAGCCACCGTTTCACCCTCCATCCCCACAAATGCTTTCGCCTGGCTGGAGCGTTGAGTAAAAGGTAGTGCACGCAGTGGCTCACATCTGTCATCCCAGCACATAGGGAGGCTGAGGCGGGCGGATCACCTGAGGTCAGGAGTGTGAGACCAGCCTGGCCAACATGGTGAAACCCCATCTCTACTAAAAAAAATACAAAAATGAGCTGGGCATGGTGGCGGGCGCCTGTGATCCCAGCTACTCAGGAGGCTGAGGTTGCAGTGAGCCAAGATCGCACCACTGGGCTCGAATATGGGAAGGCAGAGGGTGCAGTGAGCCGAGATCACACCACTGCACTCCAGCCTGAGCAAAAGAACGAGACTTTGTCTCAAAAAAAAAAAAAAAAAAAAAGATCAGAGCCCAGGCCTCGTCCTGTGGGTGCATAGTCTGCTTGGCTTGTTGGCAGTGATATGTGCCAGGTGCCCTGTGCAGAGCTGGCTCTTCCCTGCTCACCTAAGCTTCTGTTGCACGTGTGGAACACGTGTAGTGCCTCCACTCCCTATGGACGGGTGCATGGTGGCTTCCAGTAGGCTGGACCTGTGCTTTGGTGCACATATGTGTATGTTTCAGTTGGGGGTTTCGCCAGGAGTGGGAATGCCTGGGCACAGCGTGGCTGATGCTGCTAGATGGTTTGGGTTCAAACCAAGTGGTTCAAAGCATTGAACCAATCCTTTCCCACCAGCCCCACCCAAGAGTTCTGGCTGCTCCACACAGCACTTGCAGGTATCTGCCGGGAGGGTTTTGGTCACCCTGGTGGGTGTGTAGTGATCTGGCATTGTGGTCTCAATCCTCATTTCCCTGATGGCTGATCAAGATGAGACACCTTTCCATGTTTATTGATGATCTGAATATGCTCTTTTGTGATGTGTCTTTTTAAAAACCTTTATCCATTTTTATGTTTGATCTACTGTTTTCTTATTGAATTGTAGTGATTCTTGATATATTCTAGGTTCCAATTCTTTGTCAGGTCTATGTACTGTTAAAATCTTCTCCTGCTCTTTGACATCTGTTTATTCTCCATGGTGGCTTTTGATGAGCTGACATTTTTCATTCTATTATGGTCTGACTTATCCATTTTCACCTTTATGATTAGACTTTATGTTTCCTGGTTGATATGGTTTGGCTGTGTCCTCATCCAAATCTCACCTTGATTTGTAACTCCCACATTTCCCATATGTCGTGGGAGGATCCCAGTGGGAGGTGATTGAATTATGGGGGCCAGTCTTTCCTGTGCTGTTCTCGTGATAGTGAACGAGTTCATGAGATCTGATGGTTCTAAAAAATGGGAGTTTCTCCACACAAGCTCTCTTTTTGCCTGCTGCCAGCCATGTAAGATGTGACTTGCTCTTCCTTGCCTTCTGCCATGATTGTGAGGTCTCCATAGCCATGTGGAACTGTAAGTCCAATAAACCTCTTTGTTTTGTAAATTGCCCAGTCTCAGGTATTTCTTTATCCTGAAGTCAGGAGTTCGAGACCAGCCTGACCAACATGGTAAAACCCTGTCTCTAAAATGCAAAAATTATCTGGGTGTGGTGGCGGGCACCTGTAATCCCAGCTACTGAGATTACAGTCTGACACAGAAGAATTGGTTGAACCCAGGAGGCGGAGGTTGCAGTGAGCTGAGATTGTGGCACTGCACTCCAGCCCGGGCGAGAGAGTGACACTCTGTCTCAAATAAAATACGTTTATTTACATTTTTAAAGGAGATTTATTTAAGAAACAAAAACACAATGGAACATCTCACAGGCTACTTTACACAATAAAATAGGCAGTAATAACAGACATATTTTTGCAAGCATAGACACTCGGTGATGAGCAGACAAACCACATTCATAAAGAAATTCCTGAGATAACAGCTGTCATTTGAAAACCCATGAAGGACACCCTACGTCTGGTGACGTGATCGATCAGACACTCATGGGTCAGCACTGCACACGCAGCTGCCCAAAGAAACAAGACCTCGAGAAATTTACCTTTCATAAATTCAGGCGTACAAAAAGGACATCTCTTCATTTATTGAGGAAGTTTCGACGATTTTATGTACGCACACACACAACGCTTACACATAAAGTCAATGTTGTGATAATCATTTTCACAGAGTCACATTTGTAAAAAATGCATACAACAAATTAGAACTCTCAACGTCTTTACACAATTTATACCTCCCATACTGGAAATCATGCAAAGATGAAATACATAGAATAACAAAAATAACGTTGATAATTAAAAACAATGGGCCTGGGTGTGGTGGCTCACGCCTGTAATCCCAACACTTTGGGAGGCCGAGGTGGGCGGATCACTTGAGGTCAGGAGTTTGAGACGAGCCTGGCCAACATGGTGAAACCCTGTCTCTACTAAAAATACAAAAATTAGCCAGACATAATGGCGGGTGCCTGTAGCCCCAGCTACTCAGGAGGCTGAGGCAGGAGAATTGCTTGAACCTGGGAGGCAGAGGGTGCAGTGAACCGAGATCGCACCCCCGCACTCCAGCCTGGGTGACAGAGTGAGACTCTGTCTCCACAATAATAATAATTTTAAAAAATGGGAAAACAACAACAACAACAAAAGAAAACTAAAAACTAAAAAGAAAATTCAACATATGACAAAGTGTATTAAAGGGATCTATTGCAGGGATAGATTAGAGCAATTGCACGAGATGGTCCAGAAAGGCTGGCCGACTTTCACGATCATTGACTATCTTTGAAGTCTCTCATCTCAACGAATAGTTGCTTCTTATCCTTTAGGACATGGACTCTCCTAGAATTTCATCAGCTGGAAGAAATGCCGGTGCAGGCAAATAATGCAGTTTTAAATCGAAGTTTTTGTCACTACCATACTGCCTGGCCAATCCACTCATCTGGATGTTTTTTTTTTTTTTGCCAAATGCATTGGGCTGAATGGAAAAAAACAAACATTATTGCTAACACTTGAAATGTGCTTTTAGAAGCCTTGATTGAGCCGAATTCCAAATCTGTCATTATGGTTTAGGGATTCAATTAGATGTTAGGGATTTTAGACTTTAGGGATGTTGATCTTTCAGGATTTTGACATTCCGGATAGTGGCTTTTGGGATTGTGTCTTTTGGGGTAATGACCAGCACCAAGCCAGGATAACCTCCCCATCTCAGATCCAAAATCACTTCTGCAAAGTCTCCGTTCCATGTAAGGTCCTAAGTACAGGTTTTAGAGATTAAGAGGTGGGCATTTTGTGGGGGAGGGGGGACATTATTCTGACTCCCAGTCAGTGAAACTGCAAGTGCAGACCACCACGGAGAAGGGAAGCACCTCCACAACCAACCCCCAGGATTGCAGTGCTCTTAACATTTTCAGGCCTGTCCCTCTGGACGTTTTTCAGACTGTGTGTGTTTTCAGGAACGGGCTCACATACTTCTGTAACTCACTGTTATTAAAGCTCACGGCACTCCGGGCATCTGCCACATCACTAAGCATAGACACTTCCCCCACGCTGCCACGAGGCTGCCTGGGGTTCTGCTGGACCAGATTGGAGTAACCAGTCTCCCACGGGGCCACCAGGCCGTTCCTGACCTTCTGCGCCATGCACAATTACAGGGAGCATGCTCCCGGCCCATCCATGCTCACCCTTCACCTGTGGGACTCTGGTGCCAGCTCATTCCTCAGGACATCTCAGGCCAGCCTCAGTTTCTCTCCATCCTCATTGGGTGATGATGGTCACTGCTGGTCACTGCCATGGGTGCTCAGGCATGGGAGGAGGGGTGTGGAGTAGCAGCGGCCCTGAGGCAGACCCAGGACCTTGGGGAGCCCTGTGCCCCCTCCACCCCACGACTCCCTCCTTGGCCTCCATGTGCTAGAGCCCCAGGGCAGCCCCCCAGCTTCCCCCACCAGCTCCACCCTGCTATTCCATGGGCACCTCACACCCAACACGTCTAAACCAAATGCTTTCTCCCTCCCGGGCCCTCTTCCCCTGACACCCCCTGAGGTCCACGCCTCTCTCTCTGAACACATCCTGGTGTTCTCTTCCCCTCCCACCACTGCAGTTGCCATCGGGGGTCAGCAGAATAATTCCCCTCACCCAAGATATCCCAGTGCAAATCTCCAGGACCTGTGACTATGTTAGGTTGCGTGGCCAAGGGTCAGAGACACCATGCAGGCATGAAGGCAGCTCACCGGCTGACCTTGGAGGGAGGCCACCTGGATTGGCGGGTGGGCCATGTGATCACAGGGGCCTTCAGTGTGGAGGGAGGGCCAGAAGCAGAGCTCCATCGAAGGGGGACATGGCTGCGGAAGGTCAGGGGACACCCCATGGCCGGCTCTGAGATGGAGGAAGGTTCCCTAGCCCAGGAACGCGAGAGGCTTCCAGGAGCTGGAAAAGGCAGGGAACGGATTCTCCCCTGGAGTCTCCAGGAGGACCCAGCCCTGCCGACGCCTAGACTTCAGCCCACAGGACCTGGATAACCAAGTCCAGTGAGAACCGATCACGTGTCTGGACATTCCCACTGCTGAGGTCCTGGTGATTTGTTGTAGCTGCAAACAGAAGCAGGCCACCTCCACTGTGTGGCTCCCCATGTCTACGTCCAGCCCGGATCTCGCTCTGCAGCTGCAGACACAGGTACTCATTCTCCCTATCATCTCCACGGGGATGCCAAATCACTCAAACTCACACTCCACCCCACCTGGCCACCCCCTTGGGTGCCACACCCAGGGAGCCAAAACCTTAAGGCCTGGCTCAGAGTCCCGTGTGCGGCAGAAGCAAGTGAGCGCGTCTGACATCCAGATGGCAACACCGCTGCTCTCGCTTCCCCGTGAGGCCTCGCTCATGGCTCACCCCCGGCTGTGTCCTCCTGCCTGCAGCATGGAGATGGGGTCGCTGGACGCAGCAAACAAGGGCCTCCTCCTGGTGAGAACAGCGACGTGGCGCAGGACTCCAGCGCCGCCCCTCCTGGGTGTGGTGTGGGGCCTGGGCAAGGACCTGGGTCTTTCCAAGCCTCAGTTTCCTCATCTGCGAAATGGGGACAAACACACCACTGCCAAGAAAACTGTTGGTCCTGACCAGGCCCCTTCAGGGCCACTGCCCCTCCCCGGCAGCTGGGAGTGCCCCCTGCAAGGGAAAGTTGCCCATGGTCAGTGCTGCCCTGGCTCGGAGTTGGGGCAGGGAGCAACTTCTTAGGAAGCACCTCCAATCGCATGAACAAGAATCCCCATCTCAGCTCTGCTTCTAGGGAACCCGGCCCAAGGCTGCCCACTTCACACAGGGCTGCCCGCAAGCTCCTGCCTGGGCACCTTACACAGCCACTCACTCGCCACTGCCACTCCGGGGCAGCTGGCATCTTACACATGAGGCCGGAGAGGCTCAGAGGGATCAGTGCCACTTTCTGCAGTGGACTCCCTCCCTCCCTCCCACCCCACTCCCTTTTCCCTCCCTCCCTCCGTCCTCAGGGCTGCAAAGGATCTCTTTGGTTCCTTCAAAGCCTCAGCGTTGCACTTGCAATGAATGTCCTGATGTTTTTTGGTTACCAGAGAAGAGTTGCAACTACAAAATCTCCGACGCATCTGTGTTCTCTTTTCCAGTGTCCATAGTAACTCCCAGTGTTACTCTGTCATCTGCTCAAGAGAGGGGTGATGGCTGGGCCCTCTCTGAGTCCTGCCAGCTGCCAGCCCTCCAGGGCAACGGCCGGGATGGTGCATGAGGCTGGGCTGGTCAGTGGCACTGCTGAGAAGAGGAAGGGGCCCCAAAGTAGGCGGCGGGAGGAGGAGGAGGAAGGCAGCCAAGGACACAGAAGAGACATTTGCTCGGACAGCGACGTTCTCCCTCTTCACAGGTGAGCATCTGTAAAGGAAGGGAAGGGTCTCACCCCAAACCCAACAGACCAAAGCCTTGGGATGTATCAGCAAACACGGGGTTGTGTTTGTGTGTCTGTGGGCTCATGGGAGGTGCAGAAGCCAGCACCTCACACTCATGGGGGATCTGCCGCCCAAGGCGCCGCAACCCCATGGCCACAGTCGGTCAGCCAGACCCCGGCCATGAAGGCTGAGGATGGGGTCCCTTCCATCCAGTCCCACGGACACTTCCGAATGTCTGCACCACTCAGAGGTGACTCTGAGCAGACATCAGGTTCAACTCCGCAGCCCAGCAGAGGGGACGAGGTGGCCAGGCCTGGCTGGGGGTCACTTGGGGAGGGGGCTTGGAGACTCCCATGGGCTCCCCAGGCCCAACCAATAACCCACACAACAGACACAACCCATGGCACCCAGACCCACCCTCAGGGCCCGGCAGGCCAACCTCCAGCCGCAGCCCCTGCTAATAACAAGGTCACGTCCTGAAAGTCCCTCCTCACCCTCCCACAGCCATACGAAATTGCCCAGGGGCTGCCTCAGGACCCCACACAGAAACCTGAGCTGTAAAACTTGCCAGATGTGAGGCCAGGTATAGTGTCTCATGCCTGTAATCCCAGCACTCTGGGAGGCCGAGGCAGGCAGATCACCTGAGGTCAGGAGTTCGAGACCAGTCTGGCCAACATGGTGAAACCCCATCTCTACTACAAATACAAAAATTAGCTGGGCATGGTGGTGGGCACCTGTAATCTCAGCTACTCGGGAGGCTGAGGCAGGAGAATCACTTGAACCTGGGAGCTGGAGGTTGCAGTGAGCCAAGATTGCACCGTCACGCTCCAGCCTGGGCAACAAAAGCGAAACTCCATTTCAAAACAAAACAAAACAAAACAAATCAAAGCAAAAACTGCCAGATGTGAGGCCACACCTAAGCTTCCCAGGGGGCCTGGGCTTTCTGGGCTCAAGGCTCTGCCTGCTGCCGGATCTGTCACTGGGGGACGGGGCAGGGGTGAAGGAGCGGGGGCCGGAACACGCTGTGTCTCCTCAAGTTTTTCCTGGACTCCTGTCTGTACATGGAGCGACAGCCCTGCCTCCAGGTGACCAGGGGCAGGACCCAGGATCCCAGCAAGCATGCTTGTTTGAACACTTTTTGGATGCAAGTAACAGAAATGAATTCTGGCTTCAGCCAGGAAAGAAGAAAACAGAAAGAAGGAGAAAGAGGAGAAAGGAAAGGAGGGGAAAGGGGAAAGAAAGGGGAGGGAGATGGCAGGATGGTCCCAGAACCCACAGGCAAGGATGCACGCTGAGCTCCGGAACGCCCAGAGCAGGCGCTGGGGGAGGATGGGAGTGCTTCCCGCACGCAGCCTTCCCTCCCGGGGTTTTCAGCCACATCCCTCTGGGTACAGTGTTACTCAGCAGAATAATTCACTGCCAGGCGATTCTGGGCTTCTAAACTATCAGCCAGCCCCTCAAATAGACTTGTCCTTCTTCGTTCACTTCCCCAATGTGGACACGCCCTGGCCTCGCCTGGTCGGGGGCCCCCATGGTGTGAGCACGTCCTCTGCTGTGCCCACATAGGCCAGGGCTGAGGTGGAGGGAAAGAGCCCCCTGTGCCTGCTCGGAGCCGGCCACACTTCTGCAGGGAACACAGCTCCATCCAGCTGTGGGGGCTGAGCTGGGAAGCCCTGAAAGGTGCCTGCTGGCCTCCAGGCCCAGGCCAGGTGGGAACCTGCTGTGGTCGCAGGCCTCCTTGTCCCTTCAGGCAGCAGCTGACTCCCTGTCCACAGCCAGCTGCGTTCCAGTGGGGAAGCTCCATCCCAGGCCTGTCTGATGACAATTCCACAATTCCACCCACGCTGCCTCCAGGAAGCTCTGCTGATGAGGTTCCCGTGGCCCTGCCTGTTGCAGGCGGCTGACCGAGGGCCAGCAGCCCAGCCAGCCCAGCTCACCAAGCAGCATTTCTCACTTGGAGCACGGCAGAGCTGGAGTTGTTTTTATATTTGTGCCAAGAAATGGCTCCAAGCACTGCAGACGTGGGCTCTGGCGGAGCCTCCAACAGGGCAGGCCACGCGGGGCCAGCAGCCTCCTTCCGCCCAGGGGCTGGCCCAGGAGGTGAGAATTCCACAGAGAAGTGCACACGTAGCACTTGGCCCGCTCCCCCTGGGGCAGAGCCATCACCTCCCAGCCCGAGAGGACCCCAGGCTGAGGGGGGAAGGGGCTGCCCAGGTCACACAGGGACCCTGGAATGCGGCAGAGCCCAGCACCAAAGGTTAAGTGAGGCCAAATCAGCAATGAGCATGGAGTGGTGCCCGGGCTGGAAGGACAGTCACTACCTCCCACCCCAGCAGGCGGCTGAGGGCTTCTTTGTTTTTGGTGGAGTCAGGATCTGGCTAAACAGACTGTTAAAGAAATGCGGAATTCCAGTCCATGCCGTTTTCTGGGTAACAGAGGGTTTAGGAGAAATCCCTTCTGCTCCACTTCTGTTGAAAATATTTCTGCACTCCAAGCGCCCTCAGCAGTGTCAGCAGGGCACAGCCCCTCAGCAGCTTGTGACACCCACGTGCCCTGGTCTCAAGGAGGTCCCCAGACATTGCACTGAGCACCAGGTCTCCTTGTGAATGTCCCCATGAGAGCAGGGAGTGCCCCTTCTCTAGCTGGTGTCCCATGTCCTCATCAGGAGCACATACTCAGGGCCACACAGCCCTCGTCCCCAACTATGGTGCTGTGATTTGCTGTGTGTATTCGTCCATTTTCACACTGCTGTGAAGAAATACCCAAGGCTGGATAATTTATAAAGCAAAGATGTTTACTTGACTCACAGTTCCACATGGTTGGGGAGTCCTCAGGAAACTTACAATCATGGTGGAAGGGGAAGCAGGCACATCTCACATGGTGGCAGGAGACAGAAGTGCAAGAAGGAGGAAGAGCCCCTTACAAAACCATCAAACCTCATGAGAACTCCCTCACTATCACCAGAACAGCATGGGGGAAACCGCCCCTGTGATCCAATCACCTCCCACCAGGTTCTTCCCTCAACACCTGCAGATTACAATTCAAGATGACATTTGGGTGGGGACACAGAGCCCAACCATATCAGTGGCCTTGAGCAAGTGTCTCAGCCTCTCTGTCTCTGCTTCCTCATCTGAATGAGAGGGTGACAGTGAGGACTCCCATCTCTTAGGGTTGCATGGGCATGAAACAGTGCAGCTAGTGCAGCGGAGGGCAGGCACATTTGCTGCTCCCCTTCCCCCACAGGGCGTGACTCATGCCCCCCACACCGGCTGCCTGTCCAGGGCCACGGAGGAACCCTGGGGATCTCCATCCACCCTACCACGTCTTGCAGACTAGGATGCCCGGGCTGCAGAGGTGCTGGGAGGTCAAGGTGGCAGAGCTGGGGCTGAGTGCTGGCCTCCCAGGGCAGGAGGCTCCTCCTGCACCCTTGAGCCTGGAGCACCCTCCCTGCATCTGGCCTCAGTGCACCTGACTTCCCACAGGCAGAGATGCCACCTCCTCAGGGGCTGCAGCCTCCTGTTCGCAGATGGAAGATGCAGCTCTGAGGGGTGAGGAGTCACAGCCGGAGCAGCACCCGGACAGAAGCCTGCTCCAGCCAGTTTCTGCCACCTCTGTCCTATCTCTCCTTTGAAAGGTGAGGGACAGGGACCTAGAGAGGCTGCCAGGGCCCTCAGTGTAGCACCGCCTCTTCCTGAGAGGTCACGCAGCCAGGAGAAAGGACAGATCAGCTGTTGTTGGTGGAGGGAGTGGGACATGGAGGGGGCATTCCTCTGCGGCTGGGGGCAGCATGCAGGGGAGGGTGGGTAGAGCAGAAGGTGAGTAATGACCAGAATCAGCAGGACCCAGACCAGGAGGCTGGGGGAAGTGGTAGATACAGCAACAGGTACCCTGCGGGGGCCTATTTAGAATCCAGAGAAGTGGCGTTCAGCCCCAGGGAGCTCAGGGACTGGGGTGGTGAGGCAGACGGGGCTGGCACTGGCAGGGCAGGGCTGCCACCATGGAGTGCAGTTTGCAGGTGCAGCCAGGGTGCCTGGGTTGTGACAGGGGCAAGAGCAAGGGTTTGGAGCAGACCCTTGAGACCCCAGGAAGAGCTCTGCCAAGCTTCAGTGCCCTCTTCCCCACAGGGAGGATGAAGGGAACTTCCTCCCGGGTGGAAGAGATGAGCTATTGAAGGTGGATACAGACTTGGCGCAGGTCCACACCCAAGGATTGGCAGGACCTGTGCACACTACAGACTCGGCACAGGTCCACACCCAAGGAATGGCAGGAGCTCCGTACACGCTGGGGGTCAGCATGGAGCCCAGGTCTGGACACAATGAGTGGGGCGGGGCAGGAGCTGCTGGCTGAAAAGCTGGAGCTGGCACAGCTCCAGGGGAGGAGGGCAGCAGCGCAGGCCCGGGAGGAAGAGGGAAGGCAGTAAAGCTGGCGCGGGTACCTGGCGGGGAAGGGAGCAGGCACGGGCAGAGGGGATTCCCTGCCTTAGTGAATGGGGGCCATTGCTCAGCCCTGCAGGAGCGCAGGAGACTTAGGTGGGCCATGGGGAAAGCCGAGGAGGTGGGGACATGAGCAGCATGGAAATGGTGCTGAATCTCAGGCTGAGGGGCTTACACCATGCCATGTCCATTCCATGCAGTGCAGACCCCTGATGCAGCCCCTGCCCCGCCCTGAGACCCTCCCAGCAGCCACCACCAAGATGCCCACCAACCTCAGAGGCTCAGAGGCTGGAGGGGGAGCAGGAGAGAGCAGGTGTGGACGGGTGCGGGGACTGCAGAGGGCACCACAGGCTCGGGAGCCTCGGGGGAGACGCTCTGTCCCATAGCTTGGGAGCGAGGCCAGGACAGGCTGAGGTTTGCAAGCCTTGGCACCGAGGTGCGTGTGAGGGCTTGCTGGAGACGAAGCTAGCCAGGAGGATAAGAACAAGAGGGGCTCAGAGCCTTCCGGAACTCCAACATTTAGGAGGGTGAAGGGGAAGCAACCAGGGCACTGAAGAACAGCCAGAGATGCGGGGACATAGGACAGAACTGGGAGCCAGGGCCCAGGCCAAAGCAAGAGAAGAGGAAGCTTCTGGACGGGAATTCTGTTCCCAAGAGAAGCCCTGTGACCACCTGACTCCCGTTGATGGCAGGAACCCTGTGTGGGCATCGGGGTGGAAAGTTCTCTGCACCTTACTGGGTGCTGACTCTTTGCTGTGTTCTCTGAGGTATGTGGCCCAGGAGTTCCACCAAACCCTCCATCCGGGTGGCTGCCTGAGATCATTCTGCAGGCTGGGGCCACAACAGAGGCCACCTCTGGGACCGAGTGCTGTGTCCCTTGCTGGTGGGTGCATGGCCCTGTGCACACTGTCAGCCCAGTGTCCTCCACACCTGGGTCCGGATTCCCATGTGGGTGATTCTCTTGCTTTAGGCTGCTTCCCCGGGGCAGATGCTTGAGCCGGTCCGACTGCTGCAGCCACGGCCTAGGGTCTGCTGGGATAGAGTGCCACCCTTTCCGGGGCTGTAGGGGACAGCTTGCCTTGCAAGGTGAATGGAGTAGACCCTCAAGGGTGTGTGTGCAGAGCGGGAGAACACCCCTAAATGCGGCTCCTGCAGCCTGGGGAAGGGGTCGGGTTTCTTTGGCTGAGAATTGTCCAGGAACCCCTGCCAAGTCCAAGTCCTCCCTCTACAGATAATGAAGCAGAGACCCAGTGGGAAAGCAGCCCAGGGTCACAGCCAGAAACCAAACCTTGGCCTCTGCCTCTCATGTGGGAGGTGAGGGGTGGGGAACGCCCCCTCAACCCATGACATTACCTCATCCCGATGGTATTCAAGCCTGTGCTGAGTCTGTGTGTGCCTGTGTCTGTTGTGTGTTCAAGGGTGAAGAAGAAGTGGTCTTGGGCCAATCCAGAGAGTGGTGGGCAGACCCTGTAGTGGCCCATGTTCCCCACCTCCTGGCACTGACACCTTTGATTAATCTCCCCTGAGTGTAAGCGGGATCTGGGAGCTGGGACCTGGGACCTGCGTCTCACCAATAGCATCCACCAAGGCAATGGCACTGCTTCCTTGACAGCCTTGCATAAGATCATAACTGGTTGTGCTGCTGTGTGTGAGCTGGCCCTGGGAGAGGGCCTGTGGCCAGGAAAAATCAACCCCACTTTGCCAAAGAGGAAACTGAGGCACAACAAGTCTCTGGCCAACAGCCAGCAAGGAATCGAATACTGCCAACATCCTGGTGAGTGTGGATGCAGAGCCTGCCCCAGCTGAGCCTCGGCTGAGACCAACGCCCTGGCTGGTACCGTGATTGCAGCCTGATGTGACCGTGAGCAGGGAACCTTGCTAAGCTGCACTCACACTTCAGACCCACTGCACCATGAGCTAAATATGTGTCCTTGAAACCACTAAGTTCGTTGTAGTTTTTTAAGCAGCTGAAGATTAGAAATATTCAGAAGCTTCCTCTCCCTCCACCTGACCCCCTGCTTCATCAGAGGATTGCAGATGTGGTCAACAAACACCAACAGGAAGAAGGCAGGGCAGGGTGTCTATTTCATGGCGGCTGCCTGTCCCGAGGACCATTCCCATGGATGCACTCAGGGCAGTTTCTGGAGTCATTCCTGGCAGAGTATTCTGAAAACACACCCATTAACCTTCAGGGCTGATATCAACAGGAGCCCCCGTTTTATGGGTCAGAACCATTTTGGAGAATGTCACGTTATGACTCACAGAACCAAATTTATTCTCCCTCTTTGAACAAAACAATCAATAGCCCTTCTGTAAAATTCAGCTGCTGCTCAGAGGACCAGTTGTCTGTCTCCTCCTGGGAGAGGAGTTACTTCCCCAGGGACCCGGGAAGAGGCGGGAAGCCAGCTGTCCCCAGAGTGGCACCAGTCTTCTCAACAGAGAGATGTGGGCAGGGGTCAGGACCAAGAGCAACTTCTGGAACCTTCCAGGCAGCCTTCTGGTTTTTGGATGGAGAGGCTGGGGCCCAGAAAGGACAGGGGCTGCTGAGCTCACAGCCGATGGCAGCAGAGCCCTTGAGACTCCAGTCACTGAGGGCCCCAACTGAGCACCTCCCAGCTAGCTCCCCATAAGAAGAAAGAAGGGAAGAAGGGGAAAGGAAAAGGGAAAGGGGCAAAGAGGGAGAGGAAGAGTCCAAAAACATCTCAAATAGCAAAGGAATGTCCCGTCTGCCGGAGCCTGGTGAGAAGGCCCTTGTGTGAAATCGCTAACCCTCACTGAGTTCTCACAGTGGCCAAGTGCCCGCTAAAGCTGTTAGGCTCCAAATGTACTCAACCTTCTCAACAATCCTCTGCCAAGATTATCCTCATCCCCATTTTTCCCAGGAGGAAACTGAGGCACAGGAAGTTGAGTGACTTCCCCAAGGTTGCAAGTTTTTGAGGCAGAGCTGGAATTTGAACCCAGGACATCCGGTCCCAGAGCTCATGCTGCTATTAATAGCAGCAGCCTACATACCATCTCTCAGACTTCGAACTGCAGGGGCCAACTGGGGGTGGGGTCTCTCCTGCCCCACATCCCCCGATGGACCAGGGGTCCCCTCAGGCCACCTGCCAGCTCCACCACAGGCCACCTCCCGCCCTGCACATGCACAAGCCATCACCTCTGCTGTCACTCTATCCCCAGCACATGGAATTGCCGGCCATGCAGTAGGCACTCAATTGGATCCACTGAGCAGTGGCACGACCACCTGCCCCACAGCTGGGGGCCTGGCAGGGCTGCATCCGGGTTTCTGGCCCAGGGCAGAGCTCCCTCATACAGTGCTTCCCAAGCGTTCTCACCCCCACACTGAGGAAGTGGTTCTATCTATGGGTGCTACAGCACAGGGTGGGGGTCCCAGCATCACAGGAAACACACCTGTCTTCCCAGCACCTTGGGAGGCCAAGGAGGGCAGATCCCTTCAGGCCAGGAGTTCAAGAACAGCCTGGTCAACATGGTGAAACCTCCGTCTCTACTAAAAATACAAAATAATTTAGCTGGGCATGTTGGTGCACACCTGTAATCCCAGCTACTCGGGAGGCTGAGGCACAAGGATTGCTTGAACCCAGGAGGTGGAAGTTGTAGTGAATCAAGGTCAACGCCACTGCACTCCAGGCTGGGCAACAGAGTGAGACTCTGCCTCAAAAAAAAAAAAAAAGTAAACAGTGCCTGCCAGACACTTGTGAAAGGTGGCAAGACTGGCTTCATTCAGACCCCTGGAGTGGGGAAGAGGTTCCAGGACACACTGAGCTGAGTCTCAGCTAAGACTAAGGGGACTAGGGCTTTTAATTTATTTTATTTTATTTATTTATTTATTTTTTCCAGAGGGAGTCTCGCTCTGTTGCCCAGGCTGGAGTGCAGTGGCATTATCTTGGCTCACAGCAACCTCTGCCTCCCAGGTTCAACCGATTCTCTCTTATGCCTCAGCCTCCTGAGTAGCTGCGATTATGGGTGCACGTCACTAAGCCCAGCTAATTTTTGCATTTTTAGTAGAGATAGGGTTACACGATATTGGCCAGGCTGGTCTCGAACTCCTGACCTCAGGTGATCCACCCGCCTCAGCCTCCTGAAGTGCAGGGATTATAGGCATGAGCCACCGCACCCAGCTGTTTTTATTTTTTTAGAGACAGAGTCTCACTTCATTGCCCAGGCTGGAACTCCTAGGCTCAAGCAGTCCTCCCTGCCTCAGCCTCCAGAGTAGCTAGGACTACAGGCACATGCCACCACTCCCAGCTAATTTTTAATTTTTTTCATAGAAACAGGGTCTTGCTATGTTGCCCAGGCTGGATTTGAACTTCTGAACTCAAGCAATCGTCCTGCCTTGGCCTCCCGAAGTGATGGGATTACAGGCATGAGCCACTGCGCCCATAGGCTGAGAGCTCTCTCTCTATTTTGGCTTTTATTTCTTGTTCAAGGGTACATGTGCAGGTTTGTTATATAGTAAACTCCTGACTCAGGAGTTCAGGGTGCAGATTGTTTCATCACCCGGGTACTCAGTGTAGCATCTGACAGTTTTGTGTTTTCTTCTGAACCCGTCCCTCCTCCCAACCTCCTCCCTCAAGTAGGTCCCCATGTCTGTGATCCCCCTCTTTCTGCCCACTGTTCTCATTATTTAGTTCCCACTTATAGATGAGAACACACGGTATTTAGTTTATTGTTGGTTTCATCTTTGGTGGTGGTGGTGAAAGAGGCATGACACTAAATCGACCCTCAGGACACACTAAATCGACCCTCAGGACACTCCCCTCCCTCCCCACCCCACACGCCCCAACACACACGACCTCACCCCTGCCCACCCCCACACTCAATTCTAAAGGGAGAATAGAGACGAAACCAAAATTGGAGGGTTGAAGAAGAGGGAAGGCAAAGGCCTGAGGCTCCGTGGATGGAGAAATGTATGGCAGGTGCAGGAGGACAATTCCTGGAAAGGGTTTGGCCAGGCAGGCTGCGGTTTGGCAGCATTGCATTTTCTTGTACAACACCTCAGCTCAGGGGCTGGGGTCACCTTTAGAGACACGGCCCAGGGCAGGGGGCCCAGGCTGAAGATGGGGCAAGTGTCTCAGCACAGTGTTGGGGCAAGTCTCCTGTGCCGGATGGGAGTTCACAGCTCACCCCAGAGCCCCAGGACCCTAGAACCCAGAGCCACATCTCAGGAGGCCACCTCTAACCCAGGCCTCCTTGATGGCCACACTCTGAAGCTCCTGGGGAACTGAATCTCCAGCCCCTCCTCCTGGGCTGAAGGCCACTGCTGCAGCTGCCCCTGCTGCAGCTGTATCTGCCCCTGCTGCACCTGGAGCCACAGAACCACAGAGAGGGGAAAAGACAAACTCACCTCCCACGAGGGACCCCCTTACCTCTCAAGCTCCAGCTCAAGGGTACCTCCTCTGGGCAACTGGACCACGCAGGGACCACCAGTCCCCGACAAATATAGAGGGCCCCGTGGCTCTAACTGTAAAGGTGGGGTTCACTCCCATGCCCCCTGCCCCTGTATCTGCTGACTCCCCACCCAGAACACATCGCCCCTGGCATCTCCAGACAGGGCACAGTGGCATCGCTTCTACTCACAGACCATCAGCCAGACCTGTGGCCCAAGCTAACACAGGCAGCTGGGAATGAGGGGAGGCGTGGATATTGGGTAGGTGTGGCTGTCTCAGCATGGGACCCTCCTTCAGCACCCTGGCAGGGGGAGACACCGCATTTTATCAAATCTAAGTAAACAGCAGGAGGCATCATCCTTTCCATAACACTGAGAAAGAAAATCGCTGCCCCTCTCTCTCTTCCTCCTGCACTGGCCATATGGAGACATGCCTGCTTTCCCTTTGCCTTCCGCCATGATTGTAAGTCTCCTGAGGCCTCCCCAGAAGCTGAGCAGATGCCAGCATCATGCTCCCTAGACAGCCTGCAGAACTGTGAGCCAATTAAACCTCTTTTCTTTGTAAATTACCCAGTCTTGGGTATTTCTTTATAGTGATTTGAGAACAGACGAATACAGGAGAACACCCCTACAAGAAGGGAGGTGCACGAGGTAGAATCTGCATTTACTCGGCTTTCTGGAAGAAACTGCCAGACCCTGCAGTGCACAGGGTGCAAATCAAGCAAAATGTCATCATCTTCATACCCTGAGGAGTCAGGGGATGGAGTTCACAGCTGCCCAAACTACTGAAAATTGAGGAGAAAACCCCGGAGAAGGGGAACCCACAAAGGGAGGATCTCTAAAACCTGCATGTCCACTCTCCTGACGTCTTCCACTGAGTCCTGATTTGCACTGGAGTGGGTGGGAGTCCACAGAGGCTGGGGAGGGACAGTGAGAAGCATAGCTGAGCAAGGCCATGCTCTCAGCCCAGCAGAGGGCACAGCTCCTGCTCCCTGCCCCTGGGATTTTCCCAGCCCCCCCCACGCCAGCCCCAGTGGCACAGCTCCCATACACCATGCTGTGCAGGTAGCTCAGGTGGGCAAAGGGCAGAACCCTGAGGGGAAAATCCTCACTGCCTCTCACCTGAGTGGCATCTGAAATGTTGTGGGAAATAGAGAACTAGAGAGACTAAAGAGACTGATATGGAGAACAGGAGGATTGTTTATTTTAAGGTACACACCAGCTCAGTGGACTCACATCTAAAAAGCTGAGCCTTGAACAAAGACAGAGCAGGGTTTTTTTGTTTGTTTGTTTGTTTTTGAGATGGAGTCTCACTGTGTCGCCCAGGCTGGAGTGCAGTGGCGCGATCTCAGCTCACTGCAAGCTCCGCTTCCTGGGTTCATGCAATTCTCCTGCCTCAGCCTCCTGAGTAGCTGGGACTACAGGCGCCTGCCACCACACCCAGCTAATTTTTTGTATTTTTAGTAGAGATGGGGTCTCACTGTGTTAGCTAGGATGGTCTCGATCTCCTGACCTTGTGATCCACCCGCCTCGGCCTCCCAAAGTGCCAGGATTACAGGCGTGAGCCACCGTGCCCGGCCCAGAGCAGGGTTTTTATAAGCTGGCTTACAAAAGCAAAACAAAAGCAGTTAATCATATAGTGCATAGCTTGTGGACTTGCAGCTGCATCAAACGAAAAACAAGAACTGGCTAAATAGAGACATTTGTAAAACATAATCATGCTTAAGAGACTAAGGAAAGGAGTAACAGTAAAGGAATTGGTCTTTCTCTTTTTTTTTTTTTCCCTCAACCTTGCTCTGGAGAAGGAAGAGTTGTCTAAAGCCCATTCCTTTAGCCTTGGCTTTTCAGACAGCATTATCTTATAACTCCTTGAAGTGAGCTGCTAAATAGAAAAACACTTGTTCTTTTCTTTTTAGCCCTTGCCTTGCCACATTCTAGGACTTAGCTTTTACTTTTCTTAGAGTGAAGAAACGCAGTATTTATTTTTCTTTAATTTCTGCCTCAGAATAAGTGAGAGGTAAGCCCAGGGCCCCATCACAAAGGCCTCTTATGGGCTCTTTTCATTAAAAATCACTAAACTCCTTTTAAAAATCAATTTTTAAAAATTAATTTAAAAAATTTAACCCCATTTCGTGCTTTAAAAAAAAAAGAAAAAGAAAAAAAAAATCACTGAACTCCTAATTACCCTAGAGGCGAAAATTTACTGGCTGCCCCTGAGGCTCAGTCCTCTCTCTCTGAGGGAGCCACAGTGACCGCCTGCATCTGCAGGATAGATTAATACGCGTTTCTAATTAATCACACAGCTCTGTGACCCTGAGCAATTCACTTTCCTTCTTGGGGACCTCTGCATCTCATTTAGAGGAGCTGCCTCTGGTTAACTGCCCAGAGGTCTTTCTACTGTCAAGTGCCCTGTAGCAACCGACAGTCCCAACTGCATGGTTGAGCTCCTGCATGGGGCGGGCTTGAGATGCAAACACACACTCCTGCCTTCCATTTCAGCTGCAGCCTGGCCAGCAGGTGTTCCACCACCATCTAACAGATGAGGTGACCAAGGTGCTGCTGCAGGCCGGGATAAGAACAAGAAAGTCAGAGGCTACTGTTACTGAGTGAGGGTAGTTGTCCAGGTTCTTGGTGTTTTGAACAAAGAATTGGACACATCATACAAAGGAAGGAAGTAAAAGCAGAGATTTATTTTAAACAAAAGTACACTCCACAGTGGGAGCAGGGTTGAGCAAGTGGCTCAAGAACATCTGTCACAGAATTTTCTGGGTTAAATACCCTCTAGAGGTTTCCCATTGCTTCACTCTATGCAAATGACAGCTTCCCATTGGTTCACTCTATGCAAATGAAGGTTTCTCATTGGTTCACTCTATGCAAATGAAGGTTTCCCACTGCTTCAGTCTATACAAATGAAGGTTTCTCATTGGTTCACTCTATGCAAATGAAGTAGCGGCCTGTGGCCCATCTGATTGGCTGCAGGAGGGAAACAATCAGAATGAATAGGCCCCGCCCACGACCAGTCTGATTGGTTGTGGGAGAGGACCAGAGTGAAGAGTAGGCCCACAACCAGTCTGATTGTTTGTGGGAGGGAACCAATCAGAGGTACTTTCATGTTTCAACTGCCAGCAAAAAAAGGAGGGGTTGAAAAGAGGTTGCCTCTGGTATCCAGTCAGCAGGAATCGGCCTCAGGTTCCCTGCCTCCAGACCCGATTCTCCTGCCTCACTATCAGGTGCAAGACAAGGACAGGGTGTGCGCTGAGACACGGGTGCTGCCTGCTCCTGATTCTGGAAGGAGATATGAGGCAGTGATTTCCAAGCTTGCATAATTTGAGGGCTGCCTTTGTGATGTCGTCCCTCTCCATGCACCAAATAAACTGTCACCTAGTTAATATTTTGTATTTAGTTGACCCACTTTTTTTACTGAAATGGATTCATTTTGAAAGCTCCACTTCATCACCAATGAGAAACCACCATGCACCATGACTGGAGGGTGAAAAACAAAGGCATGCCCCCCAGACTAAAACCCGAGTGTCCCTCTGGTCAAGGGCCTCACAGGGAAGAGCCCTGCCAGGAGGCTGCAGCCCAGCGTGGAAATCCTGACTCTGGCAGTTGCTGTGTGATTCTGGGCAAGTCACTTAACCTCTCTGAGCCTCAGTTTTCTCCTCTATGGCATCAGGTCACTAACACCCCATGGGGGTTTACCTATGACAATGGATGCAAACTGCCCAAGTGCAGCAGGACTGTGAGGAACAGACAGGGGCACAGCTGCCTCCTGTTCCAGGTGTGAACAGTCTCCCTACCCTAACCTGGGGTCTCCAAATGTTCTGTCTTCCCCTGACTGAGGACTCTCATGGTGGACAAGTCAGGTGGTTCCAAACAGCCATGGCAGCCATTTCCTGGATGAAAGCCCGTGTTGGGAAAGAGCAGCTGGGAGCTGGTGAAAGCACACCGTTCACCCGTGTTTAATGCTTACCATGCACTACATCGCGATGTTTCAGTCCACCACAGAACACACCTACGACGGTGCTCCCAGAACACAATCACCAAGCCACGGGGAAGAGTCAAGCTGGGAACTGCATCAGGCAACCTGCCTCCCATTTTATCCCTATATAAGACAGCTGCAAAGACTGGAAGAAAAAAAAAAAGCTTCATACCTCCCTTGGGTATTTGAACCCAAAATATCTGAGACAGGCCTCAACCAATTTAGAAAGTTTATTTTGCCCAGGTTAAGGACACACCCATAACACAGCCTCAGGAGGTCCTGATGACATGCACTCAAGGTGGTCGGGCACAGCTTGCTTTTATACATTTTTAGGGAGACATGAGACATCAATCAACATATGTAAGATGAACACTGGTTTGGTCTGGAAAGGTGGGACCACTGGAAGCAGGGGCTTCCACGTCACAGGTAGCTAAGAGACAAACAGTTGTGTTCTTTTGAGTCCTCGATCAGTCTTTCACTGAATACACAACTTAGTCTGGCTCAGTGAACCTGCATTTCTACTAAGATAAAACAAACGTAGGGCACAGGAAGCCATCAGGTATGCATTTGTCTCAGGTGAGCAGAGGGATGACTTTGAGCTCTGTCCTTTGTCCTGTACCTGTGAATATCAGCTCTCCATTTACATTGTGAGGGTGAAATTTAACACAACTGTTTTAGGGTGAAGATCTTGGGGCCCACAAGGAATTTCCTAGGGAACAAATTGTGAGGGAGGTATGCAGCTTTTTAAAACCTATGCAGCCATCTTATTTAGGAATAGAATGGGAGGTTAGCCTAATGTAGTTCCCAGCTTGACTTTTCCCTTTGGCTGAGTGATTTGGGGGTCCCGAGATTGATTTTCCTTTCACACTTTGTGCGTCCCATCACCCCACAGCTGCCTCACACACCTGGTGTTTTCTGCATCTCTCAGTTGCACACTTTTCTCTTGTGCCTGATTTAATCTCGTGTGGTTTGTTCATCATGGTCCCTAAGCATACGAGATCCACAGCTAATGTTGCTGGTAAGAGACCAGTAAGAGTCATTATTGCCAGTGACTGACCTGAAAACGAAATGACAAGTGACTAAGGACCATGAAGGTGGAAAATCAGAGGTGGTTATGCTCGCCAGGCAGGCAGGTCCCATTCCACCAGAGCTGTGGCCCTGATGAGCAAGGACAAAGCGACAGCTGCTGAAAGAGCCAGCCTCTGTGAAAGCAAGGCGACCAATGGAAAGTGGAGGCCAAAAGGATCCGCTGCGCTGAGAGCAAGGTGACTAACGGAAAGTCGAGAGGTGCCTGGATCCAACATAGACTGAAGACCAGACAGAGGAGTGAATGCCTCTCAGCACTGTAACTGCCCAGAGGGTTCTCCTTGCCCACTGCCTACACCGAGCTGATGGATCAAAACAGGAAATTTGCAATAAAGAGCTTAATTCATGCAGAGTCGGCCGTGTGGAAGACCGGAGTTTTATTATTATTCAAATCAGTCTCTCTGAAAACTCAGGGATTGAGGTTTTTAAGGATAACTTGGTGAGTAGAGGGCCAGTAAGTCGGGAGTGCTGATTGGTCGGGTCCAAGATAAAATCTTAGGGAGCTGAAGCTGTCCTCTTGAGCTGAGTCCATTCCTGGGTGGGGGCCACAAGACCAGATGGGCCAATTTATCTATTTGGGTGGTGCCAGCTGATCCACTGAATACAGGGTCTGTAAAAGATGTTAAGCACTCATCTTAGGTTATCACAGGAGCAATTTAAGGAGGTTCAGAATCCCGCCACCTCCAGCTGCATTACTCCTACACCATAATTTCTAATCTCATGGCAAATTTGTTAGTCCTACAAAGGCAGTCTGATCCTCAGGCAGGCAGGGACTTTGTTTTGGAAAAGAGTTGTTATTGTCTTTGTTTCAAAGTTAAACCATTGTGAACCCCAAATATCTGAGACAGGTCTCAGTCGATTTAGGAAGTTTATTTTGCCAAAGTTAAGGATGTGTGCCCGTGACACAGCCTCAGGAAGTCCTGACGACATGTGCCCAAGGTGGTCGGGCACAGCTTGGTTTTATACATTTTAGGGAGACATGGGACATCAATCAGTATATGTAAGGTATACATTGGTTCCATCCAGAAAGGTGGGACAACTCGAAGCAGGGAGGGGACTTCTGGGTCATAGGTAGATAAGAGGCAAACGGTTGCATTCTTTTGAGTTTCTGATTGGCCTTTCCAAAGGAGGCAGGCAGAGACGCATCTATCTCAGTGAGCAGAGGTGGCTTTGAGTTCTGTCATTTGTCCACAAGGAATTTCCTTGTGAGGGAGGTATGTAGCTTTTTAATCGTAGTAGCTATCTTTTTTAGGAATAGAATGAGAGGCAGGTTTGCCCTAAGCAGTTCCCAGCTTGACTTTCTGCTTTGGGTTAGTGATTTTGGGGCCCCAAGATTTATTTTCCTTTCACACTGTAAACTAAGTTCCTCCCAAAGTAGGTTGAGCCTACGCCCGGGGATGAACAAGGACAGCTTGGAGATTAGAAGCAAGATGGAGTCGGTTAGGTTAGTTGTCCTTTCACGGTCATAATTTTCTGTTATAATTTTTGCAGAGGCGGTTTCAGCACCACGGCGGTCATGGCCAGAGCAAAAAGTATGTTTTTGATGTTGAAAGGAAAGGCTGGACCTGACTTTGGTATCAGATTTACTGCCAGTTCCGGGTGGTTTACATGATTTGAGGATCGTTATGCATTACATAATGTTAACATGAATGCTGAGTCTGTGGGTGCTGATGTGAAGGCAGCTGAAGAGTTTTGGAAGCTTGATTATGGAGGAGATTTACTTGCCACAGCAAATCTTCAATATGGAGGAAACCTCGCTATTCTGGAAACAGATGCCTGAAAGAACTTTTGTATCTGCCCAAGGGGTTTTTCCTGACCACTGCACAAAGAAAGACCATGGCATTTTTGTAGAGAAAGAGTTTAACAGACACAAGGGTGGCCACGCCATGTGGGAGACTGAGTTGAGAGGTGACAGCGTGCTGGCAGTCCTCACAGCCCTCGCTCGCTCTCAGTGCCTCCTCTGCCTGGGCTCCCACTTTGGCGGCACTTGAGGAGCCCTTCAGCCCACCGCTGCACTGTGGGAGCCCCTTTCTGTGCTGGCCAAGGCCACAGCTGGCTCCCTCAGCTTGCAGGGATGTGTGGAGGGAGAGGCGCGAGCGGGAACCGGGGCTGCGTGCAGCGCTTGGGGGCCAGCTGGAGTTCCGGGTGGGCGTGGGTTTGGCGGGCCTGCACTCGGAGCAGCCGGCCAGCCCTGCTGGCCCCAGGCAGTGAGGGACTTGGCACCCGGGCCAGCGGCTGCAGAGGGTGTACTAGGTCCCCCAGCAGTGCCGGCCCACCGGCGCTGTGCTCGATTTCTCGCCAGGCCTTAGCTGCCTTTCCATGGGGCAGGGCTCGGGACATGCAGCCCGCCATGCCTGAGCCTCCCACCCACTCCATGGGCTCCTGTGCGGCCCGAGCCTCCCCGACGAGCACCACCCCCTGCTCCACGGCACCCAGTCCCATCGACCACCCAAGGGCTGAGGAGTGCGAGCGCACAGCGTGGCACTGGCAGGCAGCTCCACCTGCTGCCCTGGTGCGGGATCCACTAGGTGAAGCCACCTGGGCTCCTGAGTCTGGTGGGGATGTGGAGAGTCTTTATGTCTAGCTCAGGGATTGTAAACACACCAATCAGCACCCTGTATTTAGCTCTAGGTTTGTGAGTGCACCAATCGACACTCTGTATCTAGCTGCTCTGGTGGGGCCTTGGAGAACCTTTATCTCTAGCTCAGGGATTGTAAATACACCAATCGGACACTCTGTATCTAGCTGCTCTGGTGGGGCCTTGGAGAACCTTTATGTCTAGCTCAGGGATTGTAAATACACCAATCGGCACTCTGTATCTAGCTCAAGGTTTGTAAACACACCAATCAGCATCCTGTGTTTAGCTCAAGGTTTGTGAATGCACCAGTCGACACT